>NC_000013.11:16282173-16882173 GCF_000001405.40 Homo sapiens | reverse complement strand
ATATGAAGATATTCCCGTTTCCAACGAAATCTTCAAATCTATCCAAATGTCCACTTGCAGATTCAACAAAAAGTGTTTTTCAGAACTCCTCTATCAAGAGAAAGATCCACCTCTGTTAGCTGAGTTCACACATCACAAACAAGTTTATGAGAATGCTTCTGTCTAGTTTTTATTTGAAGATATTTCCTTTCTCACCATAGAGCTGAAAGCTGTCCTAATGTTCACTTCCAGATACTACAGAAAGAGTGTTTCAAAACTGCTGTACGAAAGGGAATGTTCAACTCTGTGACTTGAATGCACACATTACAAAGAAGTTTCTGAGGATGCTGCTGTCTACTTTTTATACGTAATCCCGTTTCCAACGAAATCCTCCAAGCTATCCAAATATCCACTTGCAGATTCCACAGAAAGACTGTTTCAAAACTGGTATGTCAATAGAAAAGTTCAACTCTGTTAGCTGTGTGCATATATCCCAAAGAAAATTCTGAGATTGCTTCTGTCTAGTTTTTATGGGAAGATATTTCCCTTTTCACCGTAGGTGTCAAGGCGCTCCAAATATCCACTTCCAGATACTACAAAAAGAGTGTTTCAAACCTACTCTGTGAAAGGGAATATTCAACTCTGTGACTCGAATGCACATATCACAAAGAAGTTTCTGAGAATGCTTCCTGTCGAGATTTTATATGAAGATATTCCCGTTTCCAACGAAATCCTAAAATCTATCCAAATATCCCCTCGCAGATTCTACAAAAAGAGTGTTTCAAAACTGCTCTGTAAAAAGAAAGGTTCAACTCTGTTAGTTGAGTACACACATCACAAACAAGTTTCACAGAATGCTTCTTTCTAGCTTGTAGGGGAATATATTCCCTTTATCACCATGGGTCTCAAACCCTCCGAAACGTCCACTTCCATATACTACAAAAAGAGCGTTTCAAACCTGCTCTAGGAAAGGCAATGTTCAACTCTGTGACTTGAATGCAGACATCACAGAGCAGTTTCTGAGAATGCTTCTGTCTAGGTTTTATAGGAAGATATTCCCGTTTCCAACGAAATCTTCACAGCTATCCAAATATCCACTTGCAGATAGTACAAAAAGAGTGTATCAAAAATGCTCTGTCAAAAGGAAAGTTCTTCTCTCTTAGTTGAGTACATACGTCATAAAGGAGTTTCTGAGAATGTTTCTGTCTAGTGGTTATGGGAAGATATTTGCTTTTTCACCCTAGGTCTCAGAGTGCTCCAAATATCCACTTGCACATACTACAAAAAGAGTGCTTCAAAGCTGCTCTCTGAAACGGAATGTTCAACTCTATGTGTTGAATGCAAACATCACAAAGACGTTTCCGAGAATGCTTCTGTCTAGATTTGATATGAAGATATTCCCGTTTGCAACGAAATCTTCAAATCTATCAAAATGTCCACTTGCAGATTCAACAAAACGTGTTTTTCAGAACTGCTCTATCAAAGGAAAGATACACCTCTGTTAGCTGAGTTCACACATCACAAACAAGTTTATGAGAATGCTTCTGTCTAGTTTTTATTTGAAGATATTTCCTTTCTCACCATAGACCTGAAAGCTGTCCTAATGTTCACTTCCAGATACTACAGAAAGAGTGTTTCAAAACTGCTGCACGAAAGCGAATGTTCAACTCTGTGACTTGAATGCACACCTCACAAAGAAGTTTCTGAGGATGCTGCTGTCTACTTTTCATACGTAATCCCGTTTCCAACGAAATCCTCCAAGCTATCCAAATATCCACTTGCAGATTCCACAGAAAGACTGTTTCAAAACTGCTCTGTCAATAGAAAGGTTCAACTCTGTTAGCTGCGTGCATATATCCCAAAGAAGATTCTGAGATTGCTTCTGTCTACTTTTTATGAGAAGATATTTTCCTTTTCACCGTAGGCGTCAGGGCGCTCCAAATGTCCACTTCCAGATACTACAAAAAGAGTGTTTCAAACCTACTCTGTGAAAGGGAATATTCAACTCTGTGACTTGAATGCACATATCACAAAGAAGTTTCTGAGAATGCTTCTGTCGAGATTTTATATGAAGATATTCCCGTTTCCAACGAAATCCTGAAATCTATCCAAATATCCCCTCGCAGATTCTACAAAAAGAGTGTTTCAAAACTGCTCTGTAAAAAGAAAGGTTCAACTCTGTTAGTTGAGTACACACATCACAAACTAGTTTCACAGAATGCTTCTTTCTAGCTTGTAGGGGAAGATATTCCCTTTATCACCATGGGCCTCCAACCGTCCGAAACATCCACTTCCATATGCTACAAAAAGAGCGTTTCAAACCTGCTCTATGAAAGGCAATGTTCAACTCTGTGACTTGAATGGAGACATCACAGAGCAGTTTCTGAGAATGCTTCTGTCTAGATTTTATAGGAAGATATTCCCGTTTCCAACGAAATCTTCACAGCTATCCAAATATCCACTTGCAGATTCCAGAAAAAGAGTGTATCAAAACTGCTCTGTCAAAAGGAAGGTTCTTTTCTGTTAGGTGAGTGCATACGTCATAAAGGAGTTTCTGAGAATGTTTCTGTCTAGTGGTTATGGGAAGATATTTGCTTTTTCACCTTAGGCCTCAGAGCGCTCCATATATCCCCTTGCACATACTACAAAAAGAGTGCTTCAAAGCTGCTCTCTGAAACGGAATGTTCAACTCTATGGGTTGAATGCAAACATCACAAAGACGTTTCTGAGAATGCTTCTGTCTAGATTTGATATGAAGATATTCCCGTTTCCAACGAAATCTTCAAATCTATCCAAATGTCCACTTGCAGATTCAACAAAAAGTGTTTTTCAGAGCTGCTCTATCAAAAGAAAGATCCACCTCTGTTAGCTGAGTTCACACATCACAAACAAGTTTATGAGAATGCTTCTGTCTAGTTTTTATTTGAAGATATTTCCTTTCTCACCATGGACCTGAAAGCTGTCCTAATGTTCACTTCCAGATACTACAGAAAGAGTGTTTCAAAACTGCTGTACGAAAGGGAATGTTCAAATCTGTGGCTTGAATGCACACATCACAAAGAAGTTTCTGAGGATGCTGCTGTCTACTTTTTATACATAATCCCGTTTCCAACGAAATCCTCCAAGCTATCCAAATATCCACTTGCAGATTCCACAGAAAGACTGTTTCAAAACTGCTCTGTCAATAGAAAGGTTCAACTCTGTTAGCTTCGTGCATATATCCCAAAGAAGATTCTGAGATTGCTTCTGTCTAGTTTTTATGGGAAGATATTTCCCTTTTCACCGTAGGTGTCAAGGCGCTCCAAATGTCCACTTCCAGATACTACAAAAAGAGTGTTTCCAACCTACTCTGTGAAAGGGAATATTCAACTCTGTGACTTGAATGCACATATCACAAAGAAGTTTCTGAGAATGCTTCTGTCGAGATTTTATATGAAGATATTCCCGTTTCCAACGAAATCCTGAAATGTATCCAAATATCCCCTCGCAGTTTCTACAAAAAGAGTGTTTCAAAACTGCTCTGTAAAAAGAAAGGTTCAACTCTGTTAGTTGAGTACACACATCACAAACAAGTTTCACACAATGCTTCTTTCTAGCTTGTAGGGGAAGATATTCCCTTTATCACCATGGGCCTCAAACCGTCTGAAACATCCACTTCCATATACTACAAAAAGAGCGTTTCAAACCTGCTCTATGAAAGGCAATGTTCAACTCTGTGACTTGAATGCAGACATCACAGAGCAGTTTCTGAGAATGCTTCTGTCTAGATTTTACAGGAAGATATTCCCGTTTCCAATGAAATCTTCACAGCTATCCAAATATCCACTTGCAGATTCTACAAAAAGAGTGTATCAAAACTGCTCTGTCAAAAGGAAGTTTCTTCTCTGTTAGGTGAGTGCATACGTCATAAAGGAGTTTCTGAGAATGTTTCTGTCTAGTGGTTATGGGAAGATACTTGCTTTTTCACCTTAGGCCTCAGAGCGCTCAAAATATCCCCTTGCACATACTACAAAAAGAGCGCTTCAAAGCTGCTCTCTGAAACGGAATGTTCAACTCTATGGGTTGAATGCAAACATCACAAAGACGTTTCTGAGAATGCTTCTGTCTAGATTTGATATGAAGATATTCCCGTTTCCAACGAAATCTTCAAATCTATCCAAATGTCCACTTGCAGATTCAACAAAAAGTGTTTTTCAGAACTGCTCTATCCAAAGAAAGATCCACCTCTGTTAGCTGAGTTCACACATCACAAACAAGTTTATGAGAATGCTTCTCTCTAGTTTTTATTTGAAGATATTTCCTTTCTCACCATAGAGCTGAAAGCTGTCCTAATGTTCACTTCCAGATACTACAGAAAGAGTGTTTCAAAACTGCTGTATGAAAGGGAATGCTCAACTCTGTGACTTGAATGCACACATCACAAAGAAGTTTCTGAGGATGCTGCTGTCTACTTTTTATACGTAATCCCGTTTCCAACGAAATCCTCCAAGCCATCGAAATATCCACTTGCAGATTCCACAGAAAGACTGTTTCAAAACTGCTCTGTCAATAGAAAGGTTCAACTCTGTTAGCTGCGTGCATATATCCCAAAGAAGATTCTGAGATTGCTTCTGTCTAGTTTTTATCGGAAGATATTTCCCTTTTCACCATAGGTGTCAAGGTGCTCCAAAAGTCCACTTCCAGATACTACAAAAAGAGTGTTTCAAACCTACTCTGTGAAAGGGAATATTCAACTCTGTGACTTGAATGCAGATATCACAAAGAAGTTTCTGAGAATGCTTCTGTCGAGATTTTATATGAAGATATTCCCGTTTCCAAGGAAATCCTGAAATCTATCCAAATATCCCCTCGCAGATTCTACAAAAAGAGTGTTTCAAAACTGCTCTGTGAAAAGAAAGGTACAACTCTGTTAGTTGAGTACACACATCACAAACAAGTTTCACAGAATGCTTCTTTCTAGCTTGTAGGGGAATATATTCCCTTTATCACCATGGGTCTCAAACCGTCCGAAACGTCCACTTCCATATACTACAAAAAGAGCGTTTCAAACCTGCTCTATGAAACGCAATGTTCAACTCTGTGAGTTGAATGCAGACTTCACAGAGCTGTTTCTGAGAATGCTTCTGTCTAGATTTTATAGGAAGATATTCCCGTTTCCATCGAAATCTTCACAGGTATCCAAATATCCACTTGCAGATTCTACAAAAAGAGTGTATCAAAACTGCTCTGTCAAAAGGAAGGTTCTTCTCTGTTAGGTGAGTGCATACGTCATAAAGGAGTTTCTGAGAATGTTTCTGTCTAGTGGTTATGGGAAGATATTTTCTTTTTCACCTTAGGCCTCAGAGCGCTCCAAATATCCACTTGCACATACTACAAAAAGAGTGTTTCAAAGCTGCTCTCTGAAAGGGAATGTTCAACTCTATGAGTTGAATGCAAACATGACAAAGACGTTTCTGAGAATGCTTCTGTCTAGATTTGGTATGAAGATATTCCCGTTTCCAACGAAATCTTCAAATCTATCCAAATGTCCACTTGCAGATTCAACAAAAAGTGTTTTTCAGAACTGCTCTATCAAAAGAAAGATCCACCTCTGTTAGCTGAGTTCACACATCACAAACAAGTTTATGAGAATGCTTCTGTCTAGTTTTTATTTGAAGATATTTCCTTTCTCACCATAGACCTGAAAGCTGTCCTAATGTTCACTTCCAGATACTACAGAAAGAGTGTTTCAAAACTGCTGTACGAAAGGGAATGTTCAACTCTGTGACTTGAATGCACACATCACAAAGAAGTTTCGGAGGATGCTGCTGTCTACTTTTTATACTTAATCCCGTTTCCAACGAAATCCTCCAAGCTATCCAAATATCCACTGGCAGATTCCACAGAAAGACTGTTTCAAAACTGCTCTGTCAATAGAAAGGTTCAACTCTGTTAGCTGCGTGCATATATCCCAAAGAAGATTCTGAGATTGCTTCTGTCTAGTTTTTATGGGAAGATATTTCCCTTTTCACCGTCGGCGTCAAGGCGCTCCAAATGTCCACTTCCAGATACTACAAAAAGAGTGTTTCAAACCTACTCTGTGAAAGGGAATATTCAACTCTGTGACTTGAATGCACATATCACAAAGAAGTTTCTGAGAATGCTTCTGTCGAGATTTTATATGAAGATATTCCCGTTTCCAACGAAATCCTGAAATCTATCCAAATATCCCCTCGCAGATTCTACAAAAAGAGTGTTTCAAAACTGCTCTGTAAAAAGAAAGGTTCAACTGCTGTTAGTTGAGTACACACATCACAAACAAGTTTCACAGAATGCTTCTTTCTAGCTTGTAGGGGAAGATATTCCCTTTATCACCATGGGCCTCAAACCGTCCGAAACGTCCACTTCCATATACTACAAAAAGAGCGTTTCAAACCTGCTCTAGGAAAGGCAATGTTCAACTCTGTGACTTGAATGCAGACATCACAGAGCGGTTTCTGAGAATGCTTCTGTCTAGATTTTATAGGAAGATATTCCCGTTTCCAACGAAATCTTCACAGCTATCCAAATATCCACTTGCAGATCCTACAAAAAGAGTGTATCAAAACTGCTCTGTCAAAAGGAAGGTTCTTCTCTGTTAGTTGAGTACATACGTCATAAAGGAGTTTCTGAGAATGTTTCTGTCTAGTGGTTATGGGAAGATATTTGCTTTTTCACCGTAGGCCTCAGAGCGCTCCAAATATCCACTTGCACATACTACAAAAAGAGTGCTTCAAAGCTGGTCTCTGAAACGGAATGTTCAACTCCATGAGTTGAATGCAAACATCACAAAGACGTTTCTGAGAATGCTTCTGTCTAGATTTTATAGGAAGATATTCCCGTTTCCAACGAAATCTTCAAATCTATCCAAATGTCCACTTGCAGATTCAACAAAAAGTGTTTTTCAAAACTGCTGTATCAAAAGAAAGATCCACGTCTGTTAGCTGAGTTCACACATCACAAACAAGTTTATGAGAATGCTTCTGTCTAGTTTTTATTTGAAGATATTTCCTTTCTCACCATAGACCTGAAAGCTGTCCTAATGTTCACTTCCAGATACTATAGAAAGAGTGTTTCAAAACTGCTGTACGAAAGGGAATGTTCAACTCTGTGACTTGAATGCACACATCACAAAGAAGTTTCTGAGGATGCTGCTGTCTACTTTTTATACGTAATCCCGTTTCCAACGAAATCCTCCAAGCTGTCCAAATGTCCACTTGCAGATTCCACAGAAAGACTGTTTCAAAACTGCTCTGTCAATAGAAAGGTTCAACTCTGTTAGCTGCGTGCATATATCCCAAAGAAGATTCTGAGATTGCTTCTGTCTAGTTTTTATGGGAAGATATTTCCCTTTTCACCGTAGGCGTCAAGGTGCTCCAAATGTCCACTTCCAGATACTACAAAAGGAGTGTTTCAAACCTACTCTGTCAAAGGGAATATTCAACTCTGTGACTTGAATGCAGATATCACAAAGAGGTTTCTGAGAATGTTTCTGTCGAGATTTTCTATGAAGATATTCCCGTTTCCAACGAAATCCTCAAATCTATCCAAATATCCCCTCGCAGATTCTACAAAAAGAGTGTTTCAAAACTGCTCTGTAAAAAGAAAGGTTCAACTCTGTTAGTTGAGTACACACATCACAAACAAGTTTCACAGAATGCTTCTTTCTAGCTTGTAGGGGAAGATATTCCCTTTATCACCATGGGCCTCAAACCGTCCGAAACGTCCACTTCCATATACTACAAAAAGAGCATTTCAAACCTGCTCTATGAAAGGCAATGTTCAACTCTGTGACTTGAATGCAGACATCACAGAGCAGTTTCTGAGAATGCTTCTGTCTAGATTTTATAGGAAGATATTCCCGTTTCCAACGAAACCTTCACAGCTATCCAAATATCCACTTGCAGATTCTACAAAAAGAGTGTATCAAAACTGCTCTGTCAAAAGGAAGGTTCTTCTCTGTTAGGTGAGTGCATACGTCATAAAGGAGTTTCTGGGAATGTTTCTGTCTAGTGGTTATGGGAAGATATTTGCTTTTTCACCGTAGGCCTCAGAGCGCTCCAAATATCCACTTGCACATACTACAAAAAGTGTGCCTCAAAGCTGCTCTCTGAAACGGAATGTTCAACTCTATGAGTTGAATGCAAACATCACAAAGACGTTTTCTGAGAATGCTTCTGTCTAGATTTGTTATGAAGATATACCCGTTTCCAACGAAATCTTCAAATCTATCCAAATGTCCACTTGCAGATTCACCAAAGTGTTTTTCAAAACTGCTGTATCAAAAGAAAGATCCACCTGTGTTAGCTGAGTTCACACTTCACAAACAAGTTTATCAGAATTCTTCTGTCTAATTTTTATTTGAAGATATTTCCTTTCTCACCATAGACCTGAAAGCTGTCCTAATGTTCACTTCCAGATACTATAGAAAGAGTGTTTCAAAACTGCTGTACGAAAGGGAATGTTCAACTCTGTGACTTGAATGCACACATCACAAAGAAGTTTCTGAGGATGCTGCTGTCTACTTTTTATACGTAATCCCATTTCCAAAGAAATCCTCCAATCTATCCAAATATCCACTTGCAGATTCCACAGAAAGACTGTTTCAAATCTGCTCTCTCAATAGAAAGATTCAACTCTGTTAGCTGCGTGCATATATCCCAAAGAAGATTCTGAGATTGCTTCTGTCTAGTTTTTATGGGAAGATATTTCCCTTTTCACCGTAGGCGTCAAGGCGCTCCAAATGTCCACTTCCAGATACTACAAAAAGAGTGTTTCAAACCTACTCTGTGAAAGGGAATATTCAACTCTGTGACGTGAATGCACATATCACAAAGAAGTTTCTGAGAATGCTTCTGTCGAGATTTATATATGAAGATATTCCCGTTTCCAACGAAATTCCTGAAATCTATCCAAATATCCCCTCGCAGATTCTACAAAAAGAGTGTTTCAAAACTGCTCTGTAAAAAGAAAGGTTCAACTCTGTTAGTTGAGTACACACATCACAAACAAGTTTCACAGAATGCTTCTTTCTAGCTTGTAGGGGAAGATATTCCCTTTATCACCATGGGCCTTAAACCGTCCGATAAGTCCACTTCCATATACTACAAAAAGAGCGTTTCAAACCTGCTCTATGAAAGGCAATGTTCAACTCTGTGACTTGAATGCAGACATCACAGAGCAGTTTCTGAGAATGCTTCTGTCTAGATTTTATAGGAAGATATTCCCGTTTCCAACGAAATCTTCACAGGTATCCAAATATCCACTTGCAGATTCTACAAAAAGAGTGTATCAAAACTGCTCTGTCAAAAGGAAGGTTCTTCTCTGTTAGGTGAGTGCATACGTCATAAAGGAGTTTCTGAGAATGTTCTGTCTAGTGGTTATGGGAAGATATTTGCTTTTTCCCCGTAGGCCTCAGGGCGCTCCAAATGTCCACTTGCACATGCTACAAAAAGAGTGCTTCAAAGCTACTCTCTGGAAGGGAATGTTCAACTCTATGAGTTGAATGCAAACATCACAAAGACGTTTCTGACAATGCTTCTGTCTAGATTTGATATAAAGATATTCCCGTTTCCAACGAAATCTTCAAATCTATCCAAATGTCCACTTGCAGATTCAACAAAAAGTGTTTTTCAGAACTGCTCTATCAAAAGAAAGATAGACCTCTGTTAGCTGAGTTCACACATCACAAACAAGTTTATGAGAATGCTTCTGTCTAGTTTTTATTTGAAGATATTTCCTTTCTCACCATAGACCTGAAAGATGTCCTAATATTCACTTAGAGATACTACAGAAAGAGTGTTTCAAAACGGCTGTACGAAAGGGAATGTTCAACACTGTGACATGAATGCACACATCACAAAGAAGTTTCTGAGGATGCTGCTGTCTACTTTTTATACGTAATCCCGTTTCCAACGAAATCCTCCAAGCTATCCAAATATCCACTTGCAGATTCCACAGAAAGACTGTTTCAAAACTACTCTGTCAATAGAAAGGTTCAACTCTGTTAGCTGCGTACATATATCCCAAAGAAGATTCTGAGATTGCTTCTGTCTACTTTTTATGAGAAGATATTTCCCTTTTCACCGTAGGCGTCAAGGTGCTCCAAATGTCCACTTCCAGATACTACAAAAAGAGTGTTTCAAACCTACTCTGTGAAAGGGAATATTCAACTCTGTGACTTGAATGCACATATCACAAAGAAGCTTCTGAGAATGCTTCTGTCGAGATTTTATATGAAGATATTCCCGTTTCCAACGAAATCCTGAAATGTATCCAAATATCCCCTCGCAGATTCTACAAAAAGAGTGTTTCAAAACTGCTCTGTAAAAAGAAAGGTTCAACTCTGTTAATTGAGTACACACATCACAAACAAGTTTCACAGAATGCTTCTTTCTAGCTTGTAGGGGAAGATATTCCCTTTATCACCATGGGCCTCAAAGCGTCGGAAACGTCCACTTCCATATACTACAAAAAGAGCGTTTCAAACCTGCTCTAGGAAAGGCAATGTTCAACTCTGTGACTTGAATGCAGACATCACAGAGCAGTTTCTGAGAATGCTTCTGTCTAGATTTTATAGGAAGATATTCCCGTTTCCAACGAAATCTTCACAGCTATCCAAATATCCACTTGCAGATTCTACAAAAAGAGTGTATCAAAACTGCTCTGTCAAAAGGAAGGTTCTTCTCTGTTAGCTGAGTGCATACGTCATAAAGGAGTTTCTGAGAATATTTCTGTCTAGTGGTTATGGGAAGATATTTGCTTTTTCCCCGTAGGCCTCATAGCGCTCCAAATGTCCACTTGCACATATTACAAAAAGAGTTCTTCAAAGCTGCTCTCTGAAAGGGAATATTCAACTCTATGAGTTGAATGCAAACATGACAAAGACGTTTCTGAGAATGCTTCTGTCTAGATTTGATATGAAGATATTCCCGTTTCCAACGAAATCTTCAAATCTATCCAAATGTCCACTTGTAGATTCAACAAAAAGTGTTTTTCAGAACTGCTCTATCAAAAGAAAGATCCACCTCTGTTAGCTGAGTTCACACATCACAAACCAGTTTATGAGAATGCTTCTGTCTAGTTTTTATTTGAAGATATTTCCTTTCTCACCATAGACCTGAAAGCTGTCCTAATGTTCACTTCCAGATACTACAGAAAGAGTGTTTCAAAACTGCTGTACGAAAGGGAAAGTTCAACTCTGTGACTTGAATGCACACATCACAAAGAAGTTTCTGAGGATGCTGCTGTCTACTTTTTATACGTAATCCCGTTTCCAACGAAATCCTCCAAGCTATCCAAATATCCACTTGCAGATTCCACAGAAAGACTGTTTCAAAACTGCTCTCTCAATAGAAAGGTTCAACTCTGTTAGCTGCGTACATATATCCCAAAGAAGATTCTGAGATTGCTTCTGTCTACTTTTTATGAGAAGATATTTCCCTTTTCACCGTAGGCGTCAAGGTGCTCCAAATGTCCACTTCCAGATACTACAAAAAGAGTGTCTCAAACCTACTCTGTGAAAGGGAATATTCAACTCTGTGACTTGAATGCACATATCACAAAGAAGCTTCTGAGAATGCTTCTGTCGAGATTTTATATGAAGATATTCCCGTTTCCAACGAAATCCTGAAATGTATCCAAATATCCCCTCGCAGATTCTACAAAAAGAGTGTTTCAAAACTGCTCTGTAAAAAGAAAGGTTGAACTCTGTTAGTTGAGTACACACATCACAAACAAGTTTCACAGAATGCTTCTTTCTAGCTTGTAGGGGAAGATATTCCCTTTAAAACCATGGGCCTCAAACCGTCTGAAACGTCCACTTCCATATACTACAAAAAGAGCATTTCAAACCTGCTCTATGAAAGGCAATGTTCAACTCTGTGACTTGAATGCAGACATCACAGAGCAGTTTCTGAGAATGCTTCTGTCTAGATTTTATAGGAAGATATTCCTGTTTCCAACGAAATCTTCACAACTATCCAAATATCCACTTGCAGATTCTACAAAAAGAGTGTATCAAAACTGCTCTGTCAAAAGGAAGGTTCTTTTCTGTTAGGTGAGTGCATACGTCATAAAGGAGTTTCTGAGAATGTTTCTGTCTAGTGGTTATGGGAAGATATTTGCTTTTTCACCGTAGGCATCACAGCGCTCCAAATATCCACTTGCACATACTACAAAAAGAGTGCTTCAAAGCTGCTCTCTGAAACGGAATGTTCAACTCTATGAGTTGAATGCAAACATCACAAAGACGTTTCTGAGAATGCTTCTGTCTAGATTTGATATGAAGATATTCCTGTTTCCAACGAAATCTTCAAATCTATCCAAATGTCCACTTGCAGATTCAACAAAGTGTTTTTCAAAACTGCTGTATCAAAAGAAAGATCCACCTCTGTTAGCTGAGTTCACACTTCACAAACAAGTTTATCAGAATTCTTCCATCTAGTTTTTATTTGAAGATATATCCTTTCTCACTATAGACCTGAAAGCTGTCCTAAAGTTCACTTCCAGATACTACAGAAAGAGTGTTTCAAAACTGCTGTACGAAAGGGAATGTTCAACTCTGTGACTTGAATGCACACATCACAAGGATGTTTCTGAGGATGCTGCTGTCTACTTTTTATACGTAATCCCGTTTCCAACGAAATCCTCCAAGCTATCCAAATATCCACTTGCAGATTCCCCAGAAAGACTGTTTCAAAACTGCTCTGTCAATAGAAAGGTTCAACTCTATTAGCTGCGTACATATATCCCAAAGAAGATTCTGAGATTGCTTCTGTCTACTTTTTATGAGAAGATATTTCCCTTTTCACCGTAGGCGTCAAGGTGCTCAAAATGTCCACTTCCAGATAATACAAAAAGAGTGTTTCAAACCTACTCTGTGAAAGGGAATATTCAACTCTGTGACTTGAATGCACATATCACAAAGAAGCTTCTGAGAATGCTTCTGTCGAGATTTTAAATGAAGATATTCCCGTTTCCAACGAAATCCTGAAATCTATCCAAATATCCCCTCGCAGATTCTACAAAAAGAGTGTTTCAAAACTGCTCTGTAAAAAGAAAGGTTCAACTCTATTAGTTGAGTACACACATCACAAACAAGTTTCACAGAATGCTTCTTTCTAGCTTGTAGGGGAAGATATTCCCTTTATCACCATGGGCCTCAAACCGTCCGATATGTCCACTTCCATATACTACAAAAAGAGCGTTTCAAACCTGCTCTATGAAAGGCAATGTTCAACTCTGTGACTTGAATGCAGACATCACAGAGCAGTTTCTGAGAATGCTTCTGTCTAGATTTTATAGGAAGATATTCCCGTTTCCAAAGAAATCTTCACAGCTATCCAAATATCCACTTGCAGATTCTACAAAAAGAGTGTATCAAAACTGCTCTGTCAAAAGGAAGGTTCTTCTCTGTTAGGTGAGTACATACGTCATAAAGGAGTTTCTGAGAATGTTTCTGTCTAGTGGTTATGGGAAGATATTTGCTTTTTCACTGTAGGCCTCACAGCGCTCCAAATATCCACTTGCACATACTACAAAAAGAGTGCTTCAAAGCTGCTCTCTGAAACGGAATGTTCAACTCTATGAGGTGAATGCAAACATCACAAAGACGTTTCTGAGAATGCTTCTGTCTAGATTTGATATGAAGATATTCCCTTTTCCAAAGAAATCTTCAAATCTATCCAAATGTCCACTTGCAGATTCAACAAAACGTGTTTTTCAGAACTGCTCTATCAAAAGAAAGATCCACCTCTGTTAGCTGAGTTCACACATCACAAACAAGTTTATGAGAATGCTTCTGTCTAGTTTTTATTTGAAGATATTTCCTTTCTCACCATAGACCTGAAAGCTGTCCTAATGTTCACTTCCAGATACTACAGAAAGAGTGTTTCAAAACTGCTGTACGAAAGGGAATGTTCAAATCTGTGGCTTGAATGCACACATCACAAAGAAGTTTCTGAGGATGCTGCTGTCTACTTTTTACACGTAGTCCCATTTCCAAAGAAATCCTCCAAGCTATCCAAATATCCACTTGCAGATTCCACAGAAAGACTGTTTCAAAACTGCTCTGTCAATAGAAAGGTTCAACTCTGTTAGCTGCGTGCATATATCCCAAAGAAGATTCTGAGATTGCTTCTGTCTAGTTTTTATGGGAAGATATTTCCCTTTTCACCGTAGGCGTCAAGGCGCTCCAAATGTCCACTTCCAGATACTACAAAAAGAGTGTTTCAAACCTACTCTGTGAAAGGGAATATTCAACTCTGTGACTTGAATGCAGATATCACAAAGAAGTTTCTTAGAATGCTTCTGTCGAGATTTTATATGAAGATATTCCCGTTTCCAACGAAATCCTGAAATGTATCCAAATATCCCCTCGCAGATTCTACAAAAAGAGTGTTTCAAAACTGCTCTGTAAAAAGAAAGGTTCAACTCTGTTAGTTGAGTACACACATCACAAACAAGTTTCACAGGAATGCTTCTTTCTAGCTTGTAGGGGAAGATATTCCCTTTATCACCATGGGCCTCCAAGCGTCCGAAACATCCACTTCCATATACTACAAAAAGAGCGTTTCAAACCTGCTCTATGAAAGGCAATTTTCAACTCTGTGACTTGAATGCAGACATCACAGAGCAGTTTCTGAGAATGCTTCTGTCTAGATTTTATAGGAAGATATTCCCGTTTCCAACGAAATATTCACAGGTATCAAAATATCCACTTGCAGATTCTACAAAAAGAGTGTATCAAAACTGCTCTGTCAAAAGGAAGGTTCTTCTCTGTTAGGTGAGTGCATACGTCATAAAGGAGTTTCTGAGAATGTTTCTGTCTAGTGGTTATGGGAAGATATTTGCTTTTTCACCGTAGGCCTCAGAGCACTCCAAATATCCACTTGCACATACTACAAAAAGAGTGCTTCAAAGCTGCTCTCTGAAAGGGAATGTTCAACTCTATGAGTTGAATGCAAACATCACAAAGACGTTTCTGAGAATGCTTCTGTCTAGATTTGATATGAAGATATTCCCGTTTCCAACGAAATCTTCAAATCTATCCAAATGTCCACTTGCAGATTCAACAAAAAGTGTTTTTCAGAACTGCTCTATCAAAAGAAAGATCCACCTCTGTTAGCTGAGTTCAGACATCACAAACAAGATTATGAGAATGCTTCCTGTCTAGTTTTTATTTTTAGATATTTCCTTTCTCACCGCAGACCTGAAAGCTCTCCTAATGTTCACTTCTAGATACTACAGAAAGAGTGTTTGAAACCTGCTGTATGAAAGGGAATGTTGAACTCTGTGACATGAATGCACACATCACAACGAAGTTTCTGAGAATGCTGCTGTCTACTTTTTATACTTAATCCCGTTTCCAACGAAATCCTCCAAGCTATCCAAATATCCACTTGCAGATTCCACAGAAAGACTGTTTCAAAACTGCTCGGTCAATAGAAAGGTTCAACTCTGTTAGCTGCGTGCATATATCCCAAAGAAGATTCTGAGATTGCTTCTGTCTAGTTTTTATGGGAAGATATCTCCCTTTTCACCGTAGGTGTCAAGGCGCTCCAAATATCCACTTCCAGATACTACAAAAAGAGTGTTTCAAACCTACTCTGTGAAAGGGAATATTCAACTCTGTGACTTGAATGCACATATCACAAAGAAGTTTCTGAGAATGCTTCTGTCGAGATTTTATATGAAGATATTCCCGTTTCCAACGAAATGCTGAAATCTATCCAAATATCCCCTCGCAGATTCTACGAAAAGAGTGTTTCAAAACTGCTCTGTGAAAAGAAAGGTTCAACTGCTGTTAGTTGAGTACACACATCACAAACAAGTTTCACAGAATGCTACTTTCTAGCTTGTAGGGGAAGATATTCCCTTTATCACCATGGGCCTCCAACCGTCCGAAACATCCACTTCCATATACTACAAAAAGAGCGTTTCAAACCTGCTCTATGAAAGGTAATTTTCAACTCTGTGACTTGAATGCAGACATCACAGAGCAGTTTCTGAGAATGCTTCTGTCTAGATTTTATAGGAAGATATTCCCTTTTCCAACGAAATCTTCACAGCTATCCAAATATCCACTTGCAGATTCTACAAAAAGAGTGTATCAAAACTGCTCTGTCAAAAGGAAGGTTCTTCTCTGTTAGGTGAGTGCATACGTCATAAAGGAGTTTCTGAGAATGTTTCTGTCTAGTGGTTATGGGAAGATATTTGCTTTTTCACCGAAGGCCTCAGAGCGCTCCAAATATCCACTTGCACATACTACAAAAAGAGTGCCTCAAAGCTGCTCTCTGAAACGGAATGTTCAACTCTATGAGTTGAATGCAAACATCACAACGACGTTTCCGAGAATGCTTCTGTCTAGATTTGATATGAAGATATTCCCGTTTCCAACGAAATCTTCATATCTATCAAAATGTCCACTTGCAGATTCAACAAAAAGTGTTTTTCAGAACTGCTCTATCAAAAGAAAGATCCACCTCTGTTAGCTGAGTTCACACATCACAAAGAAGTTTATGAGAATGCTTCTGTCTAGTTTTTATTTGAAGATATTTCCTTTCTCACCATAGACCTGAAAGCTGTCCTAATGTTCACTTCCAGATACTACAGAAAGAGTGTTTCAAAACTGCTGTACGAAAGGGAATGATCAACTCTGTGACTTGAATGCACACATCACAAAGAAGTTTCTGAGGATGCTGCTATCTACTTTTTATACGTAATCCCGTTTCCAAAGAAATCCCCCAAGCTATCCAAATATCCACTTGCAGATTCCACAGAAAGACTGTTTCAAAACTGCTCTGTCAATAGAAAGGTTCAACTCTGTTAGCTGCGTGCATATATCCCAAAGAAGATTCTGAGATTGCTTCTGTCTAGTTTTTATGGGAAGATATTTCCCTTTTCACCGTAGGTGTCAAGGCGCTCCAAATGTCCACTTCCAGATACTACAAAAAGAGTGTTTCAAACCTACTCTGTGAAAGGGAATATTCAACTCTGTGACTTGAATGCAGATATCAGAAAGAAGTTTCTGAGAATGCTTCTGTCGAGATTTTCTATGAAGATATTCCCGTTTCCAACGAAATCCTGAAATCTATCCAAATATCCCCTCGCAGATTCTACAGAAAGAGTGTTTCAAAACTGCTCTGTAAAAAGAAAGGTTCAACTCTGTTAGTTGAGTACACACATCACAAACAAGTTTCACAGAATGCTTCTTTCTAGCTTGTAGGGGAAGATATTCCCTTTATCACCATGGGCCTCAAACCGTCCGAAACTTCTACTTCCATATACTACAAAAAGAGCGTTTCAAACCTGCTCTATGAAAAGCAATGTTCAACTCTGTGACTTGAATGCAGACATCACAGAGCAGTTTCTGAGAATGCTTCTGTCTAGATTTTATAGGAAGATATTCCCGTTTCCAACGAAATCTTCACAGCTATCCAAATATCCACTTGCAGATTCTACAAAAAGAGTGTATCAAAACTGCTCTGTCAAAAGGAAGGTTCTTCTCTGTTAGGTGAGTACAAACGTCATAAAGGAGTTTCTGAGAATGTTTTTGTCTAGTGGTTATGGGAAGATATTTGCTTTTTCCCCGTAGGCCTCAGAACGCTCCAAATATCCACTTGCACATACTACAAAAAGAGTGCTTCAAAGCTGCTCTCTGAAACGGAATGTTCAACTCTATGAGTTGAATGCAAACATCACAAAGACGTTTCTGAGAATGCTTCTGTCTAGATTTGATATGAAGATATTCCCGTTTCCAACGAAATCTTCAAATCTATCCAAATGTCCACTTGCAGATTCAACAAAGTGTTTTTCAGAACTGCTCTATCAAAAGAAAGATCCACCTCTGTTAGCTGAGATCACACTTCACAAACAAGTATATCAGAATGCTTCTGTCTAGTTTTTATTTGAAGATATTTCCTTTCTCACCATAGACCTGAAAGCGGTCCTAATGTTCACTTCCAGATACTACAGAAAGAGTGTTTCAAAACTGCTGTACGAAAGGGAATGTTCAACTCTGTGACTTGAATGCACACATCACAAAGAAGTTTCTGAGGATGCTGCTGTCTACTTTTTATACGTAATCCCGTTTCCAACGAAATCCTCCAATCTATCCAAATATCCACTTGCAGATTCCACAGAAAGACTGTTTCAAAACTGCTCTGTCAATAGAAAGGTTCAACTCTATTAGCTGCGTACATATATCCCAAAGAAGATTCTGAGATTGCTTCTGTCTAGTTTTTATGGGAAGATATTTCCCTTTTCACCGTAGGCGTCAAGGCGCTCCAAATGTCCACTTCCAGATACTACAAAAAGAGTGTTTCAAACCTACTCTGTGAAAGGGAATATTCAACTCTGTGACTTGAATGCAGATATCACAATGAAGTTTCTGAGAATGCTTCTGTCGAGATTTTATATGAAGATATTCCCGTTTCCAACGGAATCCTGAAATCTATCTAAATACCCCCTCGCAGATTCTACAAAAAGAGTGTTTCAAAACTGCTCTGTAAAAAGAAAGGTTCAACTCTGTTAGTTGAGTACACACATCACAAACAAGTTTCACAGAATGCTTCTTTCTAGCTTGTAGGGGAAGATATTTCCTTTATCACCATGGGCCGTAAACCGTCCGAAAGGTCCACTTCCATATACTAAAAAAAGAGTGTTTGAAACCTGCTCTATGAAAGGCAATGTTCAACTCTGTGACTTGAATGCAGACATCACAGAGCAGTTTCTGAGAATGCTTCTGTCTAGATTTTATAGGAAGATATTCCCGTTTCCAACGAAATCTTCACAGCTATCCAAATATCCACTTGCAGATTCTACAAAAAGAGTGTATCAAAACTGCTCTGTCAAAAGGAAGGTTCTTCTCTGTTAGTTGAGTACATACTTCATAAAGGAGTTTCTGAGAATGTTTCTGTCTAGTCGTTATGGGAAGATATTTGGTTTTTCACCGTAGGCCTCAGAGCGCTCCAAATATCCCCTTGCACATACTACAAAAAGAGTGCTTCAGAGCTGCTCTCTGAAAGGGAATGTTCAACTCTATGAGTTGAATGCAAACATCAAAAAGACGTTTCTGAGAATGCTTCTGTCTAGACTTGATATGAAGATATTCCCGTTTCCAAAGAAATCTTCAAATCTATCCAAATGTCCACTTGCAGATTCAACAAAAAGTGTTTTTCAGAACTGCTCTATCAAAAGAAAGATCCACCTCTGTTAGCTGAGTTCACACATCCAAAACAAGTTTATGAGAATGCTTCTGTCTAGTTTTTATTTGAAGATATTTTCTTTCTCACCATAGACCTGAAAGCTGTCCTAATGTTCACTTCCAGATACTACAGAAAGAGTGTTTCAAAACTGCTGTACGAAAGGGAATGTTCAACTCTGTGACTTGAATGCACACATCACAAAGATGTTTCTGAGGATGCTGCTGTGTACTTTTTATACGTAATCCCGTTTCCAACGAAATCCTCCAATCTATCCAAATATCCACTTGCAGATTCCACAGAAAGACTGTTTCAAATCTGCTCAGTCAATAGAAAGGTTCAACTCTGTTAGCTGCGTGCATATATCACAAAGAAGATTCTGAGATTGCTTCTGTCTAGTTTTTATGAGAAGATATTTCCCTTTTCACCGTAGGTGTCAAGGCGCTCCAAATGTCCACTTCCAGATACTACAAAAAGAGTGTTTCAAACCTACTCTGTGAAAGGGAATATTCAACTCTGTGACTTGAATGCAGATATCACAAAGAAGTTTCTGAGAATGCTTCTGTCGAGATTTTATATGAAGATATTCCCGTTTCCAACGAAATCCTGAAATCTATCCAAATATCCCCTCGCAGATTCTACAAAAAGTGTGTTTCAAAACTGCTCTGTAAAAAGAAAGGTTCAACTCTGTTAGTTGAGTACACACAGCACAAACAAGTTTCACAGAATGCTTCTTTCTAGCTTGTAGGGGAAGATATTCCCTTTATCACCATGGGCCTCCAACCGTCCGAAACATCCACTTCCATATACTACAAAAAGAGCGTTTCAAACCTGCTCTATGAAAGACAATGTTCAACTCTGTGACTTGAATGCAGACATCACAGAGCAGTTTCTGAGAATGCTTCTGTCTAGATTTTATAGGAAGATATTCCCGTTTCCAACGAAATCTTCACAGCTATCCAAATATCCACTTGCAGATTCTACAAAAGGAGTGTATCAAAACTGCTCTGTCAAAAGGAAGGTTCTTCTCTGTTAGGTGAGTGCATACGTCATAAAGGAGTTTCTGAGAATGTTTCTGTCTAGTGGTTATGGGAAGATATTTGCTTTTTCACCGTAGACCTCAGAGCGCTCCAAATATCCACTTGCACATACTACAAAAAGAGTGCCTCAAAGCTGCTCTCTGAAACGGAATGTTCAACTCTATGAGTTGAATGCAAACATCACAAAGACGTTTCTGAGAATGCTTCTGTCTAGATTTGATATGAAGATATTCCCGTTTCCAACGAAATCTTCAAATCTATCCAAATGTCCACTTGCAGATTCAACAAAAAGTGTTTTTCCGAACTGCTCTATCAACAGAAAGATCCGCCTCTGTTAGCTGAGTTCACACATCACAAACAAGTTTATGAGAATGCTTCTGTGTAGTTTTTATTTGAAGATATTTCCTTTCTCACCATAGACCTGAAAGCTGTCCTAATGTTCACTTCCAGATACTACAGAAAGAGTGTTTCAAAACTGCTGTACGAAAGGGAATGTTCAACTCTGTGACTTGAATGCACACATCACAAAGAAGTTTCTGAGGATGCTGCTGTCTACTTTCTATACGTAATCCCGTTTCCAACGAAATCCTCCAAGCTATCCAAATATCCACTTGCAGATTCCACAGAAAGACTGTTTCAAAACTGCTCTGTCAATAGAAAGGTTCAACTCTGTTAACTGCGTGCATATATCCCAAAGAAGATTCTGAGATTGCTTCTGTCTAATTTTTATGAGAAGATATTTCCCTTTTCACCGTAGGCGTCAAGGCGCTCCAAATGTCCACTTCCAGATACTACAAAAAGAGTGTTTCAAACCTACTCTGTGAAAGGGAATATTCAACTCTGTGACTTGAATGCACATATCACAAAGAAGTTTCTGAGAATGCTTCTGTCGAGATTTTATATGAAGATATTCCCGTTTCCAACGAAATCCTGAAATGTATCCAAATATCCCCTTGCAGATTCTACAAAAAGAGTGTTTCAAAACTGCTCTGTAAAAAGAAAGGTTCAACTCTGTTAGTTGAGTACACACATCACAAACAAGTTTATGAGAATGCTTCTTTCTAGCTTGTAGGGGAAGATATTCCCTTTATCACCATGGGCTTCAAACCGTCCGAAACATCCACTTCCATATACTACAAAAAGAGCGTTTCAAACCTGCTCTATGAAAGGCAATGTTCAACTCTGTGACTTGAATGCAGACATCACAGAGCAGTTTCTGAGAATGCTTCTGTCTAGATTTTATAGGAAGATGTTCCCGTTTCCAACGAAATCTTCACAGCTATCCAAATATCCACTTGCAGATTCTACAAAAAGAGTGTATCAAAACTGCTCTGTCAAAAGGAAGGTTCTTCTCTGTTAGGTGAGTGCATACGTCATAAAGGAGTTTCTGAGAATGTTTCTGTCTAGTGGTTATGGGAAGATATTTGCTTTTTCACCGTAGGCCTCAGAGCGCTCCAAATATCCACTTGCACATACTACAAAAAGAGTGCTTCAAAGCTGCTCTCTGAAACGGAATGTTCAACTCTATGAGTTGAATGCAAACATCACAAAGACGTTTCTGAGAATGCTTTCTGTCTAGATTTGATACGAAGATATTCCCGTTTCCAACGAAATCTTCAAATCTATCCAAATGTCCACTTGCAGATTCAACAAAAAGTGTTTTTCAGAACTGCTCTATCAAAAGAAAGATCCACCTCTGTTAGCTGAGTTCACACAACACAAACAAGTTTATGAGAATGCTTCTGTCTAGTTTTTATTTGAAGATATTTCCTTTCTCACCATAGAGCTGAAAGCTGTCCTAATGTTCACTTCCAGATACTACAGAAAGAGTGTTTCAAAACTGCTGTACGAAAGGGAATGTTCAACTCTGTGACTTGAATGCACACATCACAAAGAAGATTCTGAGGATGCTGCTGTCTACTTTTTATACGTAATCCCGTTTCCAACGAAATCCTCCAAGCTATCCAAATATCCACTTGCAGATTCCACAGAAAGACTGTTTCAAAACTGCTCTGTCAATAGAAAGGTTCAACTCTGTTAGCTGCGTGGATATATCCCAAAGAAAATTCTGAGATTGCTTCTGTCTAGTTTTTATGGGAAGATATTTCCCTTTTTACCGTAGGTGTCAAGGCGCTCAAAATGTCCACTTCCAGATACTACAAAAAGAGTGTTTCAAACCTACTCTGTGAAAGGGAATATTCAACTCTGTGACTTGAATGCAGATATCACAAAGAAGTTTCTGAGAATGCTTCTGTCGAGATTTTATATGAAGATACTCCCGTTTCCAACGAAATCCTGAAATCTATCCAAATATCCCTTCGCAGATTCTACAAAAAGAGTGTTTCAAAATTGCTCTGTAAAAAGAAAGGTTCAACTCTGTTAGTTGAGTACACACATCACAAACAAGTTTCACAGAATGCTTCTTTCTAGCTTGTAGGGGAAGATATTCCCTTTAACACCATGGGCCTCAAACCGTCTGAAACGTCCACTTCCATATACTAAAAAAGATCATTTCAAACCTGCTCTAGGAAAGGCAATGTTCAACTCTGTGACTTGAATGCAGACATCACAAAGCAGTTTCTGAGAATGCTTCTGTATAGATTTTATAGGAAGATATTCCCGTTTCCAACGAAATCTTCACAGCTATCCAAATATCCACTTGCAGATTCTACAAAAAGAGTGTATCAAAACTGCTCTGTCAAAAGGAAGGTTCTTACTCCTGTTAGGTGAGTGCATACGTCATAAAGGAGTTTCTGAGAATGTTTCTGTCTAGTGGTTATGGGAAGATATTTGCTTTTTCCCCGTAGGCCTCAGAGCGCTCCAAATATCCACTTGCACATACTACAAAAAGAGTGCTTCAAAGCTGCTCTCTGAAACGGAATTTTCAACTCTATGAGTTGAATGCAAACATCACAAAGACGTTTCTGAGAATGCTTCTGTCTAGATTTGATATGAAGATATTCCCGTTTCCAACGAAATCTTCATATCTATCCAAATGTCCACTTGCAGATTCAACAAAAAGTGTTTTTCAAAACTGCTCTATCAAAAGAAAGATCCACGTCTGTTAGCTGAGTTCACACATCACAAACAAGTTTATGAGAATGCTTCTGTCTAGTTTTTATTTGAAGATATTTCCTTTCTCACCATAGACCTGAAAGCTGTCCAAATGTTCACTTCCAGATACTACAGAAAGAGTGTTTCAAAACTGCTGTACGAAAGGGAATGTTCAACTCTGTGATTTGAATGCAGACATCACAAAGAAGTTTCTGAGGATGCTGCTGTCTACTTTTTATACGTAATCCCGTTTCCAACGAAATCCTCCAAGCTATCCCAAATATCCACTTGCAGATTCCACAGAAAGACTGTTTCAAAACTGCTCTGTCAATAGAAAGGTTCAACTCTGTTAGCTGCGTGCATATATCCCAAAGAAGATTCTGAGATTGCTTCTGTCTAGTTTTAATGGGAAGATATTTCCCTTTTCACCGTAGGCGTCAAGGCGCTCCAAATGTCCACTTCCAGATTCTACAAAAAGAGTGTTTCTAACCTACTCGGTGAAAGGGAATATTCAACTCTGTGACTTGAATGCAGATATCACAAAGAAGTTTCTGAGAATGCTTCTGTCGAGATTTTATATGAAGATATTCCCGGTTCCAACGAAATCCTGAAATCTATCCAAATATCCCCTCGCAGATTCTACAAAAAGAGTGTTTCAAAACTGCTCTGTAAAAAGAAAGGTTCAACTCTGTTAGTTGAGTACACACATCACAAACAAGTTTCACACAATGCTTCTTTCTAGCTTGTAGGGGAAGATATTCCCTTTATCACCATGGGCCTCAAACCGTCCGATAAGTCCACTTCCATATACTATAAAAAGAGCGTTTCAAACCTGCTCTATGAAAGGCAATGTTCAACTCTGTGACTTGAATGCAGACATCACAGAGCAGTTTCTGAGAATGCTTCTGTCTAGATTTTATAGGAAGATATTCCCGTTTCCAACGAAATCTTCACAGCTATCCAAATATCCACTTGCAGATTCTACAAAAAGAGTGTATCAAAACTGCTCTGTCAAACGGAAGGTTCTTCTCTGTTAGGTGAGTGCATACGTCATAAAGGAGTTTCTGAGAATGTTTCTGTGTAGTGGTTATGGGAAGATATTTGCTTTTTCACCGTAGGCCTCAGAGCGCTCCAAATATCCACTTGCACATACTACAAAAAGAGTGCTTCAAAGCTGCTCTCTGAAAGGGAATGTTCAACTCTATGAGTTGAATGCAAACATCACAAAGACGTTTCTGAGAATGCTTCTGTCTAGATTTTACATGAAGATATTCCCGTTTCCAACGAAATCTTCAAATCTATCCACATGTCCACATGCAGGTTCAACAAAAAGTGTTTTTCAAAACTGCTGTATGAAAAGAAAGATCCACCTATGTTAGTTGAGTTCACACATCACAAACAAGTTTATGAGAATGCTTCTGTCTAGTTTTTATTTGAAGATATTTCCTTTCTCACCATAGACCTGAAAGCTGTCCTAATGTTCACTTCCAGATACTACAGAAAGAGTGTTTCAAAACTGCTGTACGAAAGGGAATGTTCAACTCTGTGACTTGAATGCACACATCACAAAGAAGTTTCAGAGGATGCTGCTGTCTACTTTTTATACGTAATCCCGTTTCCAACGAAATCCTCCAAGCTATCCAAATATCCACTTGCAGATTCCACAGAAAGACTGTTTCAAAACTGCTCTGTCAATAGAAAGGTTCAACTCTATTAGCTGCGTACATATATCCCAAAGAAGATTCTGAGATGGCTTCTGTCTAGTTTTTATGGGAAGATATTTCCCTTTTCACCGTAGGCGTCAAGGCGCTCCAAATGTCCACTTCCAGATACTACAAAAAGAGTGTTTCAAACCTTCTCTGTGAAAGGGAACATTCAAATCTGTGACTTGAATGCACATATCACAAAGAAGTTTCTGAGAATGCTTCTGTCGAGATTTTATATGAAGATATTCCCGTTTCCAATGAAATGCTGAAATGTATCCAAATATCCCCTCGCAGATTCTACAAAAAGAGTGTTTCAAAACTGCTCTGTAAAAAGAAAGGTTCAACTCTGTTAGTTGAGTACACACATCACAAACAAGTTTCACAGAATGCTTCTTTCTAGCTTGTAGGGGAAGATATTCCCTTTATCACCATGGGCCTGAAACCGTCCGAAACGTCTACTTCCATATACTACAAAAAGAGCGTTTCAAACCTGCTCTATGAAAGGCAATGTTCAACTCTGTGACTTGAATGCAGACATCACAGAGCAGTTTCTGAGAATGCTTCTGTCTAGATTTTATAGGAAGATATTCCCGTTTCCAACGAAATCTTCACAGCTATCCAAATATCCACTTGCAGATTTTACAAAAAGAGTGTATCAAAACTGCTCTGTCAAAAGGAAGGTTCTTCTCTGTTAGGTGAGTGCATACGTCATAAAGGAGTTTCTGAGAATGTTTCTGTCTAGTGGTTATGGGAAGATACTTGCTTTTTCACCGTAGGCCTCAGAGCGCTCCAAATATCCACTTGCACATACTACAAAAAGAGTGCCTCAAAGCTGCTCTCTGAAACGGAATGTTCAACTCTATGAGTTGAATGCAAACATCACAAAGACGTTTCTGAGAATGCTTCTGTCTAGATTTGATATGAAGATATTCCCGTTTCCAACGAAATCTTCAAATCTATCGAAATGTCCACTTGCAGATTCAACAAAAAGTGTTTTTCAGAACTGCTCTATCAAAAGAAAGATCCACCTCTGTTAGCTGAGTTCACACATCACAAACAAGTTTATGAGAATGCTTTCTGTCTAGTTTTTATTTGAAGATATTTCCTTTCTCACCATAGAGCTGAAAGCTGTCCTAATGTTCACTTCCAGATACTATAGAAAGAGTGTTTCAAAACTGCTGTACGAAAGGGAATGTTCAACTCTGTGACTTGAATGCACACATCACAAAGAAGTTTCTGAGGATGCTGCTGTCTACTTTTTATACGTAATCCCGTTTCCAACGAAATCCTCCAAGCTATCCAAATATCCACTTGCAGATTCCCCAGAAAGACTGTTTCAAAACTGCTCTGTCAATAGAAAGGTTCAACTCTGTTAGCTGCGTGCATATATCCCAAAGAAGATTCTGAGATTGTTTCTGTCTAGTTTTTATGGGAAGATATTTCCCTTTTCACCGTAGGCGTCAAGGTGCTCCAAATGTCCACATCCGGATACTACAAAAAGAGTGTTTCAAACCTACTCTGTGAAAGGGAATATTCAATTCTGTGACTTGAATGCACATATCACAAAGAAGTTTCTGAGAATGCTTCTGTCGAGATTTTCTATGAAGATATTCCAGTTTCCAACGAAATCCTGAAATCTATCCAAATATCCCCTCGCAGATTCTACAAAAAGAGTGTTTCAAAACTGCTCTGTAAAAAGAAAGGTTCAACTCTGTTAGTTGAGTACACACATCACAAACAAGTTTCACAGAATGCTCCTTCTAGCTTGTAGGGGAAGATATTCCCTTTATCACCATGGGCCTCAAACCGTCCGAAACGTTTACTTCCATGTACTACAAAAAGAGCGTTTCAAACCTGCTCTATGAAAGGCAATGTTCAACTCTGTGACTTGAATGCAGACATCACAGAGCAGTTTCTGAGAATGCTTCTGTCTAGATTTTATAGGAAGATATTCCCGTTTCCAACGAAACCTTCACAGCTATCCAAATATCCACTTGCAGATTCTACAAAAAGAGTGTATCAAAACTGCTCTGTCAAAAGGAAGGTTCTTCTCTGTTAGGTGAGTGCATACATCATAAAGGAGTTTCTGAGAATGTTTCTGTCTAGTGGTTATGGGAACATATTTGCTTTTTCACCGTAGGCCTCAGAGCGCTCCAAATATCCACTTGCACATACTACAAAAAGAGTGCCTCAAAGCTGCTCTCTGAAACGGAATGTTCAACTCTATGAGTTGAATGCAAACATCGCAAAGACGTTTCTGAGAATGCTTCTGTCTAGATTTGATATGAAGATATTCCCGTTTCCAACGAAATCTTCAAATCTATCCAAATGTCCACTTGCAGATTCAACAAAGTGTTTTTCAATACTGCTGTATCAAAAGAAAGATCCACCTGTGTTAGCTGAGTTCACACTTCACAAACAAGTTTATGAGAATGCTTCTGTCTAGTTTTTATTTGAAGATATTTCCTTTCTCACCATAGAGCTGAAAGCTGTCCTAATGTTCTCTTCCAGATACTACAGAAAGAGTGTTTCAAAACGGCTGTACGAAAGGGAATGTTCAACTCTGTGACTTGAATGCACACATCACAAAGAAGTTTCGGAGGATGCTGCTGTCTACTTTTTATGCGTAATCCCTTTTCCAACGAAATCCTCCAAGCTATCCAAATATCCACTTGCAGATTCCACAGAAAGACTGTTTCAAAACTGCTCTGTCAATAGAAAGGTTCAACTCTGTTAGCTGCGTGCATATATCCCAAAGAAGATTCTGAGATTGCTTCTGTCTAGTTTTTATGGGAAGATATTTCCCTTTTCACCGTAGGCGTCAAGGCGCTCCAAATGTCCACTTCCAGATACTACAAAAAGAGTGTTTCAAACCTACTGTGTGAAAGGGAATATTCAACTCTGTGACTTGAATGCACATATCACAAAGAAGTTTCTGAGAATGCTTCTGTCGAGATTTTATATGAAGATATTCCCGTTTCCAACGAAATGCTGAAATGTATCCAAATATCCGCTCGCAGATTCTACAAAAAGAGTGTTTCAAAACTGCTCTGTAAAAAGAAAGGTTCAACTCTGTTAGTTGAGTACACACATCACAAACAAGTTTCACAGAATGCTTCTTTCTAGCTTGTAGGGGAAGATATTCCCTTTATCACCATGGGCCTCCAACCGTCCGAAACATCCACTTCCATATACTACAAAAAGAGCGTTTCAAACCTGCTCTATGAAAGGCAATGTTTAACTCTGTGACTTGAATACAGACATCACAGAGCAGTTTCTGAGAATGCTTCTGTCTAGATTTTATAGGAAGATATTCCCGTTTCCAACGAAATATTCACAGCTATCCAAATATCCACTTGCAGATTCTACAAAAAGAGTGTATCAAAACTGCTGTGTCAAAAGGAAGGTTCTTCTCTGTTAGGTGAGTGCATACGTCATAAAGGAGTTTCTGAGAATGTTTCTGCCTAGTGGTTATGGGAAGATATTTGCTTTTTCACCGTAGGCCTCAGAGCGCTCCAAATATCCACTTGCACATACTACAAAAAGAGTGCTTCAAAGCTGCTCTCTGAAAGGGAATGTTCAACTCTATGAGTTGAATGCAAACATCACAAAGACGTTTCTGAGAATGCTGCTGTCTAGATTTGATATGAAGATATTCCCGTTTCCAACGAAATCTTCAAATCTATCCAAATGTCCACTTGCAGATTCAACAAAAAGTGTTTTTCAGAAATGCTCTATCAAAAGAAAGATCCACCTCTGTTAGCTGAGTTCACACATCACAAACAAGTTTATGAGAATGCTTCTGTCTAGTTTTTATTTGAAGATATTTCCTTTCTCACCATAGAGCTGAAAGCTGTCCTAATGTTCACTTCCAGATACTACAGAAAGAGTGTTTGAAAACTGCTGTACAAAAGGGAATGTTCAACTCTGTGACTTGAATGCACACATCACAAAGAAGTTTCTGAGGATGCTGCTGTCTACTTTTTATACGTAATCCCGTTTCCAACGAAATCCTCCAAGCTATCCAAATATCCACTTGCAGATTCCACAGAAAGACTGTTTCAAAACTACTCTGTCAATAGAAAGGTTCAACTCTGTTAGCTGCGTGCATATATCCCAAAGAAGATTCTGAGATTGCTTCTGTCTAGTTTTTATGGGAAGATATTTCCCTTTTCACCGTAGGTGTCAAGGCGCTCCAAATGTCCACTTCCAGATACTACAAAAAGGGTGTTTCAAACCTACTCTGTGAAAGGGAATATTCAACTCTGTGACTTGAATGCACATATCACAAAGAAGTTTCTGACAATGCTTCTGTCGAGATTTTATATGAAGATATTCCCGTTTCCAACGAAATCGTGAAATCTATCCAAATATCCCCTCGCAGATTCTACAAAAAGAGTGTTTCAAAACTGCTCTGTAAAAAGAAAGGTTCAACTCTGTTAGTTGAGTACACACATCACAAACAAGTTTCACAGAATGCTTCTTTCTAGCTTGTAGGGGAAGATATTCCCTTTATCACCATGGGCCTCAAACCGTCCGAAACGTCTACTTCCATATACTACAAAAAGAGCGTTTCAAACCCGCTCTATGAAAAGCAATGTTCAACTCTGTGACTTGAATGCAGACATCACAGAGCAGTTTCTGAGAATGCTTCTGTCTAGATTTTATAGGAAGATATTCCCGTTTCCAACGAAATCTTCACAGCTATCCAAATATCCACTTGCAGATTCTTCAAAAAGAGTGTATCAAAACTGCTCTGTCAAAAGGAAGGTTCTTTTCTGTTAGGTGAGTGCATACGTCATAAAGGAGTTTCTGAGAATGTTTCTGTCTAGTGGTTATGGGAAGATATTTGCTTTTTCACCGTAGGCCTCAGAGCGCTCCAAATATCCACTTGCACATACTACAAAAAGAGTGCCTCAAAGCTGCTCTCTGAAACCGAATGTTCAACTCCATGAGTTGAATGCAAACATCACAAAGACGTTTCTGAGAATGCTTCTGTCTAGATTTGATATGAAGATATTCCCGTTTCCAACGAAATCTTCAAATCTATCCAAATGTCCACTTGCAGATTCAACAAAAAGTGTTTTTCAGAACTGCTCTATCAAAAGAAAGATCCACCTCTGTTAGCTGAGTGCACACATCACAAACAAGTTTATGAGTATGCTTCTGTCTAGTTTTTATTTGAAGATATTTCCTTTCTCACCATAGACCTGAAAGATGTCCTAATGTTCACTTAGAGATACTACAGAAAGAGTGTTTCAAAACTGCTGTACGAAAGGGAATGTTCAACACTGTGACATGAATGCACACATCACAAAGAAGTTTCTGTGGATGCTACTGTCTACTTTTTATACGTAAACCCGTTTCCAACGAAATCCTCCAAGCTATCCAAATATCCACTTGCAGATTCCACAGAAAAACTGTTACAAAACTGCTCTGTCAATAGAAAGGTTCAACTCTGTTAGCTGCGTGCATATATCCCAAAGAAGATTCTGAGATTGCTTCTGTCTAGTTTTTATGGGAAGATATTTCCCTTTTCACCGTAGGCGTCAAGGCGCTCCAAATGTCCACTTCCAGATACTACAAAAAGAGTGTTTCAAACCTACTCTGTGAAAGGGAATATTCACCTCTGTGACTTGAAGGCAGATATCACAAAGAAGTTTCTGAGAATGCTTCTGTCGACATTTTATATGAAGATATTCCCGTTTCCAACGAAATCCTGAAATGTATCCAAATATCCCCTCGCAGATTCTACAAAAAGAGTGTTTCAAAACTGCTCTGTAAAAAGAAAGGTTCAACTCTGTTAGTTGAGTACACACATCACAAACTAGTTTCACACAATGCTTCTTTCTAGCTTGTAGGGGAAGATATTTCCTTTATCACCATGGTCCTCAAACCGTCCGAAACGTCCACTTCCATATACTAAAAAAAGAGTGTTTGAAACCTGCTCTATGAAAGGCAACGTTCAACACTGTGACTTGAATGCAGACATCACAGAGCAGTTTCTGAGAATGCTTCTGTCTAGATTTTATAGGAAGATATTCCCGTTTCCAACGAAATCTTCACAGCTATCCAAATATCCTCTTGCAGATTCTACAAAAAGAGTGTATCAAAACTGCTCTGTCAAAAGGAAGGTTCTTCTTCTGTTAGGTGAGTGCATACGTCATAAAGGAGTTTCTGAGAATGTTTCTGTCTAGTGGTTATGGGAAGATATTTGCTTTTTCCCCGTAGGCGTCAGAGCGCTCCAAATATCCACTTGCACATACTACAAAAAGAGTGCTTCAAAACTGCTCTCTGAAAGGGAATGTTCAACTCTATGAGTTGAATGCAAACATCACAAAGACGTTTCTGAGAATGCCTCTGTCTAGATTTGATATGAAGATATTCCCGTTTCCAACGAAATCTTCAAATCTATCCAAATGTCCTCTTGCAGATTCAACAAAAAGTGTTTTTCAGAACTGCTCTATCAAAAGAAAGATCCACGTGTGTTAGCTGAGTTCACGCATCACGAACAAGTTTATGAGAATGCTTCTGTCTAGTTTTTATTTGAAGATATTTCCTTTCTCACCATATACCTGAAAGCTGTCCTAATGTTCACTTCCAGATACTACAGAAAGAGTGTTTCAAAACTGCTGTACGAAAGGGAATGTTCAACACTGTGACTTGAATGCACACATCACAAAGAAGTTTCTGAGGATGCTGCAGTCTACTTTTTATACGTAATCCCGTTTCCAACGAAATCCTCCAAGCTATCCAAATATCCACTTGCAGATTCCACAGAAAGACTGTTTCAAAACTGCTCTGTCAATAGAAAGGTTCAACTCTGTTAGCTGCGTGCATATATCCCAAAGAAGATTCTGAGATTGCTTCTGTCTAGTTTTTATGGGAAGATATTTCCCTTTTCACCATAGGCGTCAAGGCGCCCCAAATGTCCACTTCCAGATACTACAAAAAGAGTGTTTCAAACCTACTCTGTGAAAGGGAATATTCAACTCTGTGACTTGAATGCACATATCACAAAGAAGTTTCTGAGAATGCTTCTGTCGAGATTTTATATGAAGATATTCCCGTTTCCAACGAAATCCTGAAATCTATACAAATATCCCCTCGCAGATTCTACAAAAAGAGTGTTTCAAAACTGCTCTGTAAAAAGAAAGGTTCAACTCTGTTAGTTGAGTACACACATCACAAACAAGTTTCACAGAATGCTTCTTTCTAGCTTGTAGGGGAAGATATTCCCTTTATCACCATGGGCCTCAAACCGTCCGAAACGTCCACTTCCATATACTACAAAAAGAGTGTTTCAAACCTGCTCTAGGAAAGGCAATGTTCAACTCTGTGACTTGAATGCAGACATCACATAGCAGTTTCTGAGAATGCTTCTGTCTAGATTTTATAGGAAGATATTCCCGTTTCCAACGAAATCTTCACAGCTATCCAAGTATCCACTTGCAGATTCTACAAAAAGAGTGTATCAAAACTGCTCTGTCAAAAGGAAGGTTCTTCTCTGTTAGGTGAGTGCATACGTCATAAAGGAGTTTCTGAGAATGTTTCGGTCTAGTGGTTATGGGAAGATATTTGCTTTTTCACCGTAGGCCTCAGAGCGCTCCAAATATCCACTTGCACATACTAGAAAAAGAGTGCCTCAAAGCTGCTCTCTGAAACGGAATGTTCAACTCTATGAGTTGAATGCAAACATCACAAAGACGTTTCTGAGAATGCTTCTGTCTAGATTTGATATGAAGATATTCCCGTTTCCAACGAAATCTTCAAATCTATCCAAATGTCCACTTGCAGATTCAACAAAAAGTGTTATTCAGAACTGCTCTATCAAAAGAAAGATCCACCTCTGTTAGCTGAGTTCACACATCACAAAGAAGTTTATGAGAATGCTTCTGTCTAGTTTTTATTTGAAGATATTTCCTTTCTCCCCATAGACCTGAAAGCTGTCCTAATGTTCACTTCCAGATACTACAGAAAGAGTGTTTCAAAACTGCTGTACGAAAGGGAATGTTCAACTCTGTGACTTGAATGCACACATCACAAAGAAGTTTCTGAGGATGCTGCTGTCTACTTTTTATACGTAATCCCGTTTCCAACGAAATCCTCCAAGCTATCCAAATATCCACTTGCAGATTCCACAGAAAGACTGTTTCTAAACTGCTCTGTCAATAGAAAGGTTCAACTCTGTTAGCTGCGTGCATATATCCCAAAGAAGATTCTGAGATTGCTTCTGTCTAGTTTTTATGGGAAGATATTTCCCTTTTCACCGTAGGTGTCACGGCGCTCCAAATGTCCACTTCCAGATACTACAAAAAGAGTGTTTCAAACCTACTCTGTGAAAGGGAATATTCAACTCTGTGACTTGAATGCAGATATCACAAAGAAGTTTCTGAGAATGCTTCTGTCGAGATTTTATATGAAGATATTCCCGTTTCCAACGAAATCCTGAAATCTATCCAAATATCCCCTCGCAGATTCTACAAAAAGAGTGTTTCAAAACTGCTCTGTAAAAAGAAAGGTTCAACTGTGTTAGTTGAGTACACACATCACAAACAAGTTTCACAGAATGCTTCTTTCTAGCTTGTAGGGGAAGATTTTCCCTTTATCACCATGGGCCTCCAACCGTCCGAAACATCCACTTCCATATACTACAAAAAGAGCGTTTCAAACCTGCTCTAGGAAAGGCAATGTTCAACTCTGTGACTTGAATGCAGACATCACAGAGCAGTTTCTGAGAATGCTTCTGTCTAGATTTTATAGGAAGGTATTCCCGTTTCCAACGAAATCTTCACAGCTATCCAAATATCCTCTTGCAGATTCTACAAAAAGAGTGTATCAAAACTGCTCTGTCAAAAGGACGGTCCTTCTCTGTTATTTGAGTACATACGTCATAAAGGGGTTTCTGAGAATGTTTCTGTCTATTGGTTATGGGAAGATATTTGCTTTTTCACCTTAGGACTCAGAGCGCTCCAAATATCCCCTTGCACATACTACAAAAAGAGTGCTTCAAAGCTGCTCTCTGAAACGGAATGTTCAACTCTATGAGTTGAATGCAAACATCACAAAGACGTTTCCGAGAATGCTTCTGTCTAGATTTGATATGAAGATATTCCCGTTTCCAACGAAATCTTCAAATCTATCCAAATGTCCACTTGCAGATTCAACAAAAAGTGTTTTTCAAAACTGCTATATCAAAAGAAAGATCCACGTCTGTTAGCTGATTTCACACATCACAAACAAGTTTATGAGAATGCTTCTGTCTAGTTTTTATTTGAAGATATTTCCTTTCTCACCATAGAGCTGAAAGCTGTCCTAATGTTCACTTCCAGATACTACAGAAAGAGTGTTTCAAAACTGCTGTACGAAAGGGAATGTTCAACTCTGTGACTTGAATGCACACATCACAAAGAAGTTTCTGACGATGCTGCTGTCTACTTTCTATACGGTAATCCCGTTTCCAACGAAATCCTCCAAGCTATCCAAATATCCACTTGCAGATTCCACAGAAAGACTGTTTCAAAACTGCTCTGTCAATAGAAAGGTTCAACTCTGTTAACTGCGTGCATATATCCCAAAGAAGATTCTGAGATTGCTTCTGTCTAGTTTTTATGGGAAGATATTTCCCTTTTCACCGTAGGCGTCAAGGCGCTCCAAATATCCACTTCCAGATACTACAAAAAGAGTGTTTCAAACCTACTCTGTGAAAGGGAATATTCAACTCTGTGACTTGAATGCACATATCACAAAGAAGTTTCTGAGAATGCTTCTGTCGAGATTTTATATGAAGATATTCCCGTTTCCAACGAAATCCTGAAATGTATCCAAATATACCCTCGCAGATTCTACAAAAAGAGTGTTTCAAAACTGCTCTGTAAAAAGAAAGGTTCAACTCTGTTAGTTGAGTACACACATCACAAACAAGTTTCACAGAATGCTTCTTTCTAGCTTGTAGGGGAAGATATTCCCTTTATCACCATGGGCCTCAAACCGTCTGAAACGTCCACTTCCATATACTACAAAAAGAGTGTTTGAAACCTCCTCTATGAAAGGCAATGTTCAACTCTGTGACTTGAATGCAGACATCACAGAGCAGTTTCTGAGAATGCTTCTGTCTAGATTTTATAGGAAGATATTCCCGTTTCCAACGAAATCTTCACAGCTATCCAAATATCCACTTGCAGATTCTACAAAAAGAGTGTATCAAAACTGCTCTGTCAAAAGGAAGGTTTTTCTCTGTTAGTTGAGTACATACGTCATAAAGGAGTTTCTGAGAATGTTTCTGTCTACTGGTTATGGGAAGATATTTGCTTTTTCACCGTAGGCCTCAGAGCGCTCCAAATATCCACTTGCACATACTACAAAAAGAGTGCTTCAAAGCTGCTCTCTGAAAGGGAATGTTCAACTCTATGAGTTGAATGGAAACATCACAAAGACGTTTCTGAGAATGCTTCTGTCTAGATTTGATATGAAGATATTCCCGTTTCCAACGACATCTTCAAATCTATCCAAATGTCCACTTGCAGATTCAACAAAACGTGTTTTTCAGAACTGCTCTATCAAAAGAAAGATCCACCTCTGTTAGCTGAGTTCACACATAACAAACAAGTTTATGAGAATGCTTCTGTCTAGTTTTTGTTTGAAGATATTTCCTTTCTCACCATAGAGCTGAAAGCTGTCCTAATGTTCACTTCCAGATACTACAGAAAGAGTGTTTCAAAACTGCTGTACGAAAGGGAATGTTCAACTCTGTGACTTGAATGCACACATCACAAAGAAGTTTCTGAGGATGCTGCTGTCTACTTTTTATACGTAATCCCGTTTTTAACGAAATCCTCCAAGCTATCCAAATATCCACTTGCAGATCCCACAGAAAGACTGTTTCAAAACTGCTCTGTCTATAGAAAGGTTCAACTCTGTTAGCTGCGTGCATATATCCCAACGACGATTCTGAGATTGCTTCTGTCTAGTTTTTATGGGAAGATATTTCCCTTTTCACCGTAGGCGTCAAGGCGCTCCAAATGTCCACTTCCAGATACTACAAAAAGAGTGTTTCAAACCTACTCTGTGAAAGGGAATATTCAACTCTGTGACTAGAATGCACATATCACAAAGAAGTTTCTCAGAATGCATCTGTCGAGATTTTATATGAAGATATTCCCGTTTCCAACGAAATCTTGAAATCTATCCAAATATCCCCTCGCAGATTCTACAAAAAGAGTGTTTCAAAACTGCTCTGTAAAAAGAAAGGTTCAACTCTGTTAGTTGAGTACACACATCACAAACAAGTTTCACACAATGCTTCTTTCTAGCTTGTAGGGGAAGATATTCCCTTTATCACCATGGGCCTCCAACCGTCCGAAACATCCACTTCCATATACTACAAAAAGAGCATTTCAAACCTGCTCTATGAAAGGCAATGTTCAACTCTGTGACTTGAATGCAGACATCACAGAGCAGTTTCTGAGAATGCTTCTGTCTAGATTTTATAGGAAGATATTCCCGTTTCCAACGAAATCTTCACAGCTATCCAAATATCCACTTGCAGATTCTACAAAAAGAGTGTATCAAACCTGCTCAGTCAAAAGGAAGGTTCTTCTCTGTTAGGTGAGTGCATACGTCATAAAGGAGTTTCTGAGAATGTTTCTGTCTAGTGGTTATGGGAAGATATTTGCTTTTTCACCTTAGGCCTCAGAGCGCTCCAAATATCAACTTGCACATACTACAAAAAGAGTGCTTCAAAGCTGCTCTCTGAAAGGGAATGTTCAACTCTATGAGTTGAATGCAAACATCACAAAGACGTTTCTGAGAATGCTTCTGTCTAGATTTGATATGAAGATATACCCGTTTCCAACGAAATCTTCAAATCTATCCAAATGTCCACTTGCAGATTCAACAAAGTGTTTCTCAAAACTGCTGTATCAAAAGAAAGATCCACCTCTGTTACCTGAGTTCACACTTCGCAAACAAGTTTATCAGAACTCTTCTGTCTAGTTTTTATTTGAAGATATATCCTTTCTCACTATAGACCTGAAAGCTCTCATAAAGTTCACTTCCAGATACTACAGAAAGAGTGTTTCAAAAATGCTGTACGAAAGGTAATGTTCAACTCTGTGACTTGAATGCACACATCACAAGGAAGTTTCTGAGGATGCTGCTGTCTAATTTTTATACGTAATCCCGTTTCCAACGAAATCCTCCAAGCTATCCAAATATCCACTTGCAGATTCCACAAAAGAGTGTTTCAAAGCTGCTCTGTCAATAGAAATGTTCAACTCTGTTAGCTGCGTGCATATATCACAAAGAAGATTCTGAGATTGCTTCTGTCTAGTTTTTATGGGAAGATATTTCCCTTTTCACCGTAGGTGTCAAGGCGCTCCAAATGTCCACTTCCAGATACTACAAAAAGAGTGTTTCAAACCTACTCTGTGAAAGGGGATATTCAACTCTGTGACTTAAAGGCAGATATCACAAAGAAGTTTCTGAGAATGCTTCTGTCGAGATTTTATATGAAGATATTCCCGTTTCCAACGAAATCCTGAAATGTATCCAAATATCCCCTCGCAGATTCTACAAAAAGAGTGTTTCAAAACTGCTCTGTAAAAACAAACGTTCAACTCTGTTAGTTGAGTACACACATCACAAACAAGTTTCACACAATGCTTCTTTCTAGCTTGTAGGGGAAGATATTCCCTTTATCACCATGGGCCTCAAACCGTCCGAAACGTCTACTTACATATACTACAAAAAGAGCGTTTCAAACCTGCTCTATGAAAGGCAATGTTCAACTCTGTGACTTGTATGCAGACATCACAGAGCAGTTTCTGAGAATGCTTCTGTCTAGATTTTACAGGAAGATATTCCCGTTTCCAGCGAAATCTTCACAGCTATCCAAATATCCACTTGCAGATTCTACAAAAAGAGTGTATCAAAACTGCTCTGTCAAATGGAAGGTTCTTCTCTGTTAGGTGAGTGCATACGTCATAAAGGAGTTTCTGAGAATGTTTCTGTCTAGTGGTTATGGGAAGATATTTGCTTTTTCACCGTAGGCCTCAGAGCGCTCCAAATATCCACTTGCACATACTACAAAAAGAGTGTTTCAAAGCTGCTCTCTGAATGGGAATGTTCAACTCTATGAGTTGAATGCAAACATGACAAAGACGTTTCTGAGAATGCTTCTGTCTAGATTTGATATGAAGATATTCCCGTTTCCAACGAAATCTTCAAATCTATCCAAATGTCCACTTCCAGATTCAACAAAGTGTTTTTCAGAACTGCTCTATCAAAAGAAAGATCCACCTCTGTTAGCTGAGATCACACTTCACAAACAAGTTTATCAGAATGCTTCCGTCTAGTTTTTATTTGAAGATATATCCTTTCTCACTATAGACCTGAAAGCTGTCCTAAAATTCACTTCCAGATACTACAGAAAGAGTGTTTCAAAACTGCTGTACGAAAGGGAATGTTCAACTCTGTGACTTGAATGCACACATCACAAGGATGTTTCTGAGGATGCTGCTGTCTACTTTTTATACGTAATCCCGTTTCCAACGAAATCCTCCAAGCTATCCAAGTATCCACTTGCAGATTCCACAGAAAGACTGTTTCAAAACTGCTCTGTCAATAGAAAGGTTCAACTCTGTTAGCTGCGTGCATATATCCCAAAGAAGATTCTGAGATTGCTTCTGTCTACTTTTTATGAGAAGATATTTCCCTTTTCACCGTAGGTGTAAAGGCGCTCCAAATGTCCACTTCCAGATACTACAAAAAGTGTGTTTCAAACCTACTCTGTGAAAGGGAATATTCAACTCTGTGACTTGAATGCACATATCACAAAGAAGTTTCTGAGAATGCTTCTGTCGAGATTTTATATGAAGATATTCCCGTTTCCAACGAAATCCTGAAATCTATCCAAATATCCCCTCGCAGATTCTACAAAAAGAGTGTTTCAAAACTGCTCTGTAAAAAGGAAGGTTCAACTCTGTTAGTTGAGTACACACATCACAAACAAGTTTCACAGAATGCTTCTTTCTAGCTTGTAGGGGAAGATATTCCCTTTAGCACCATGGGCCTCCAACCGTCCGATAAGTCCACTTCCATATACTACAAAAAGAGCGTTTCAAACCTGCTCTATGAAAGGCAATGTTCAACTCTGTGACTTGAATGCAGACATCACAGAGCAGTTTCTGAGAATGCTTCTGTCTAGATTTTATAGGAAGATATTCCCGTTTCCAAAGAAATCTTCACAGCTATCCAAATATCCACTTGCAGATTCTACAAAAAGAGTGTATCAAAACTGCTCTGTCAAAAGGAAGGTTCTTCTCTGTTAGGTGAGTGCATACGTCATAAAGCAGTTTCTGAGAATGTTTCTATCTAGTGGTTATGGGAAGATATTTGCTTTTTCCCCGTAGGCCTCAGGGCGCTCCAAATGTCCACTTGCACATGCTTCAAAAAGAGTGCTTCAAAGCTGCTCTCTGAAAGGGAATGTTCAACTCTATGAGTTGAATGCAAACATCACAAAGACGTTTCTGAGAATGCTTCTGTCTAGATTTGATATGAAGATATTCCCGTTTCCAACGAAATCTTCAAATCTATCCAAATGTCTACTTGCAGATTCAACAAAAAGTGTTTTTCAAAACTGCTGTATCAAAAGAAAGATCCACGTCTGTTAGCTGAGTTCACACATCACAAACAAGTTTATGAGAATGCTTCTGTCTAGTTTTTATTTGAAGGTATTTCCTTTCTCACCATAGACCTGAAAGCTGTCCTAATGTTCACTTCCAGATACTACAGAAAGAGTGTTTCAAAACTGCTGTACGAAAGGGAATGTTCAACTCTGTGACTTGAATGCACACATCACAAGGAAGTTTCTGAGGATGCTGCTGTCTACTTTTTATACGTAATCCCGTTTCCAACGAAATCCTCCAAGCTATCCAAATATCCACTTGCAGATTCCACAGAAAGACTGTTTCAAAACTGTTCTGTCAATAGAAAGGTTCAACTCTGTTACTTGAGTACACACATCACAAACAAGTTTCACAGAATGCTTCTGTCTAGTTTTTATGGGAAGATATTTGCCTTTTCACCGTAGGCGTCCAGGCGCTCCAAATGTCCACTTCCAGATACTACAAAAAGAGTGTTTCAAACCTACTCTGTGAAAGGGAATATTCAACTCTGTGACTTGAATGCACATATCACAAGGAAGTTTCTGAGAATGCTTCTGTCGAGATTTTATATGAAGATATTCCCGTTTCCAACGAAATCCTGAAGTCTCTCCAAATATCCCCTCGCAGATTCTACAAAAACAGTGTTTCAAAACTGCTCTGTAAAAAGAAAGGTTCAACTCTGTTAGTTGAGTACACACATCACAAACAAGTTTCACAGAATGCTTCTTTCTAGCTTGTAGGGCAAGATATTCCCTTTATCACCATGGGCCTCAAACCGTCCGAAACGTCTACTTCCATATACTACAAAAAGAGCGTTTCAAACCTGCTCTATGAAAGGCAATGTTCAACTCTGTGACTTGAATGCAGACATCACAGAGCAGTTTCTGAGAATGCTTCTGTCTAGATTTTATAGGAAGATATTCCCGTTTCCAAAGAAATCTTCACAGCTATCCAAATATCCACTTGCAGATTCTACAAAAAGAGTGTATCAAAACTGCTCTGTCAAAAGGAAGGTTCTTCTCTGTTAGTTGAGTACATACGTCATAAAGGAGTAATCTGAGAATGTTCCTGTCTAGTGGTTATGGGAAGATATTTGCTTTTTCCCTGTAGGCCTCAAAGCGCTCCAAATGTCCACTTGCACATACTACAAAAAGAGTGCTTCAAAGCTGCTCTCTGAAAGGGAATGTTCAACTCTATGAGTTGAATGCTAACATCACAAAGTCGTTTCTGAGAATGCTTCTGTCTAGATTTGATATGAAGATATTCCCGTTTCCAACGAAATCTTCAAATCTATCCAAATGGCCACTTGCAGATTCAACAAAAAGTGTTTTTCAGAACTGCTCTATCAAAAGAAAGATCCACCTCTGTTAGCTGAGTTCACACATCACAAACAAGTTTATGAGAATGCTTCTGTCTAGTTTTTATTTGAAGATATTTCCTTTCTCACCATAGACCTGAAAGCTGTCCTAATGTTCACTTCCAGATACTACATAAAGAGTGTTTCAAAACTGCTGTACGAAAGGGAATGTTCAACTCTGTGACTTGAATGCACACATCCCAAAGAAGTTTCTGAGGATGCTGCTGTCTACTTTTTATACGTAATCCTGTTTCCAACGAAATCCTCCAAGCTATCCAAATATCCACTTGCAGATTCCACAGAAAGACTGTTTCAAAACTGCTGTCAATAGAAAGGTTCAACTCTGTTAGCTGCGTGCATATATCCCAAAGAAGATTCTGAGATTGCTTCTGTCTAGTTTTTATGGGAAGATATTTCCCTTTTCACCGTAGGTGTCAAGGTGCTCCAAATGTCCAATTCCAGATACTACAAAAAGAGTGTTTCAAACCTACTCTGTGAAAGGGAATATTCAACCCTGTGACTTGAATGTAGATATCACAAAGAAGTTTCTGAGAATGCTTCTGTCGAGATTTTATATGAAGATATTCCCGTTTCCAACGAAATCCTGAAATCTATCCAAATATCCCCTCGCAGATTCTACAAAAAGAGTGTTTCAAAACTGCTCTGTAAAAAGAAAGGTTCAACTCTGTTAGTGGAGTACACACATCACAAACAAGTTTCACAGAATGCTTCTTTCTAGCTTGTAGGGGAAGAAATTTCCTTTATCACCATGGGCCTCAAACCGTCCGAAACGTCCACTTCCATATACTAACAAAAGAGTGTTTGAAACCTGCTCTATGAAAGGCAATGTTCAACTCTGTGACTTGAATGCAGACATCACAGAGCAGTTTCTGAGAATGCTTCTGTCCTGACTTTATAGGAAGATATTCCCGATTCCAACGAAATCTTTACAGCTATCCAAATATCCACTTGCAGATACTACAAAAGAGTGTATCAAAAAAGCTCTGTCAAAAGGAAAGTTCTTCTCTGCTAGTTGAGTACATACGTCATAAAGAAGTTTCTGAGAATGTTTCTGTCTAGTGGTTATGGGAAGATATTTGCTTTTTCACCTTAGGCCTCAGAGCGCTCCAAATGTCCACTTGCACATACTACAAAAAGAGTGCTTCAAAGCTGCTCTCTGAAAGGGAATGTTCAACTCTATGAGTTGAATGCAAACATCACAAAGACGTTTCTGAGAATGCTTCTGTCTAGATTTGATATGAAGATATTCCCGTTTCCAACGAAATCTTCATATCTATCCAAATGTCCACTTGCAGATTCAACAAAAAGTGTTTTTCAGAACTGCTCTATCAAAAGAAAGATCCACCTCTGTTAGGTGAGTTCACACATCACAAAGAAGTTTATGAGAATGCTTCTGTCTAGTTTTTATTTGAAGATATATCCTTTCTCACTATAGACCTGAAAGCTGTCCTAAAGTTCACTTCCAGATACTACAGAAAGAGTGTTTCAAAACTGCTGTACGAAAGGTAATGTTCAACTCTGTGACTTGAATGCACACATCACAAGGATGTTTCTGAGGATGCTTCTGTCTAGTTTTTGTGGGAAGATATTTCCCTTTTCACCGTAGGTGTCAAGGCGCTCCAAATGTCCACTTCCAGATACTACAAAAAGAGTGTTTCAAACCTACTCTGTGAAAGGGAATATTCAACTCTGTGACTTGAATGCACATATCACAAAGAAGTTTCTGAGAATGCTTCTGTCGAGATTTTATATGAAGATATTCCCGTTTACAACGAAATCCTGAAATCTATCCAAATATCACCTCGCAGATTCTACAAAAAGAGTGTTTCAAAACTGCTCTGTAAAAAGAAAGGTTCAACTCTGTTAGTTGAGTACACACATCACAAACAAGTTTCACAGAATGCTTCTTTCTAGCTTGTAGGGGAAGATATTCCCTTTATCACCATGGGCCTCAAACCGTCCGAAACGTCCACTTCCATATACTACAAAAAGAGCGTTTCAAACCTGCTCTATGAAAGGTAATGTTCAACTCTGTGACTTGAATGCAGACATCACAGAGCAGTTTCTGAGAATGCTTCTGTCTAGATTTTATAGGAAGATATTCCCGTTTCCAACGAAATCTTCAGAGCTATCCAAATATCCACTTGCAGATTCTACAAAAAGAGTGTATCAAAACTGCTCTGTCAAAAGGAAGGTTCTTCTCTGTTAGGTGAGTGCATACGTCGTAAAGGAGTTTCTGAGAATGTTTCTGTCTAGTCGTTATGGGAAGATATTTGCTTTTTCACCGTAGGCCTCAGAGCGCTCCAAATATCCCCTTGCACATACTACAAAAAGAGTGCTTCAGAGCTGCTCTCTGAAAGGGAATGTTCAACTCTATGAGTTGAATGCAAACATCACAAAGACGTTTCTGAGAATGCTTCTCTCTAGATTTGATATGAAGATATTCCCGTTTCCAACGAAATCTTCAAATCTATCCAAATGTCCACTTGCAGATTCAACAAAACGTGTTTTTCAGAACTGCTCAATCAAAAGAAAGATCCACCTGTGTTAGCCGAGTTCACACATCACAAACAAGTTTATGAGAATGCTTCTGTCTAGTTTTTATTTGAAGATATTTCCTTTCTCACCATAGAGCTGAAAGCTGTCCTAATGTTCACTTCCAGATACTACAGAAAGAGTGTTTCAAAACTGCTGTACGAAAGGGAATGTTCAACTATGTGACTTGAATGCACACATCACAAAGGAGTTTCTGAGGATGCTGCTGTCTACTTTTTATACGTAATCCCGTTTCCAACGAAATCCTCCAAGCTATCCAAATATCCACTTGCAGATTCCACAGAAAGGCTGTTTCAAAACTGCTCTGTCAATAGAAAGGTTCAACTCTGTTAGCTGCGTGCATATATCCCAAAGAAGATTCTGAGATTGCTTCTGTCTAGTTTTTATGGGAAGATATTTCCCTTTTCTCCGTAGGGGTCAAGGCGCTCCAAATGTCCACTTCCAGATACTACAAAAAGAGTGTTTCAAACCTACTCTGTGAAAGGGAATATTCAACTCTGTGACTTGAATGCAGATATCATAAAGAAGTTTCTGAGAATGCTTCTGTCGAGATTTTATATGAAGATATTCCCGTTTCCAACGAAATGCTGAAATCTATCCAAATATCCCCTCGCAGATTCTACAAAAAGAGTGTTTCAAAACTGCTCTGTAAAAAGAAAGGTTCAACTCTGTTAGTTGAGTACACACATCACAAATAAGTTTCACACAATGCTTCTTTCTAGCTTGTAGGGGAAGATATTCCCTTTATCACCATGGGCCTCAAACCGTCCGATAAGTCCACTTCCATATACTACAAAAAGAGCGTTTCAAACCTGCTCTATGAAAGGCAACGTTCAACTCTGTGACTTGAATGCAGACATCACAGAGCAGTTTCTGAGAATGCTTCTGTCTAGATTTTATAGGAAGATATTCCCGTTTCCAACGAAATCTTCACAGCTATCCAAATATCCACTTGCAGATTCTACAAAAAGAGTGTATCAAAACTGCTCTGTCAAAAGGAAGGTTCTTTTCTGTTAGGTGAGTGCATACGTCATAAAGGAGTTTCTGGGAATGTTTCAGTCTAGTGGTTATGGGAAGATATTTGCTTTTTCCCCGTAGGCCTCAGAGCGCTCCAAATATCCACTTGCACATACTACAAAAAGAGTGCTTCAAAGATGCTCTCTGAAACGGAATGTTCAACTCTATGAGTTGAATGCAAACATCACAAAGACGTTTCTGGGAATGCTTCTGTCTAGATTTGATATGAAGATATTCCCGTTTCCAACGAAATCTTCAAATCTATCCAAATGTCCTCTTGCAGATTCAACAAAAACTGTTTTTCAGAACTGCTCTATCAAAAGAAAGATCCACGTGTGTTAGCTGAGTTCACACATCACGAACAAGTTTATGAGAATGCTTCTGTCTAGTTTTTATTTGAAGATATTTCCTTTCTCACCATAGACCTGAAAGCTGTCCTAATGTTCACTTCCAGTTACTACAGAAAGAGTGTTTCAAAACTGCTGTATGAAAGGGAATGTTCAACTCTGTGACTTGAATGCACACATCACAAAGAAGTTTCTGAGGATGCTGCTGTCTACTTTTTATATGTAATCCCGTTTCCAATGAAATCCTCCAAGCTATCCAAATATCCACTTGCAGATTCCACAGAAAGACTGTTTCAAAAGTGCTCTGTCAATAGAAAGGTACAACTCTGTTAGCTGCGTGCATATATCCCAAAGAAGATTCTGAGATTGCTTCTGTCTAGTTTTTATGGGAAGATATTTCCCTTTTCACCGTAGGCGTCACGGCGCTCCAAATGTCCACTTCCAGATACTATAAAAAGAGTGTTTGAAACCTACTCTGTGAAAGGGAATATTCAACTCTGTGACTTGAATGCAGATATCACAAAGAAGTTTCTGAGAATGCTTCTGTCGAGATTTTATATGAAGATATTCCCGTTTCCAATGAAATCCTGAAATCTATCCAAATATCCCCTTGCAGATTCTACAAAAAGAGTGTTTCAAAACTGCTCTGTAAAAAGAAAGGTTCAACTCTGTTAGTTGAGTACACACATCACAAACAAGTTTCACACAATGCTTCTTTCTAGCTTGTAGGGGAAGATATTCCCTTTATCACCATGGGCCTCAAACAGTCCGAAACGTCCACTTCCATATACTACAAAAAGAGCGTTTCAAACCTGCTCTAGGAAAGGCAATGTTCAACTCCGTGACTTGAATGCAGACATCCCAGAGCAGTTTCAGAGAATGCTTCTGTCTAGATTTTATAGGAAGATATTCCCGTTTCCAACGAAATCTTCACAGCTATCCAAATATCCACTTGCAGATTCTACAAAAAGAGTGTATCAAAACTGCTCTGTCAGAAGGAAGGTTCTTTTCTGTTAGGTGAGTGCATACGTCATAAAGGAGTTTCTGAGAATGTTTCTGTCTAGTGGTTATGGGAAGATATTTGCTTTTTCACCGTAGGCCTCACAGCGCTCAAAATATCCCCTTGCACATACTACAAAAAGAGTGCTTCAAAGCTGCTCTCTGAAACGGAATGTTCAACTCTATGAGTTGAATGCAAACGTGACAAAGACGTTTCCGAGAATGCTTCTGTCTAGATTTGATATGAAGATATTCCCGTTTCCAACGAAATCTTCATATCTATCCAAATGTCCACTTGCAGATTCAACAAAACGTGTTTTTCAGAACTGCTCTATCAAAAGAAACATCCACCTCTGTTAGCTGAGTTCACACATCACAAACAAGTTCTTGAGAATGCTTCTGTCTAGTTTTTATTTGAAGATATTTCCTTTCTCACCATAGACCTGAATGCTGTCTTAATGTTCACTTCCAGATACTACAGAAAGAGTGTTTCAAAACTGCTGTACGAAAGGGAATGTTCAACTCTGTGACTTGAATGCACACATCACAAAGAAGTTTCTGAGGATGCTGCTGTCTACTTTTTATACGTAATCCCGTTTCCAACGAAATTCTCCAAGCTATCCAAATGTCCACTTGCAGATTCCACAGAAAGACTGTTTCAAAACTGCTCTGTCAATAGAAAGGTTCAACTCTGTTAGCTGCGTGCATATATCCCAAAGAAGATTCTGAGATTGCTTCTGTCTAGTTTTTATTGGAAGATATTTCCCTTTTCACCGTAGGCGTCAAGGCGCTCCAAATGTCCACTTCCAGATACTACAAAAAGAGTGTTTCAAACCGACTCTGTTAAAACGAATATTCAACTCTTTGACTTGAATGCACATATCACAAAGAAGTTTCTGAGAACGCTTCTGTCGAGATTTTATATGAAGATATTCCCCTTTCCAACGAAATCCTGAAATCTATTCAAATATCCCCTTGCAGATTCTACAAAAAGAGTGTTTCAAAACTGCTCTGTAAAAAGAAAGGTTCAACTCTGTTAGTTGAGTACACACATCACAAACAAGTTTCACAGAATGCTTCTTTCTAGCTTGTAGGGGAAGATATTCCCTTTATCACCATGGGCCTCAAACCGTCCGAAACGTCCACTTCCATATACTACAAAAAGAGCGTTTCAAACCTGCTCTATGAAAGGCAATGTTCAACTCTGTGACTTGAATGCAGACAGAACAGAGCAGTTTCTGAGAATGCTTCTGTCTAGATTTTATAGGAAGATATTCCCGTTTCCAACGAAATCTTCACAGCTATCCAAAGATCCACTTGCAGATTCTACAAAAAGAGTGTATCAAAACTGCTCTGTCAAAAGGAAGGTTCTTCTCTGTTAGGTGAGTGCATACGTCATAAAGGAGTTTCTGAGAATGTTTCCGTCTAGTGGTTATGGGAAGATATTTGCTTTTTCACCGAAGGCCTCAGAGCGCTCCAAATATCCACTTGCACATACTACAAAAAGAGTGCCTCAAAGCTGCTCTCTGAAACGGAATGTTCAACTCTATGAGTTGAATGCAAACATCGCAAAGACGTTTCTGAGAATGCTTCTGTCTAGATTTGATATGAAGATATTCCCGTTTCCTACGAAATCTTCAAATCTATCCAAATGTCCACTTGCAGATTCAACAAAAAGTGTTTTTCAGAACTGCTCTATCAAAAGAAAGATCCACCTCTGTTAGCTGAGTTCACACATCACAAACAAGTTTATGAGAATGCTTCTGTCTAGTTTTTATTTGAAGATATTTCCTTTCTCACCATAGACCTGAAAGCTGTCCTAATGTTCACTTCCAGATACTACAGAAAGAGTGTTTCAAAACTGCTGTACGAAAGGGAATGTTCAACCCTGTGACTTGAATGCACACATCACAAAGAAGTTTCTGAGGATGCTGCTGTCTACTTTTTATACGTAATCCCGTTTCCAACGAAATCCTCCAATCTATCCAAATATCCACTTGCAGATTCCACAGAAAGACTTTTTCAAAACTGCTCTGTCAATAGAAAGGTTCAACTCTGTTAGCTGCGTGCATGTATCCCAAAGAAGATTCTCAGATTGCTGCTGTCTAGTTTTTATGGGAAGATATTTCCCTTTTCACCGTAGACGTCAAGGCGCTCCAAATGACCACTTCCAGATACTACAAAAAGAGTGTTTCAAACCTACTCTGTGAAAGGGAATATTCAACTCTGTGACTTGAATGCAGATATCACAAAGTACTTTCTGAGAATGCTTCTGTCGAGATTTTCTATGAAGATATTCCCGTTTCCTACGAAATCCTGAAATCTATCCAAATATCCCCTCGCAGATTCTACAAAAAGAGTGTTTCAAAACTGCTCTGTAAAAAGAAAGGTTCAACTCTGTTAGTTGAGTACACACATCACAAACAAGTTTCACAGAATGCTTCTTTCTAGCTTGTAGGGGAAGATATTCCCTTCATCACCATGGGCCTCAAACCGTCCGAAACGTCCACTTCCATATACTACAAAAAGAGTGTTTCAAACCTGCTCTATGAAAGGCAATGTTCAACTCTGTGACTTGAATGCAGACATCACAGAGCAGTTTCTGAGAATGCTTCTGTCTAGATTTTATAGGAAGATATTCCCGTTTCCAACGAAATCTTCACAGGTATCCAAATATCCACTTGCAGATTCTACAAAAAGAGTGTATCAAAACTGCTCTGTCAAAAGGAAGGTTCTTCTCTGTTAGGTGAGTACATACGTCATAAAGGAGTTTCTGAGAAAGTTCTGCCTAGTGGTTATGGGAAGATATTTGCTTTTTCACCGTAGGCCTCAGAGCGCTCCAAATATCCACTTGCACATACTACAAAAAGAGTGCTTCAAAGCTGCTCTCTGAAAGGGAATGTTCAACTCTATGAGTTGAATGCAAACATCACAAAGACGTTTCTGAGAATGCTTTCTATCTAGATTTGATATGAAGATATTCCCGTTTCCAATGAAATCTTCAAATCTATCCAAATGTCCACTTGCAGATTCAACAAAAAGTGTTTTTCAAAACTGCTGTATCAAAAGAAAGATCCACGTCTGTTAGCTGAGTTCACATATCACAAACTATTTTATGAGAATGCTTCTGTCTAGTTTTTATTTGAAGATATTGCCTTTCTCACCATAGACCTGAAAGCTGTCCTAATGTTCACTTCCAGATACTACAGAAAGAGTGTTTCAAAACTGCTGTACGAAAGGGAATGTTCAACTCTGTGACTTGAATGCACACATCACAAAGAAGTTTCTGAGGAGGCTGCTGTCTACTTTTTATACGTAATCCCGTTTCCAACGAAATCCTCCAAGCTATCCAAATATGCACTTGCAGATTCCACAGAAAGACTGTTTCAAAACTGCTCTGTCAATAGAAAGGTTCAACTCTGTTAGCTGCGTGCATATATCCCAAAGAAGATTCTGAGATTGCTTCTGTCTAGTTTTTATGGGAAGATATTTCCCTTTTCACCGTAGGTGTCAAGGCGCTCCAAATGTCCACTTACAGATACTACAAAAAGAGTGTTTCAAACCTACTCTGTGAAAGGGAATATTCAACTCTGTGACTTGAATGCACATATCACAAAGAAGTTTCTGAGAATGCTTCTGTCGAGATTTTATATGAAGATATTCCCGTTTCCAACGAAATGCTGAAATCTATCCAAATATCCCCTCGTAGATTCTACAAAAAGAGTGTTTCAAAACTGCTCTGTGAAAAGAAAGGTTCAACTCTGTTAGTTGAGTACACACATCACAAACAAGTTTCACAGAATGCTTCTTTCTAGCTTGTAGGGGAAGATATTCCCTTTATCACCATGGGCCTCAAACCGTCCGAAACGTCCACTTCCATATACTACAAAAAGAGCCTTTCAAACATGCTCTATGAAAGGCAATTTTCAACTCTGTGACTTGAATGCAGACATCACAGAGCAGTTTCTGAGAATCCTTCTGTCTAGATTTTATAGGAAGATATTCCGGTTTCCAACGAAATCTTCACAGCTATCCAAATATCCACTTGCAGATTCTACAAAAAGAGTGTATCAAAACTGCTCTGTCAAAAGGAAGGTTCTTCTCTGTTAGGTGAGTGCATACGTCATAAAGGAGTTTCTGAGAATGTTTCTGTCTAGTGGTTATGGGAAGATATTTGCTTTTTCACCGTAGGCCTCAGAGGGCTCCAAATATCCACTTGCACATGCTACAAAAAGAGTGCTTCAAAGCTGCTCTCTGAAAGGGAATGTTCAACTCTATGAGTTGAATGCAAACATCACAAAGACGTTTCTGAGAATGCTTCTGTCTAGATTTGATATGAAGATATTCCCGTTTCCAACGAAATCTTCAAATCTATCCAAATGTCCACTTGCAGATTCAACAAAAAGTGTTTTTCAGAACTGCTCTATCAAAAGAAAGATCCACCTCTGTTAGCTGAGTTCACACATCACAAATAAGTTTATGAGAATGCTTCTGTCTAGCTTTTATTTGAAGATATATCCTTTCTCACAATATACCTGAAAGCTCTCTTAAAGTTCACTTCCAGATACTACAGAAAGAGTGTTTCAAAACTGCTGTATGAAAGGGAATGTTCAACTCTGTGACTTGAATGCACATATCACAAAGAAGTTTCTGAGGATGCTGCTGTCTACTTTTTATACGTAATCCCGTTTCCAACGAAATCCTCCAAGCTATCCAAATATCCACTTGCAGATTCCACAGAAAGAATGTTTCAAAACTGCTCTGTCAATAGAAAGGTTCAACTCTGTTAGCTGCGTGCATATATCCCAAAGAAGATTCTGAGATTGCTTCTGTCTAGTTTTTATGGGAAGATATTTCCCTTTTCACCGTAGGCGTCAAGGCGCTCCGAATGTCCACTTCCAGATACTACAAAAAGAGTGTTTCAAACCTACTCTGTGAAAGGGAATATTCAACTCTGTGACTTGAATGCACATATCACAAAGAAGTTTCTGAGAATGCTTCTGTCGAGATTTTATATGAAGATATTCCCGTTTCCAACGAAATCCTGAAATCTATCCAAATATCCCCTCGCAGATTCTACAAAAAGAGTGTTTCAAAACTGCTCTGTAAAAAGAAAGGTTCAAGTCTGTTAGTTGAGTACACACATCACAAACAAGTTTCACAGAATGCTTCTTTCTAGCTTGTAGGTGAAGATATTCCCTTTATCACCATGGGCCTCAAACCGTCCGAAACGTCCACTTCCATATACTACAAAAAGAGCGTTTCAAACCTGCTCTAGGAAAGGCAGTGTTCAACTCTGTGACTTGAATGCAGACATCACAGAGCAGTTTCTGAGAATGCTTCTGTCTAGATTTCATATGAAGATATTCCTGTTTCCAACGAAATCTTCACAGCTATCCAAATATTCACTTGCAGATACTACAAAAAGAGTGTATCAAAAATGCTCTGTCAAAAGGAAAGTTCTTCTCTGCTAGTTGAGTACATACGTCATAAAGAAGTTTCTGAGAATGTTTCTGTCTAGTGGTTATGGGAAGATATTTGCTTTTTCACCTTAGGCCTCAGAGCGATCCAAATATCCACTTGCACATACTACAAAAAGAGTGCTTCAAAGCTGCTCTCTGAAAGGGAATGTTCAACTCTATGAGTTGAATGCAAATATCACAAAGACGTTTCTGAGAATGCTTCTGTCTAGATTTGATATGAAGATATTCCCGTTTCCAACGAAATCTTCAAATCTATCCAAATGTCCACTTGCAGATTCAACAAAAAGTGTTTTTCAGAACTGCTCTATCAAAAGAAAGATCCACCTCTGTTAGCAGAGTTCACACATCACAAACAAGTTTATGAGAATGCTTCCGTCTAGTTTTTATTTGAAGATATTTCCTTTCTCTCCATAGACCTGAAAGCTGTCCTAATGTTCACTTCCAGTTACTACAGAAAGAGTGTTTCAAAACTGCTGTACGAAAGGGAATGTTCAACTCTGTGACTTGAATGCACACATCACAAAGAAGTTTCTGAGGATGCTGCTGTCTAATTTTTATACGTAATCCCGTTTCCAACGAAATCCTCCAAGCTATCCAAATATCCACTTGCAGATTCCACAGAAAGACTGTTTCAAAACTGCTATGTCAATAGAAAAGTTCAACTCTGTTAGCTGTGTGCATATATCCCAAAGAAAATTCTGAGATTGCTTCTGTCTAGTTTTGATGGGAAGATACTTCCCTTTTCACCGTAGGTGTCAAGGCGCTCCAAATGTCCACTTCCAGATACTACAAAAAGAGTGTTTCAAACCTACTCTGTGAAAGGGAATATTCAACTATGTGACTTGAATGCACATATCACAAAGAAGTTTCTGAGAATGCTTCTGTCGAGATTTTATATGAAGATATTCTCGTTTCCAACGAAATGCTGAAATGTATCCAAATATCCCCTCGCAGATTCTACAAAAAGAGTGTTTCAAAACTGCTCTGTAAAAAGAAAGGTTCAACTCTGTTAGTTGAGTACACACATCACAAACAAGTTTCACAGAATGCTTCTTTCTAGCTTGTAGGGGAAGATATTCCCTTTATCACGATGGGCCTCAAACCGTCCGAAACATCCACTTCCATATACTACAAAAAGAGCATTTCAAACCTGCTCTATGAAAGGCAATGTTCAACTCTGTGACTTGAATGCAGACATCACAGAGCAGTTTCTGAGAATGCTTCTGTCTAGATTTTATAGGAAGATATTCCCGTTTCCAACGAAATCTTCACAGCTATCCAAATATCCACTTGCAGATTCTCCAAAAAGAGTGTATCAAAACTGCTCTGTCAAAAGGAAGGTTCTTCTCTGTTAGGTGAGTGCATACGTCATAAAGGAGTTTCTGAGAATGTTTCTGTCTAGTGGTTATGGGAAGATATTTGCTTTTTCACCTTAGGCCTCAGAGAGCTCCAAATATCCCCTTGCACATACTACAAAAAGAGTGCTTCAAAGCTGCTCTCTGAAAGGGAATGTTCAACTCTATGAGTTGAATGCAAACATCACAAAGACGTTTCTGAGAATGCTTCTGTCTAGATTTGATATGAAGATATTCCCGTTTCCAAAGAAATCTTCAAATCCATCCAAATGTCCACTTGCAGATTCAACAAAAAGTGTTTTTCAGAACTGCTCTATCAAAAGAAAGATCCACCTCTTTTAGCTGAGTTCACACATCACAAACAAGTTTATGAGAATGCTTCTGTCTAGTTTTTATTTGAAGATATTTCCTTTCTCACCATAGACCTGAAATCTGTCCTAATGTTCACTTCCAGATACTACAGAAAGAGTGTTTCAAAACTGCTGTACGAAAGGGAATGTTCAACTCTGGGACTTGAATGCATACATCACAAAGAAGTTTCTGAGGATGCTGCTGTCTACTTTTTATACATAATCCCGTTTCCAACGAAATCCTCCAAGCTATCCAAATATCCACTTGCAGATTCCACAGAAAGACTGTTTCAAAACTGCTCTGTCAATAGAAAAGTTCAACTCTGTTAGCTGTGTGCATATATCCCAAAGAAAATTCTGAGATTGCTTCTGTCTAGTTTTTAGGGGAAGATATTTCCCTTTTCACCGTAGGTGTCAAGGCGCTCCAAATGTCCACTTCCAGATACTAGAAAAAGAGTGTTTCAAACCTACTCTGTGAAAGGGAATATTCAACTCTGTGACTTGAATGCACATATCACAAAGAAGCTTCTGAGAGTGCTTCTGTCGAGATTTTTTATGAAGATATTCCCGTTTCCAACGAAATCCTGAAATCTATCCAAATATCCCCTCGCAGATTCTACAAAAAGAGTGTTTCCAAACTGCTCTGTAAAAAGAAAGGTTCAACTCTGTTAGTTGAGTACACACATCACAAACAAGTTTCACAGAATGCTTCTTTCTACCTTGTAGGGGAAGATATTCCCTTTATCACCATGGGCCTCAAACCGTCCGAAACGTCCACTTCCATATACTACAAAAAGAGCGTTTCAAACCTGCTCTATGAAAGGCAATGTTCAACTCTGTGACTTGAATGCAGACATCACAGAGCAGTTTCTGAGAATGCTTCTGTCTAGATTTTATAGGAAGATATTCCCGTTTCCAACGAAATCTTCACAGCTATCCAAATATCCACTTGCAGATTCTACAAAAAGAGTGTATCAAAACTGCTCTGTCAAAAGGAAGGTTCTTCTCTGTTAGGTGAGTGCATACGTCATAAAGGAGTTCCTGAGAATGTTTCTGTCTAGTGGTTATGGGAAGATATTTGCTTTTTCACCGTAGGCCTCAGAGCGCTCCAAATATCCACTTGCACATACTTCAAAAAGAGTGTTTCAAAGCAGCTCTCTGAAAGGGAATGTTCAACTCTATGAGTTGAATGCAAACATGACAAAGACGTTTCTGAGAATGCTTCTGTCTAGATTTGATATGAAGATATTCCCGTTTCCAACGAAATCTTCATATCTATCCAAATGTCCACTTGCAAATTCAACAAAAAGTGTTTTTCAAAACTGCTGTATCAAAAGAAAGATCCACCTCTGTTAGCTGAGTTCACACATCACAAACAAGTTTATGAGAATGCTTCTGTCTAGTTTTTATTTAAAGATATTTCCTTTCTCACCATAGACCTGAAAGCTGTCCTAATGTTCACTTCCAGATACTACAGAAAGAGTGTTTCAAAACTGCTGTACGAAAGGGAATGTTCAACTCTGTGACTTGAATGCACACATCACAAAGAAGTTTCTGAGGATGCTGCTGTCTACTTTTTATACGTAATCCCGTTTCCAACGAAATCCTCCAAGCTATCCATATATCCACTTCCAGATTCCACAGAAAGACTGTTTCAAAACTGCTCTGTCAATAGAAAGGTTCAACTCTGTTAGCTGCGTGCATATATCCCAAAGAAGATTCTGAGATTGCTTCTGTCTAGTTTTTATGGGAAGATCTTTCCCTTTTCACCGTAGGCGTCAAGGCGCTCCAAATGTCCACTTCCAGATACTACAAAAAGAGTGTTTCAAACCTACTCTGTGAAAGGGAATATTCAACTCTGTGACTTGAATGCACATATCACAAAGAAGTTTCTGAGAATGCTTCTGTCGAGATTTTATATGATGATATTCCCCTTTCCAACGAAATCCAGAAATCTATCCAAATATCCCCTCGCAGATTCTACAAAAAGAGTGTTTCAAAACTGCTCTGTAAAAAGAAAGTTTCAACTCTATTAGTTGAGTACACACATCACAAACAAGTTTCACAGAATGCTTCTTTCTAGCTTGTAGGGGAAGATATTCCCTTTATCACCATGGGCCTCAAACCGTCCGAAACGTCCACTTCCATATACTACAAAAAGAGCGTTTCTAAACTGCTCTAGGAAAGGCAATGTTCAACTCTGTGACTTGAATGCAGACATCACAGAGCAGTTTCTGAGAATGCTTCTGTCTAGATTTTATAGGAAGATATTCCCGTTTCCAACGAAATCTTCACAGCTATCCAAATATCCACTTGCAGATTCTACAAAAAGAGTGTATCAAAACTGCTCTGTCAAAAGGAAGGTTCTTCTCTGTTAGATGAGTACATACGTCATAAAGGAGTTTCTGAGAATGTTTCTGTCTAGTGGTTATGGGAAGATATTTGCTTTTTCACCTTAGGCCTCAGAGCGCTCCAAATATCCACTTGCACATACTACAAAAAGAGTGCTTCAAAGCTGCTCTCTGAAACGGAATGTTCAACTCTATGAGTTGAATGCAAACATCACAAAGACGTTTCTGAGAATCCTTCTGTCTAGATTTGATATGAAGATATTCCCGTTTCCAACGAAATCATCAAATCTATCCAAATGTCCACTTGCAGATTCAACAAAAAGTGTTTTTCAGAACTGCTCTATCAAAAGAAAGATCCACCTCTGTTAGCTGGGTTCACACATCACAAACAAGTTTATGAGAATGCTTCTGTCTAGTTTTTATTTGAAGATATTTCCTTTCTCAAAATAGACCTGAAAGCTGTCCTAATGTTCACTTCCAGATACTACAGAAAGAGTGTTTCAAAACTGCTGTACGAAAGGGAATGTTCAACTCTGTGACTTGAATGCACACATCACAAAGAAGTTTCTGAGGATGCTGCTGTCTACTTTTTATACGTAATCCCGTTTCCAACGAAATCCTCCAAGCTATCCAAATATCCACTTGCAGATTCCACAGAAAGACTGTTTCAAAACAGCTCTGTCAATAGAAAGGTTCAACTCTGTTAGCTGCGTGCATATATCCCAAAGAAGATTCTGAGATTGCTTCTGTCTAGTTTTTATGGGAAGATATTTTCCTTTTCACCGTAGGCGTCAAGGCGTTCCAAATGTACACTTCCAGATACTTCAAAAAGAGTGTTTCAAACCTACTCTGTGAAAGGGAATATTCAACTCTGTGACTTGAATGCAGATATCACAAAGAAGTTTCTGAGAATGCTTCTGTCGAGATTTTATATGAAGATATTCCCGTTTCCAACGAAATCCTGAAATCTATCCAAATATCCCCTCGAAGATTCTACAAAAAGAGTGTTTCAAAACTGCTCTATAAAAAGAAAGGTTCAACTCTGTTAGTTGAGTACACACATCACAAACAAGATTCACAGAATGCTTCTTTCTAGCTTGTAGGGGAAGATATTCCCTTTATCACCATGGGCCTCAAACCGTCCGAAACGTCTACTTCCATATACTACAAAAAGAGCGTTTCAAACCTGCTCTATGAAAGGCAATGTTCAACTGTGTGACTTGAATGCAGACATCACAGAGCAGTTTCTGAGAATGCTTCTGTCTAGATTTTATAGGAAGATATTCCCGTTTCCAACGAAATCTTCACAGCTATACAAATATCCACTTGCAGATTCTACAAAAAGCGTGTATCAAAACTGCTCTGTCAAAAGGAAGGTTCTTTTCTGTTAGGTGAGTGCATACGTCATAAAGGAGTTTCTGAGAATGTTTCTGTCTAGTGGTTATGGGAAGATATTTGCTTTTTCCCCGTAGGCCTCAAAGCGCTCCAAATCTCCACTTGCACATACTACAAAAAGAGTGCTTCAAAGCTGCTCTCTGAAAGGGAATGTTCAACTCTATGAGTTGAATGCAAGCATCACAAAGACGTTTCTGAGAATGCTTCTGTCTAGATTTGATATGAAGATATTCCCGTTTCCAAAGAAATCTTCAAATCTATCCAAATGTCCACTTGCAGATTCAACAAAAAGTGTTTTTCAAAAGTGTTGTATCAAAAGAAAGATCCACCTCTGTTAGCTGAGTTCACACATCAAAACAAGTTTATGAGAATGCTTCTGTCTAGTTTTTATTTGAAGATATTTCCTTCCTCACCATAGACCTGAAAGCTGTCCTAATGTTCACTTCCAGATACTACAGAAAGAGTGTTTCAAAACTGCTGTACGAAAGGGAATGTTCAACTCTGTGACTTGAATGCACACATCACAAAGAAGTTTCTGAGGATGCTGCTGTCTACTTTTTATACGTAATCCCGTTTCCAATGAAATCCTCCAAGCTATCCAAATATCCACTTGCAGATTCCACAGAAAGACTGTTTCAAAACTGCTCTGTCAATAGAAAGGTTCAACTCTGTTAGCTGCATGCATATATCCCAAAGAAGATTCTGAGATTGCTTCTGTCTAGTTTTTAGGGGAAGATATTTCCCTTTTCACCGTAGGTGTCAAGGCACTCCAAATGTCCACTTACAGATACTACAAAAAGAGTGTTTCAAACCTACTCTGTGAAAGGGAATATTCAACTCTGTGACTTGAATGCAGATATCACAATGAAGTTTCTGAGAATGCCTCTGTCGCGATTTTATATGAAGATATTCCCGTTTCCAACAAAATCCTGAAATCTATCCAAATATCTCCTCGCAGATTCTACAAAAAGAGTGTTTCAAAACTGCTCTGTAAAAAGAAAGGTTCAACTCTGTTAGTTGAGGACACACATCACAAACAAGTTTCACAGAATGCTTCTTTCTAGCTTGTAGGGGAAGATATTCCCTTTATCACCATGGGCCTCAAACCGTCCGAAACGTCCACTTCCATATACTACAAAAAGAGCGTTTCAAACCTGCTCTATGAAAGGCAATGTTCAACTCTGTGACTTGAATGCAGACTTCACAGAGCAGTTTCTGAGAATGCTTCTGTCTAGATTTTATATGAAGATATTCCCGTTTCCAACGAAATCTTCACAGCTATCCAAATATCCACTTGCAGATTCTACAAAAAGAGTGTATCAAAACTGCTCTGTCAAAAGGAAGGTTCTTCTCTGTTAGGTGAGTGCATACATCATAAAGGAGTTTCTGAGAATGTTTCTGTCTAGTGGTTATGGGAAGATATTTGCTTTTTCACCGTAGGCCTCAGAGCGCTCCAAATATGCACTTGCACATACTACAAAAAGAGTGCTTCAAAGCTGCTCTCTGAAAGGGAATGTTCAACTCTATGAGTTGAATGCAAACATCACAAAGACGTTTCTGAGAATGCTTCTGTCTAGATTTGATATGAAGATATTCCCGTTTCCAACGAAATCTTGAAATCTATCCAAATGTCCACTTGCAGATTCATACAAAGTGTTTTTCAGAACTGCTCTATCAAAAGAAAGATCCACCTCTGTTAGCTGAGATCACACTTCACAAACAAGTTTATCAGAATGCTTCTGTCTAGTTTTTATTTGAAGATATTTCCTTTCTCACCATAGAGCTGAAAGCTGTCCTAATGTTCACTTCCAGATACTACAGAAAGAGTGTTTCAAAACTGCTGTACGAAAGGGAATGTTCAACTCTGTGACTTGGATGCACACATCACAAAGAAGTTTCTGAGGATGCTGCTGTCTACTTTTTATACGTAATCCCGTTTCCAACGAAATCCTCCAAGCTATCCAAATATCCACTTGCAGATTCCACAGAAAGACTGTTTCAAAACTGCTCTGTCAATAGAAAGGTTCAACTCTGGTAGCTGCGTGCATATATCCCAAAGAAGATTCTGAGATTGCTTCTGTCTAGTTTTGATGGGAAGATATTTCCCTTTTCACCGTAGGTGTCAAGGCGCTCCAAATGTCCACTTCCAGATACTACAAAAAGAGTGTTTCAAACCTACTCTGTGAAAGGGAATATTCAACTCTGTGACTTGAATGCACATATCACAAAGAAGTTTCTGAGAATGCTTCTGTCGAGATTTTATATGAAGATATTCACGTTTCCAACGAAATCCTGAAATCTATCCAAATATCCCCTCGCAGATTCTACAAAAAGAGTGTTTCAAAACTGCTCTGTGAAAAGAAAGGTTCAACTCTGTTAGTTGAGTACACACATCACAAACAAGTTTCACAGAATGCTTCTTTCTAGCTTGTAGGGGAAGATATTCCCTTTATCACCATGGGCCTCAAACCGTCCGAAACGTCCACTTCCATATACTACAAAAAGAGCGTTTCAAACCTGCTCTAGGAAAGGCAATGTTCAACTCTGTGACTTGAATGCAGACATCAGATAGCAGTTTCTGAGAATGCTTCTGTCTAGATTTTATAGGCAAGATATTCCCGTTTCCAACGAAATCTTCACAGCTATCCAAATATCCACTTGCAGATTCTACAAAAAGAGTGTATCAAAACTGCTCTGTCAAAAGGAAGGTTCTTCTCTGTTAGGTGAGTGCATACGTCATAAAGGAGTTTCTGAGAATGTTTCTGTCTAGTGGTTATGGGAAGATATTTGCTTTTTCACCGTAGGCCTCAGAGTGCTCCAAATATCCACTTGCACATACTACAAAAAGAGTGCCTCAAAGCTGCTCTCTGAAACGGAATGTTCAACTCTATGAGTTGAATGCAAACATCACAAAGACGTTTCTGAGAAAGCTTCTGTCTAGATTTGATATGAAGATATTCCCGTTTCCAACGAAATCTTCAAATCTATCCAAATGTCCACTTGCAGATTCAACAAAAAGTGTTTTTCAGAACTGCTCTATCAAAAGAAAGATCCACGTTCGTTAGCTGAGTTCACACATCACAAACAAGTTTATGAGAATGCTTCTGTCTAGTTTTTATTTGAAGATATTTCCTTTCTCACCATAGACCTGAAAGCTGTCCTAATGTTCACTTCCAGATACTACAGAAAGAGTGTTTCAAAACTGCTATACGAAAGGGAATGTTCAACTCTGTGACTTGAATGCACACATCACAAAGAAGTTTCTGAGGATGCTGCTGTCTACTTTTTATACGTAATCCCGTTTCCAACGAAATCCTCCAAGCTATCCAAATATCCACTTGCAGATTCCACAGAAAGACTGTTTCAAAAGTGCTCTGTCAATAGAAAGGTTCAACTCTGTTAGCTGCGTGCATATATCCCAAAGAAGATTCTGAGATTGCTTCTGTCTACTTTTTATGAGAAGATATTTCCCTTTTCACCGTAGGCGTCAAGGCGCACCAAATGTCAACTTCCAGATACTACAAAAAGAGTGTTTCAAACCTACTCTGTGAAAGGGAATATTCAACTCTGTGACTTGAATGCAGATATCACAAAGAAGTTTCTGAGAATGCTTCTGTCGAGATTTTATATGAAGATATTCCCGTTTCCAACGAAATCCTGAAATCTATCCAAATATCCCCTCGCAGATTCTACAAAAAGAGTGTTTCAAAACTGCTCTGTAAAAAGAAAGGTTCAACTCTGTTAGTTGAGTACACGCATCACAAACAAGTTTCACAGAATGCTTCTTTCTAGCTTGTAGGGGAAGATATTCCCTTTATCACCATGGGCCTCCAACCGTCCGAAACATCCACTTCCATATACTACAAAAAAGCGTTTCAAACCTGCTCTATGAAAGGCAATGTTCAACTCTGTGACTTGAATACAGACATCACAGAGCAGTTTCTGAGAATGCTTCTGTCTAGATTTTATAGGAAGATATTCCCGTTTCCAACGGAATCTTCACAGCTATCCAAATATCCACTTGCAGATTCTACAAAAAGAGTGTATCAAAACTGCTCTGTCAAAAGGAAGGTTCTTCTCTGTTAGGTGAGTGCATACGTCATAAAGGAGTTTCTGAGAATGTTTCTGTCTAGTGGTTATGGGAAGATATTTTCTTTTTCACCGTAGGCCTCAGAGCGCTCCAAATATCCACTTGCACATACTACAAAAAGAGTGTTTCAAAGCTGCTTTCTGAAAGGGAATGTTCAACTCTATGAGTTGAATGCAAACAGGACAAAGACGTTTCTGAGAATGCTTCTGTCTAGATTTGATATGAAGATATTCCCGTTTCCAATGAAATCTTCAAATCTATCCAAATGTCCACTTGCGGATTCAACAAAAAGTGTTTTTCAAAACTGCTGTATCAAAAGAAAGATCCACCTCTGTTAGCTGAGTTCACACATCACAAACAAGTTTATGAGAATGCTTCTGTCTAGTTTTTATTTGAAGATATTTCCTTTCTCACCATAGACCTGAAAGCTGTCCTAATGTTCACTTCCAGATGCTACAGAAAGAGTGTTTCAAAACTGTTGTACGAAAGGGAATGTTCAACTCTGTGACTTGAATGCACACATCACAAAGAAGTTTCTGAGGATGCTGCTGTCTACTTTTTATACATAATCCCGTTTCCAACGAAATCCTCCAAGCTATCCAAATATCCACTTGCAGATTCCACAGAAAGACTGTTTCAAAACTACTCTGTCAATAGAAAGGTTCAACTCTGTTAGCTGCGTGCATGTATCCCAAAGAAGATTCTGAGATTGCTTCTGTCTAGTTTTTATGGGAAGATATTTCCCTTTTCATCGTAGGGGTCAAGGCGCTCCAAATGTCCACTTCCAGATACTACAAAAAGAGTGTTTCAAACCTACTCTGTGAAAGGGAATATTCAACTCTGTGACTTGAATGCAGATATCACAAGAAGTTTCTGAGAATGCTTCTGTCGAGATTTTATATGAAGATATTCCCGTTTCCAACGAAATGCTGAAATGTATCCAAATATCCCCTCGCAGATTCTACAAAAAGAGGGTTTCAAAACTGCTCTGTAAAAAGAAAGGTTCAACTCTGTTAGTTGAGTACACACATCACAAACAAGTTTCACAGAATGCTTCTTTCTAGCTTGTAGGGGAAGATATTCCCTTTATCACCATGGTCCTCAAACCGTCCGAAACGTCCACTTCCATATACTACAAAAAGAGCGTTTCAAACCTGCTCTAGGAAAGGTAATGTTCAACTCTGTGACTTGAATGCAGACATCACAGAGCAGTTTCTGAGAATGCTTCTGTCTAGATCTTATAGGAAGATATTCCCGTTTCAAACGAAATCTTCACAGCTATCCAAATATCCACTTGCAGATTCTACAAAAAGAGTGTATCAAAACTGCTCTGTCAAAAGGAAGGTTCTTCTCTGTTAGGTGAGTGCATACGGTCATAAAGGATTTTCTGAGAATGTTTCTGTCTAGTGGTTATGGGAAGATATTTGCTTTTTCCCCGTCGGCCTCAGGGCGCTCCAAATGTCCACTTGCACATGCTACAAAAAGAGTGCTTCAAAGCTGCTCTCTCAAAGGGAATGTTCAACTCTATGAGTTGAATGCAAACATCGCAAAGACGTTTCTGAGAATGCTTCTGTCTAGATTTGATATGAAGATATTCCCGTTTCCAACGAAATCTTCAAATCTATCCAAATGTCCACTTGCAGATTCAACAAAAAGTGTTTTTCAGAACTGCTCTATCAAAAGAAAGATCTACCTCTGTTAGCTGAGTTCACACATCACAAACAAGTTTATGAGAATGCTTCTGTCTAGTTTTTATTTGAAGATATTTCCTTTCTCACCATAGACCTGAAAGCTGTCCTAATGTTCACTTCCAGATACTACAGAAAGAGTGTTTCAAAACTGCTGTACGAAAGGGAATGTTCAACTCTGTGACTTGAATGCACACATCACAAGGATGTTTCTGAGGATGCTGCTGTCTACTTTTTATACGTAATCCCGTTTCCAACGAAATCCTCCAAGCTATCCAAATATCCCCTTGCAGATTCCACAGAAAGACTGTTTCAAAACTGCTCTGTCAATAGAAAGGTTCAACTCTATTAGCTGCGTACATATATCCCAAAGAAGATTCTGAGATTGCTTCTGTCTAGTTTTTATGGGAAGATATTTCCCTTTTCACCGTAGGCGTCAAGGCACTCCAAATGTCCACTTCCAGATACTACAAAAAGAGTGTTTCAAACCTACTCTGTGAAAGGGAATATTCAACTCTGTCACTTGAAGGCAGATATGACAAAGAAGTTTCTGAGAATGCTTCTGTCGAGATTTTATATGAAGATATTCCCGTTTCCAACGAAATGCTGAAATCTATCCAAATATCCCCTCGCAGATTCTACAAAAAGAGTGTTTCAAAACTGCTCTGTAAAAAGAAAGGTTCAACTCTGTTAGTTGAGTACACACATCACAAACAAGTTTCACAGAATGCTTCTTTCTAGCTTGTAGGGGAAGATATTCCCTTTATCACCATGGGTCTCAAACCGTCCGAAACGTCCACTTCCATATACTACAAAAAGAGCGTTTCAAACCTGCTCTATGAAAGGCAATGTTCAACTCTGTGACTTGAATGTAGACATCACAGAGCTGTTTCTGAGAATGCTTCTGTCTAGATTTTATAAGAAGATATTCCCGTTTCCAACGAAATCTTCACAGCTATCCAAATATCCACTTGCAGATTCTACAAAAAGAGTGTATCAAAACTGCTCTGTCAAAAGGAAGGTTCTTCTCTGTTAGGTGAGTGCATACGTCATAAAGCAGTTTCTGAGAATGTTTCTGTCTAGTGGTTATGGGAAGATATTTTCTTTTTCCCCGTAGGCCTCAGGGCGCTCCAAATGTCCACTTGCACATGCTACAAAAAGAGTGCTTCAAAGCTGCTCTCTTAAAGGGAATGTTCAACTCTATGAGTTGAATGCAAACATCACAAAGACGTTTCTGAGAATGCTTCTGTCTAGATTTGATATGAAGATATTCCCGTTTCCAAGGAAATCTTCAAATCTATCCAAATGTCCACTTGCAGATTCAACAAAAAGTGTTTTTCAGAACTGCTCTATCAAAAGAAAGATCCACTTCTGTTAGCTGAGTTCACACATCACAAACAAGTTTATGAGAATGCTTCTGTCTAGTTTTTATTTGAAGATATTTCCTTTCTCACCATAGAGCTGAAAGCTGTCCTAATGTTCACTTCCAGATACTACAGAAAGAGTGTTTCAAAACTGCTGTACGAAAGGGAATGTTCAAGTCTGTGACTTGAATGCACACATCACAAAGAAGTTTCTGAGGATGCTGCTGTCTACTTTTGATACGTAATCCCGTTTCCAACGAAATCCTCCAAGCTATCCAAATATCCACTTGCAGATTCCACAGAAAGACTGTTTCAAAACTGCTCTGTCAATAGAAAGGTTCAACTCTGTTAGCTGCGTGCATATATCCCAAAGAAGATTCTGAGATTCCTTCTGTCTACTTTTTATGGGAAGATATTTCCCTTTTCACCATAGGTGTCAAGGCGCTCCAAATGTCCACTTCCAGATACTACAAAAAGAGTGTTTCAAACCTACTCTGTGAAAGGGAATATTCAACTCTGTGACTTGAATGCACATATTACAAAGAAGTTTCTGAGAATGCTTCTGTCGAGATTTTATATGAAGATATTCCCGTTTCCAACGAAATCCTGAAATCTATCCAAATATCCCCTTGCAGATTCTACAAAAAGAGTGTTTCAAAACTGCTCTGTAAAAAGAAAGGTTCAACTCTGTTAGTTGAATACACACATCACAAACAAGTTTCACAGAGTGCTTCTTTCTATCTTGTAGGGGAAGATATTCCCTTTATCACTATGGGCCTCAAACCGTCCGAAAAGTCTACTTCCATATACTACAAAAAGAGCGTTTCAAACGTGCTCTATGAAAGGCAATGTTCAACTCTGTGACTTGAATGCAGACATCACAGAGCAGTTTCTGAGAATGCTTCTGTCTAAATTTTATAGGAAGATATTCCCGTTTCCAACGAAATCTTCACAGCTATCCAAATATCCACTTGCAGATTCTACAAAAAGAGTGTATCAAAACTGCTCTGTCAAAAGGAAGGTTCTTTTCTGTTAGGTGAGTGCATACGTCATAAAGGAGTTTCTGAGAATGTTTCTGTCTAGTGGTTATGGGAAGATATTTGCTTTTTCACCGTAGGCCTCAGAGCGCTCCAAATATCCACTTGCACATACTACAAAAAGAGTGCTTCAAAGCTGCTCTCTGAAAGGGAATGTTCAACTCTATGAGTTGAATGCAAACATCACAAAGACGTTTCTGAGAATGCTTTCTGTCTAGATTTGATATGAAGATCTTCCCGTTTCCAACGAAATCTTCAAATCTATCCAAATGTCCACTTGCAGATTCAACAGAAAGTGTTTTTCAGAACTGCTCTATCAAAAGAAAGATCCACCTCTGTTAGCTGAGTTCACACATCACAAACAAGTTTATGAGAATGCTTCTGTCTAGTTTTTATTTGAAGAATATTTCCTTTCTCACCATAGACCTGAAAGCTGTCCTAATGTTCACTTCCAGATACTACAGAAAGAGTGTTTCAAAACTGCTGTACGAAAGGGAATGTTGAACTCTGTGACTTGAATGCACACATCACAAAGAAGTTTCTGAGGATGCTGCTGTCTACTTTTTATACGTAATCCCGTTTCCAACGAAATCCTCCAACCTATCCAAATATCCACTTGCAGAATCCACAGAAAGACTGTTTCAAAACTGCTCTGTCAATAGAAAGGTTCAACTCTGTTAGCTGCGTGCATATATCCCAAAGAAGATTCTGAGATTGCTTCTGTCTAGTTTTTATGGGAAGATATTTCCCTTTTCACCGTAGGTGTCAAGGCGCTCCAAATGTCCACTTCCAGATACTACAAAAAGAGTGTTTCAAACCTACTCTGTGAAAGGGAATATTCAGCTCTGTGACTTGAATGCACATATCACAAAGAAGTTTCTGAGAATGCTTCTGTCGAGATTTTATATGAATATATTCCCGTTTCCAACGAAATGCTGAAATGTATCCAAATATCCCCTCGCAGATTCTACAAAAAGAGTGTTTCAAAACTGCTCTGTAAAAAGAAAGGTTCAACTCTGTTAGTTGAGTACACACATCACAAACAAGTTTCACACAATGCTTCTTTCTAGCTTGTAGGGGAAGATATTCCCTTTATCACCATGGGCCTCAAACCGTCCGAAACGTCTACTTCCATATACTACAAAAAGAGAGTTTCAAACCTGCTCTATGAAAGGCAATGTTCAACTCTGTGACTTGAATGCAGACATCACAGAGCAGTTTCTGAGAATGCTTGTCTGTCTACATTTTATAGGAAGATATTCCCGTTTCCAACGAAATCTTCACAGCTATCCAAATATCCACTTGCAGATTCTACAAAAAGAGTGTATCAAAACTGCTCTGTCAAAAGGAAGGTTCTTCTCTGTTAGGTGAGTACATACGTCATAAAGGAGTTTCTGAGAATGTTTCTGTCTAGTGGTTATGGGAAGATATTTGCTTTTTCACCTTAGGCCTCAGAGCGCTCCAAATATCCCCTTGCACATACTACAAAAAGAGTGCTTCAAAGCTGCTCTCTTAAACGGAATGTTCAACTCTATGAGGTGAATGCAAACATGACAAAGACGTTTCCGAGAATGCTTCTGTCTAGATTTGATATAAAGATATTCCCGTTTCCAACGAAATCTTCAAATCTATCCAAATGTCCACTTGGAGATTCAACAAAAAGTGTTTTTCCGAACTGCTCTATCAAAAGAAAGATCCACCTCTGTTAGCTGAGTTCACACATCACAAACAAGTTTATGAGAATGCTTATCTGTCTAGTTTTTATTTGAAGATATTTCCTTTCTCACCATAGAGCTGAAAGCTGTCCTAATGTTCACTTCCAGATACTACAGAAAGAGTGTTTCAAAACTGCTGTACGAAAGGGAATGTTCAACTCTGTGAGTTGAATGCACACATCACAAAGAAGTTTCTGAGGATGTTGCTGTCTACTTTTTATACGTAATCCCGTTTCCAGCGAAATCCTCCAATCTATCCAAATATCCACTTGCAGATTCCACAGAAAGACTGTTTCAAAACTGCTCTGTCAATAGAAAGGTTCAACTCTGTTAGCTGCCTGCATATATCCCAAAGAAGATTCTGAGATTGCTTCTGTCTAGTTTTTATGGGAAGATATTTCCCTTTTCACCGTAGACGTCAAGGCGCTCCAAATGTCCACTTCCAGATATTACAAAAAGAGTGTTTCAAACCTACTCTGTGAAAGGGAATATTCAACTCTGTGACTTGAATGCAGATATCACAAAGAAGTTTCTGAGAATGCTTCTCTGTCGAGATTTTATATGAAGATATTTTCCCGTTTCCAACGAAATCCTGAAATCTATCCAAATATCCCCTCGCAGATTCTACAAAAAGAGTGTTTCAAAACTGCTCTGTGAAAAGAAAGGTTCAACTCTGTTAGTTGAGTACACACATCACAAACAAGTTTCACAGAATGCTTCTTTCTAGCTTGTAGGGGAAGATATTCCCTTTATCACCATGGGCCTCAAACCGTCCGAAATGTCCACTTCCATATACTACAAAAAGAGCATTTACAACCTGCTCTATGAAAGGCAATGTTCAACTCTGTGACTTGAATGCAGACATCACAGAGCAGTTTCTGAGAATGCTTCTGTCTAGATTTTATAGGAAGATATTCCCGTTTCCAACGAAATCTTCACAGCTATCCAAATATCCACTTGCAGATTCTACAAAAAGAGTGTATCAAAACTGCTCTGTCAAAAGGAAGGTTCTTCTCTGTTAGGTGAGTGCATATGTCATAAAGGAGTTTCTGAGAATGTTTCTGTCTAGTGGTTATGGGAAGATATTTGCTTTTTCACCATAGGCCTCAGAGCGCTCCAAATATCCACTTGCACATACTACAAAAAGAGTGCTTCAAAGCTGCTCTCTGAAAGGGAATGTTCAACTCTATGAGTTGAATGCAAACATCACAAAGACTTTTCTGAGAATGCTTCTGTCTAGATTTGATATGAAGATATTCCCGTTTCCAACGAAATCTTCAAATCTATCCAAATATCCACTTGCAGATTCAACAAAAAGTGTTTTTCAGAACTGCTCTATCAAAAGAAAGATCCACCTCTGTTAGCTTAGTTCACACATCAGAAACAAGTTTATGAGAATGCTTCTGTCTAGTTTTTATTTGAAGATATTTCCTTTCTCACCATAGACCTGAAAGCTGTCCTAATGTTCACTTCCAGATACTACAGAAAGTGTTTCAAACTGCTGTACGAAAGGGAATGTTCAACTCTGTGACTTGAATGCACACATCACAAAGAAGTTTCTGAGGATGCTGCTGTCTACTTTTTATACGTAATCCCGTTTACAACGAAACCCTCCAAGCTATCCAAATATCCACTTGCAGATTCCACAGAAAGACTGTTTCAAAACTGCTCTGTCAATAGAAAGGTTCAACTCTGTTAGCTGCGTGCATATATCCCAAAGAAGATTCTGAGATTGCTTCTGTCTAGTTTTTATGGGAAGATATTTCCCTTTTCACCGTAGGAGTCAAGGCGCTCCAAATGTCCACTTCCAGATGCTACAAAAAGAGTGTTTCAAACCTACTCTGTGAAAGGGAATATTCAACTCTGTGACTTGAATGCACATATCACAAAGAAGTTTCTGAGAATGCTTCTGTCGAGATTTTGTATGAAGATATTCCCGTTTCCAACGAAATCCTGAAATGTATCCAAATTTCCCCTCGCAGATTCTACAAAAAGAGTGTTTCAAAACTGCTCTGTGAAAAGAAAGGTTCAACTCTGTTAGTTGAGTACACACATCACAAACAAGTTTCACAGAATGCTTCTTTCTAGCTTGCAGGGGAAGATATTCCCTTTATCACCATGGGCCTCAAACCGTCCGATAAGTCCACTTCCATATACTACAAAAAGAGCGTTTCAAACCTGCTCTATGAAAGGCAATGTTCAACTCTGTGACTTGAATGCAGACATCACAGAGCAGTTTCTGAGAATGCTTCTGTGTAGATTTTATAGGAAGATATTCCCGTTTCCAACGAAATCTTCACAGCTATCCAAATATCCACTTGCAGATTGTACAAAAAGAGTGTATCAAAACTGCTCTGTCAAAAGGAAGGTTCTTCTCTGTTAGGTGAGTGCATACGTCATAAAGGAGTTTCTGAGAATGTTTCTGTCTAGTGGTTACGGGAAGATATTTGCTTTTTCCCCGTAGGCCTCAGGGCACTCCAAATGTCCACTTGCACATGCTACAAAAAGAGTGCTTCAAAGCTGCTCTCTGGAAGGGAATGTTCAACTCTATGAGTTGAATGCAAACATCACAAAGACGTGTCTGAGAATACTTCTGTCTAGATTTGATATGAAGATATTCCCGTTTCCAACGAAATCTTCAAATCTATCCAAATGTCCACTTGCAGATTCAACAAAAAGTGTTTTTCCGAACTGCTCTATCAAAAGAAAGATCCGCCTCTGTTAGCTGAGTTCACATATCACAAACATGTTTATGAGAATGCTTCTGTCTAGTTTTTATTTGAAGATATTTCCCTTCTCACCATAGACCTGCAAGCTGTCCTAATGTTCACTTCCAGATACTACAGAAAGAGTGTTTCAAAACTACTGTACGAAAGGGAATGTTCAACACTGTGACTTGAAAGCACACATCACAAAGAAGTTTCTGAGGATGCTGCTGTCTACTTTTTATACGTAATCCCGTTTCCAACGAAATCCTCCAAGCTATCCAAATATCCACTTGCAGGTTCCACAGAAAGACTGTTTCAAAACTGCTCTGTCAATAGAAAGGTTCAACTCTGTTAGCTGCGTGCATATATCCCAAAGAAGATTCTGAGATTGCTTCTGTCTAGTTTTTATGGGAAGATATTTCCCTTTTCACTGTAGGCGTCAAGGCGCTCCAAATGTCCACTTCCAGATACTACAAAAAGAGTGTTTCAAACCTACTCTGTGAAAGGGAGTATTCAACTCTGTGACTTGAATACACATATTCCAAAGAAGTTTCTGAGAATGCTTCTGTCGAGATTTTATATGAAGATATTCCCGTTTCCAACGAAATCCTGAAATCTATCCAAATATCCCCTTGCAGATTCTACAAAAAGAGTGTTTCAAAACTGCTCTGTGAAAAGAAAGGTTCAACTCTGTTAGTTGAGTACACACATCACAAACAAGTTTCACACAATGCTTCTTTCTAGCTTGTAGGGGAAGATATTCCCTTTATCACCATGGGCCTCAAACCGTCCGAAACGTCAACTTCCATATACTACAAAAAGAGCGTTTCAAACCTGCTCTAGGAAAGGCAATGTTCAACTCTGTGACTTGAATGCAGACATCACAGAGCAGTTTCTGAGAATGCTTCTGTCTAGATTTTATAGGAAGATATTCCCGTTTTCAACGAAATCTTCACAGCTATCCAAATATCCACTTGCAGATTCTACAAAAAGAGTGTATCAAAACTGCTCTGTCAAAAGGAAGGTTCTTCTCAGTTAGGTGAGTGCATACGTCATAAAGGAGTTTCTGAGAATGTTTGTGTCTAGTGGTTATGAGAAGATATTTGCTTTTTCACCTTAGGCCTCACAGCGCTCAAAATATCCCCTTGCACATACTACAAAAAGAGTGCTTCAAAGCTGCTCTCTGAAAGGGAATGTTCAACTCTATGAGTTGAATGCAAACATCACAAAGACGTTTCTGAGAATGCTTCTGTCTAGATTTGATATGAAGATATTCCCGTTTCCAAAGAAATCTTCAAATCTATCCAAATATCCACTTGCAGATTCAACAAAAAGTGTTTTTCAGAACTGCTCTATCAAAAGAAAGATCCACCTCTGTTAGCTGAGTTCACACATCACAAACAAGGTTATGAGAATGCTTCTGTCTAGTTTTTATTTGAAGATATTTCCTTTCTCACCATAGAGCTGAAAGCTGTCTTAATGTTCACTTCCAGATACTACAGAAAGAGTGTTTCAAAACTGCTGTACGAAAGGGAATGTTCAACTCTGTGACTTGAATGCACACATCACAAAGAAGTTTCTGAGGATGCTGCTGTCTACTTTTTATGCGTAATCCCGTTTCCAACGAAATCCTCCAATCTATCCAAATATCCACTTGCAGATTCCACAGAAAGACTGTTTCAAAACTGCTCTGTCAATAGAAAGGTTCAACTCTGTTAGCTGCGTGCATATATCCCAAAGAAGATTCTGAGATTGCTTCTGTCTAGTTTTTATGAGAAGATATTTCCCTTTTCACCGTAGGCGTCAAGGCGCTCCAAATGTCCACTTCCAGATACTACAAAAAGAGTGTTTCAAACCTACTCTGTGAAAGGGAATATTCAACTCTGTGACTTGAATGCAGATATCACAAAGAAGTTTCTGAGAATGCTTCTGTCGAGATTTTATATGAAGATATTCCCGTTTCCAACGAAATCCTGAAATGTATCCAAATATCCCCTCGCAGATTCTACAAAAAGAGTGTTTCAAAACTGCTCTTTAAAAAGAAAGGTTCAACTCTGTTAGTTGAGTACACACATCACAAACAAGTTTCACAGAATGCTTCTTTCTAGCTTGTAGGGGAAGATATTCCCTTTATCACCATGGGCCTCAAACCGTCCGAAACGTCTACTTCCATATACTACAAAAAGAGCGTTTCAAACCTACTCTATGAAAGGCAATGTTCAACTCAGTGACTTGAATGCAGACATCGCAGAGCAGTTTCTGAGAATGCTTCAGTCTAGATTTTATAGGAAGATATTCCCGTTTCCAACGAAATCTTCACAGCTATCCAAATATCCACTTGCAGATTCTACAAAAAGAGTGTATCAAAACTGCTCTGTCAAAAGGAAGGTTCTTCTCTGTTAGGTGAGTGCATACGTCATAAAGGAGTTTCTGAGAATGTTTCTGTCTAGTGGTTATGGGAAGATATTTGCTTTTTCACCTTAGGCCTCAGAGCGATCCAAATATCCACTTGCACATACTACAAAAAGAGTGCTTCAAAGCTGATCTCTGAAACGGAATGTTCAACTCTATGAGTTGAATGCAAACATCACAAAGACGTTTCTGAGAATGCTTCTGTCTAGATTTGATATGAAGATATTCCCGTTTCCAACGAAATCTTCAAATCTATCCAAATGTCCACTTGCAGATTCAACGAAAAGTGTTTTTCAGAACTGCTGTATCAAAAGAAAGATCCACCTCTGTTAGCTGAGTTCACACATCACAAACAAGTTTATGAGAATGCTTCTGTCTAGTTTTTATTTGAAGATATTGCCTTTCTCACCCTAGACCTGAAAGCTGTCCTAATGTTCTCTTCCAGATGCTACAGAAAAAGTGTTTCAAAACTGCTGTACGAAAGGGAATGTTCAACTCTGTGACTTGAATGCACACATCACAAAGAAGTTTCTGAGGATGCTGCTGTCTACTTTTTATACGTAATCCCGTTTCCAACGAAATCCTCCAAGCTATCCAAATATCCACTTGCAGATTCCACAGAAAGACTGTTTCAAAACTGCTCTGTCAACAGAAAGGTTCAACTCTGTTAGCTGCGTGCATATATCCCAAAGAAGATTCTGAGATTGCTTCTGTCTAGTTTTTATGGGAAGATATTTCCCTTTCCACCGTAGGCGTCAAGGCGCTCCAAATGTCCACTTCCAGATACTACAAAAAGAGTGTTTCAAACCTACTCTGTGAAAGGGAATATTCAACTCTGTGACTTGAATGCACATATCACAAAGAAGTTTCTGAGAATTCTTCTGTCGAGCATTTTATATGAAGATATTCCCGTTTCCAACGAAATCCTGAAATCTATCCAAATATCCGCTCGCAGATTCTACAAAAAGAGTGTTTCAAAACTGCTCTGTGAAAAGAAAGGTTCAACTCTGTTAGTTGAGTACACACATCACAAACAAGTTTCACAGAATGCTTCTTTCTAGCTTGTAGGGGAAGATATTCCCTTTATCACCATGGGCCTCAAACCGTCTGAAACGTCTACTTCCATATACTACAAAAAGAGCGTTTCAAACCTGCTCTATGAAAGGCAATGTTCAACTCTGTGACTTGAATGCAGACATCACAGAGCAGTTTCTGAGAATGCTTCTGTCTAGATTTTATAGGAAGATATTCCCGTTTCCAACGAAATCTTCACAGCTATCCAAATATCCACTTGCAGATTCTACAAAAAGAGTGTTTCAAAACTGCTCTGTCAAAAGGAAGGTTCTTTTCTGTTAGGTGAGTGCATACGTCATAAAGGAGTTTCTGAGAATGTTTCTGTCTAGTGGTTATGGGAAGATATTTGCTTTTTCACCTTAGGCCTCAGAGCGCTCAAAATATCCCCTTGCACATACTACAAAAAGAGTGCTTCAAAACTGCTCTCTGAAACGGAATGTTCAACTCTATGAGTTGAATGCCAACATCACAAAGACGTTTCTGAGAATGCTTCTGTCTAGATTTGATATGAAGATATTCCCGTTCCCAACGAAATCTTCAAATCTATCCAAATGTCCACTTGCAGATTCAACAAAAAGTGTTTTTCAGAACTGCTCTATCAAAAGAAAGATCCACCTCGGTTAGCTGAGTTCACACATCACAAAGAAGTTTATGAGAATGCTCTGTCTAGTTTTTATTTGAAGATATTTCCTTTCTCACCATAGAGCTGAAAGCTGTCCTAATGTTCACTTCCAGATACTACAGGAAGAGTGTTTCAAAACTGCTGTACGAAAGGGAATGTTCAACTCTGTGACTTGAATGCACACATCACAAAGAAGTTTCTGAGGATGCTGGCTGTCTACTTTTTATACGTAATCCTGTTTCCAACGAAATCCTCCAAGCTATCCAAATATCCACTTGCAGATTCCACAGAAAGACTGTTTCAAAACTGCTCTGTCAATAGAAAGGTTCAACTCTGTTAGCTGCGTGCATATATCCCAAAGACGATTCTGAGATTGCTTCTGTCTAGTTTTTATGGGAAGATATTTCCCTTTACACCGTAGGCGTCAAGGCGCTCCAAATGTCCACTTCCAGATACTACAAAAAGAGTGTTTCAAACCTACTCGGTGAAAGGGAATATTCAACTCCTGTGACTTGAATGCAGATATCACACAGAAGTTTGCTGAGAATGCTTCTGTCGAGATTTTATATGAAGATATTCCCGTTTCCAACGAAATCCTGAAATGTATCCAAATATCCCCTCGCAGATTCTACAAAAAGAGTGTTTCAAAACTGCTCTGTAAAAAGAAAGGTTCAACTCTGTTAGTTGAGTACACACATCACAAACAAGTTTCACAGAATTGTTCTTTCTAGCTTGTAGGGGAAGATATTCCCTTTATCACCGTGGTCCTCAAACCGTCCGAAACGTCCACTTCCATATACTACAAAAAGAGCATTTCAAACCTGCTCTATGAAAGGCAATGTTCAACTCTGTGACTTGAATGCAGACATCACAGAGCAGTTTCTGAGAATGCTTCTGTCTAGATTTTATAGGAAGATATTCCCGTTTCCAACGAAATCTTCACAGCTATCCAAATATCCACTTGCAGATTCTACCAAAAGAGTGTATGAAAACTGCTCTGTCAAAAGAAAGGTTCTTCTCTGTTAGGTGAGTGCATACGTCATAAAGGAGTTTCTGAGAATGTTTCTGTCTAGTGGTTATGGGAAGATATTTGCTTTTTCACCGTAGGCCTCAGAGCGCTCCAAATATCCCCTTGCACATACTACAAAAAGAGTGCTTCAAAGCTGCTCTCTGAAAGGGAATGTTCAACTCTGTGAGTTGAATGCAAACATCACAAAGACTTTTCTGAGAATGCTTCTGTCTAGATTTGATATGAAGATATTCCCGTTTGCAACGAAATCTTCAAATCTATCCAAATGTCCACTTGCAGATTCAACAAAAAGTGTTTTTCAGAACTGCTCTATCAAAAGAAAGATCCACCTCTGTTAGCTGAGTTCACACATCACAAACAAGTTTATGAGAATGCTTCTGTCTAGTTTTTATTTTAAGATATTTCCTTTCTCACCATAGACCTGAAAGCTGTCCTAATGTTCACTTCCAGATACTACAGAAAGAGTGTTTCAAAACTGCTGTACGAAAGGGAATGTTCAACTCTGTGACTTGAATGCACACCGCACAAAGAAGTTTCTGAGGATGCTGCTGTCTAATTTTTATACGTAATCCCGTTTCCAACGAAATCCTCCAAGCTATCCAAATATGCACTTGCAGATTCCACAGAAAGACTGTTTCAAAACTGCTCTGTCAATAGAAAGGTTCAACTCTGTTAGCTGCGTGCATATATCCCAAAGAAGATTCTGAGATTGCTTCTGTCTAGTTTTTATGGGAAGATATTTCCCTTTTCACCGTAGGCGTCAAGGCGCTACAAATGTCCACTTCCAGATACTACAAAAAGAGTGTTTCAAACCTACTCTGTGAAAGGGAATATTCAACTCTGTGACTTGAATGCACATATCACAAAGAAGTTTCTGAGAATGCTTCTGTCGAGATTTTATATGAAGATATTCCCGTTTCCAACGAAATCCTGAAATCTATCCAAATATCCCCTCGCAGATTCTACAAAAAGAGTGTTTCAAAACTGCTCTGTAAAAAGAAAGGTTCAACTCTGTTAGTTGAGTACAAACATCACAAGCAAGTTTCACAGAATGCTTCTTTCTAGCTTGTAGGGGAAGATATTCCCTTTATCACCATGGGCCTCAAACCGTCCGAAAAGTCCACTTCCATATACTACAAAACGAGCGTTTCAAACCTGCTCTATGAAAGGCAATGTTCAACTCTGTGACTTGAATGCAGACATCACAGAGCAGTTTCTGAGAATGCTTCTGTCTAGATTTTATAGGAAGATATTCCCGTTTCCAACGAAACCTTCACAGCTATCCAAATATCCACTTGCAGATTCTACAAAAAGAGTGTATCAAAACTGCTCTGTCAAAAGGAAGGTTATTCTCTGTTAGGTGAGTGCATACGTCATAAAGGAGTTTCTGAGAATGTTTCTGTCTAGTGGTTATGGGAAGATATTTGCTTTTTCACCTTAGGCCTCAGAGCGCTCCAAATATCCCCTTGCACATACTACAAAAAGAGTGCTTCAAAGCTGCTCTCTGAAACGGAATGTTCAACTCTATGAGTTGAATGCAAACATCACAAAGACGTTTCTGAGAATGCTTCTGTCAAAATTTGATATGAAGATATTCCCGTTTCCAACGAAATCTTCAAATCTATCCAAATGTCCACTTGCAGATTCAACAAAAAGTGTTTTTCAGAACTGCTCTATCAAAAGAAAGATCCACCTCTGTTAGCTGAGTTCACACATCACAAACAAGTTTATGAGAATGCTTCTGTCTAGTTTTTATTTGAAGATATTTCCTTTCTCACCATAGACCTGAAAGCTGTCTTAATGTTCACTTCCAGATACTACAGAAAGAGTGTTTCAAAACTGCTGTACAAAAGGGAATGTTCAACTCTGTGACTTGAATGCACACATCACAAAGAAGTTTCTGAGGATGCTGCTGTCTACTTTTTATACGTAATCCCGTTTCCAACGAAATCCTCCAAGCTATCCAAATATCCACTTGCAGATTCCACAGAAAGACTGTTTCAAAACTGCTCTGCCAATAGAAAGGTTCAACTCTGTTAGCTGCGTGCATATATCCCAAAGAAGATTCTGAGATTGCTTCTGTCTAGTTTTTATCGGAAGATATTTCCCTTTTCACCGTAGGTGTCAAGGCGCTCCAAATGTCCACTTCCAGATACTACAAAAAGAGTGTTTCAAACCTACTCTGTGAAAGGGAATATTCAACTCTGTGACTTGAGTGCAGATATCACAAAGAACTTTCTGAGAATGCTTCTGTCTAGATTTGATATGAAGATATTCCCGTTTCCAACGAAATGCTGAAATGTATCAAAATATCCCCTCGCAGATTCTACAAAAAGAGTGTTTCAAAACTGCTCTGTAAAAAGAAAGGTTCAACTCTGTTAGTTGAGTACACACATCACAAACAAGTTTCAAAGAATGCTTCTTTCTAGCTTGTAGGGGAAGAATATTCCCTTTATCACCATGGGCCTCAAACCGTCCGAAACGTCCACTTCCATATACTACAAAAAGAGCGTTTCAAACCTGCTCTAGGAAAGGCAATGTTCAACTCTGTGACTTGAATGCAGACATCACAGAGCAGTTTCTGAGAATGCTTCTGTCTAGATTTTATAGGAAGATATTCCCGTTTCCAACGAAATCTTCACAGCTATCCAAATATCCACTTGCAGATTCTACAAAAAGAGTGTATCAAAACTGCTCTATCAAAAGGAAGGTTCTTTTCTGTTAGGTGAGTGCATACGTCATAAAGGAGTTTCTGAGAATGTTTCTGTCTAGTGGTTATGGGAAGATATTTGCTTTTTCACCGTAGGCCTCAGAGCGCTCCAAATATCCACTTGCACATACTACAAAAAGTGTGCCTCAAAACTGCTCTCTGAAACGGAATGTTCAACTCTATGAGTTGAATGCAAACATCACAAAGACGTTTCTGAAAATGCTTCTGTCTAGATTTGATATGAAGATGTTCCCGTTTCCAACGAAATCTTCAAATCTATCGAAATGTCCACTTGCAGATTCAACAAAAAGTGTTTTTCAGAACTGCTCTATCAAAAGAAAGATCCACCTCTGTTAGCTGAGTTCACACATCACAAACAAGTTTATGAGAATGCTTCTGTCTAGTTTTTATTTGAAGATATTTCCTTTCTCACCATAGACCTGAAAGCTGTCCTCATGTTCACTTCCAGATACTACAGAAAGAGTGTTTCAAAACTGCTGTACGAAAGGGAATGTTCAACTCTGTGACTTGAATGCACACATCACAAAGAAGTTTCTGAGGATGCTGCTGTCTACTTTTTATACGTAATCCCTTTTCCAAAGAAATCCCCCAAGCTATCCAAATATCCACTTGCAGATTCCACAGAAAGACTGTTTCAAAACTGCTCTGTCAATAGAAAGGTTCAACTCTATTAGCTGCGTGCATATATACCAAAGAAGATTCTGAGATTGCTTCTGTCTAGTTTTTATGGGAAGATATTTCCCTTTTCACCGTAGGCGTCAAGGCGCTCCAAATGTCCACTTCCAGATACTACAAAAAGAGTGTTTCAAACCTACTCTGTGAAAGGGAATATTCAACTCTGTGACTTGAATGCACATATCACCAAGAAGTTTCTGATAATGCTTCTGTCGAGATTTTATATGAAGATATTCCCGTTTCCAACGAAATCCTGAAATCTATCCAAATATCCCCTCGCAGATTCTACAAAAAGAGTGTTTCAAAACTGCTCTGTAAAAAGAAAGGTTCAACTCTGTTAGTTGAGTACATACATCACAAACAAGTTTCACAGAATGCTTCTTTCTAGCTTGTAGGGGAAGATATTCCCTTTATCACCATGGGCCTCAAACCGTCCGAAACATCCACTTCCCTATACTACAAAAAGAGCGTTTCAAACCTGCTCTATGAAAGGCAATGTTCAACTCTGTGACTTGAATGCAGACATCACAGAGCAGTTTCTGAGAATGCTTCTGTCTAGATTTTATAGGAAGATATTCCCGTTTCCAACGAAATCTTCACAGCTATCCAAATATCTACTTGCAGATTCTACAAAAAGAGTGTATCAAAACTGCTCTGTCAAAAGGAAGGTTCTTCTCTGTTAGGTGAGTGCATACGTCATAAAGCAGTTTCTGAGAATGTTTCTGTCTAGTGGTTATGGGAAGATATTTGCTTTTTCCCCGTAGGCCTCAGGGCGCTCCAAATGTCCACTTGCACATGCTACAAAAAGAGTGCTTCAAAGCTGCTCTCTGAAAGGGAATGTTCAACTCTATGAGTTGAATGCAAACATCGCAAAGACGTTTCTGAGAATGCTTCTGTCTAGATTTGATATGAAGATATTCCCGTTTCCAACGAAATCTTCAAATCTATCCAAATGTCCACTTGCAGATTCAACAAAAAGTGTTTTTCAGAACTGCTCTATCAAAAGAAAGATCCACCTCTGTTAGCTGAGTTCACACATCACAAACAAGATTATGAGAATGCTTCTGTCTAGTTTTTATTTGAAGATATATCCTTTCTCACTATAGACCTGAAAGCTCTCCTAAAGTTCACTTCCAGATACTACAGAAAGAGTGTTTCAAAACTGCTGTACGAAAGGGAATGTTCAACTCTGTGACTTGAATGCACACATCACAAGGATGTTTCTGAGGATGCTGCCGTCTACTTTTTATACGTAATCCCGTTTCCAACGAAATCCTCCAAGCTATCCAAATATCCACTTGCAGATTCTACAAAAAGAGTGTTTCAAAACTGCTCTGTAAAAAGAAAGGTTCAACTCTGTTAGCTATGTGCATACATCCCAAAGAAAATTCTGAGATTGCTTCTGTCTAGTTTTTATGGGAAGATATTTCCCTATTCACCGTAGGCGTCAAGGCGCTCCAAATGTCCACTTCCAGATACTACAAAAAGAGTGTTTCAAACCTACTCTGTGAAAGGGAATATTCAACTCTGTGACTTGAATGCAGATATCACAAAGAAGTTTCTGAGAATGCTTCTGTCGAGATTTTATATGAAGACATTCCCGTTTCCAACGAAATCCTGAAATCTATCCAAATATCCCCTCGCAGATTCTACAAAAAGAGTGTTTCAAAACTGCTCTGTAAAAAGAAAGGTTCAACTCTGTTAGTTGAGTACACATCACAAACAAGTTTCACAGAATGCTTCTTTCTAGCTTGTAGGGGAAGATATTCCCTTTATCACCATGGGCCTCAAACCGTCCGAAACGTCCACTTCCATATACTACAAAAAGAGCGTTTCAAACCTGCTCTATGAAAGGCAATGTTCAACCCTGTGACTTGAATACAGACATCGCAGAGCAGTTCCTGAGAATGCTTCTGTCTAGATTTTATAGGAAGATATTCCCGTTTCCAACGAAATCTTCACAGCTATCCAAATATCCACTTGCAGATTCTACAAAAAGAGTGTATCAAAACTGCTCTGTCAAAAGGAAGGTTCTTCTCTGTTAGGTGAGTGCATACATCATAAAGGAGTTCCTGAGAATGTTTCTGTCTAGTGGTTATGGGAAGATATTTGCTTTTTCACCTTAGGCCTCAGAGCGATCCAAATATCCACTTGCACATACTACAAAAAGAGTGCTTCAAAGCTGCTCTCTGAAAGGGAATGTTCAACTCTATGAGTTGAATGCAAACATCACAAAGACGTTTCTGAGAATGCTTCTGTCTAGATTTGAAATGAAGTTATTCCCGTTTCCAACGAAATCTTCAAATCTATCCAAATGTCCACCTGCAGATTCAACAAAAAGTGTTTTTCAGAACTGCTCTATCAAAAGAAAGATCCACCTCGGTTAGCTGAGTTCACACATCACAAAGAAGTTTATGAGAATGCTTCTGTCTAGTTTTTATTTGAAGATATTTCCTTTCTCACCATAGAGCTGAAAGCTGTCCTAATGTTCACTTCCAGATACTACAGAAAGAGTGTTTCAAAACTGCTGTACGAAAGGGAATGTTCAACTGCTGTGACTTGAATGCACACATCACAAAGAAGTTTCCTGAGGATGCTGCTGTCTACTTTTTATACGTAATCCCGTTTCCAACGAAATCCTCCAAGCTATCGAAATATCCACTTGCATATTCCACAGAAAGACTGTTTCAAAACTGCTATGTCAATAGAAAAGTTCAACTCTGTTAGCTGTGTGCATATATCCCAAAGAAAATTCTGAGATTGCTTGTGTCTAGTTTTTATGGGAAGATATTTCCCTTTTCACCGTAGGCGTCAAGGCGCTCCAAATGTCCACTTCCAGATACTACAAAAAGAGTGTTTCAAACCTACTCTGTGAAAGGGAATATTCAACTCTGTGACTTGAATGCACATATCACAAGGAAGTTTCTGAGAATGCTTCTGTCGAGATTTTATATGAAGATATTCCCGTTTCCAACGAAATCCTGAAATCTATCCAAATATCCCCTCGCAGATTCTACAAAAAGAGTGTTTCAAAACTGCTCTGCAAAAAGAAAGGTTCAACTCTGTTAGTTGAGTACACACATCACAAACAAGTTTCACAGAATGCTTCTTTCTAGCTTGTAGGGGAAGATATTCCCTTTATCACCATGGGCCTCAAACCGTCCGAAACGTCCACTTCCATATACTACAAAAACAGCATTTCAAACCTGCTCTATGAAAGGCAATGTTCAACTCTGTGACTTGAATGCAGACATCACAGAGCAGTTTCTGAGAATGCTTCTGTCTAGATTTTATAGGAAGATATTCCCGTTTCCAACGAAATCTTCACAGCTATCCAAATATGCACTTGCAGATTCTACAAAAAGAGTGTATCAAAACTGCTCTGTCAAAAGGAAGGTTCTTCTCTGTTAGTTGAGTACATACGTCATAAAGGAGTTTCTGAGAATGTTTCTGTCTAGTGGTTATGGGAAGATATTTGCTTTTTCACCGTAGGCGTCAGAGCTCTCCAAATATCCACTTGCACATACTACAAAAAGAGTGCTTCAAAGCTGCTCTCTGAAACGGAATGTTCAAATCTATGAGTTGAATGCAAACATCACAAAGACGTTTCTGAGAATGCTTCTGTCTAGATTTGATATGAAGATATTCCCGTTTCCAACGAAATCTTCAAATCTATCCAAATGTCCACTTGCAGATTCAACAAAGTGTTTTTCAAAACTGCTGTATGAAAAGAAAGATCCACCACTGTTAGCTGAGTTCACACTTCACAAACAAGTTTATCAGAATGCTTCTGTCTAGTTTTTATTTGAAGATATTTCCTTTCTCACCATAGACCTGAAAGCTGTCCTAATGTTCACTTCCAGTTACTACAGAAAGAGTGTTTCAAAACTGCTGTACGAAAGGGAATGTTGAACTCTGTGACTTGAATGCACACATCACAAAGAAGGTTCTGAGGATGCTGCTGTCTACATTTTATACGTAATCCCGTTTCCAACGAAATCCTCCAAGCTATCCAAATATCCACTTGCAGATTCCACAGAAAGACTGTTTCAAAACTGCTCTGTCAATAGAAAGGTTCAACTCTGTTAGCTGCGTCCATATATCCCAAAGAAGATTCTGAGATTGCTTCTGTCTAGTTTTTATGGGAAGATATTTCCCTTTTCACCGTAGGTGTCAAGGCGCTCCAAATGTCCACTTCCAGATTCTACAAAAAGAGTGTTTCAAACCTACTCTGTGAAAGGGAATATTCAACTCTGTGACTTGAATGCACATATCACAAGGAAGTTTCTGAGAATGCTTCTGTCGAGATTTCATATGAAGATATTCCCGTTTCCAACGAAATCCTGAAATCTATCCAAATATCCCCTCACAGATTCTACAAAAAGAGTGTTTCAAAACTGCTCTGTAAAAAGAAAGGTTCAACTCTGTTAGTTCAGTACACACATCACAAACAAGTTTCACAGAATGCTTCTTTCTAGCTTGTAGGGGAAGATATTCCCTTTATCACCATGGGCCTAAAACCGTCCGAAACATCCACTTCCATATACTACAAAAAGAGCGTTTCAAACCTGCTCTAGGAAAGGCAATGTTCAACTCTGTGACTTGAAAGCAGACATCACAGAGCAGTTTCTGAGAATGCTTCTGTCTAGATTTCATAGGAAGATATTCCCGTTTCCAACGAAATCTTCACAGCTATCCCAATATCCACTTGCAGATTCTACAAAAAGAGTGTATCAAAACTGCTCTGTCAAAAGGAAGGTTCTTCTCTGTTAGGTGAGTGCATACGTCATAAAGGAGTTTCTGAGAATGTTTCTGTCTAGTGGTTATGGGAAGATATTTGCTTTTTCCCCATAGGCCTCAGGGCGCTCCAAATGTCCACTTGCACATGCTACAAAAAGAGTGCTTCAAAGCTGCTCTCTGAAAGGGAATGTTCAACTCTATGAGTTGAATGCAAACATCACAAAGACGTTTCTGAGAATGCTTCTGTCTAGATTTGATATGAAGATATTCCCGTTTCCAACGAAATCTTCAAATCTATCCAAATGTCCACTTGCAGATTCAACAAAGTGTTTTTCAAAACTGCTGTATCAAAAGAAAGATCCACCACTGTTAGCTGAGTTCACACTTCACAAACAAGTTTATTAGAATGCTTCTGTCTAGTTTTTATTTGAAGATATTTCCTTTCTCACCATAGACCTGAAAGCTGTCCTAATGTTCACTTCCAGATACTACAGAAAGAGTGTTTCAAAACTGCTGTACGAAAGGGAATGTTCAACTGCTGTGACTTGAATGCACACATCACAAAGAAGTTTCTGAGGATGCTGCTGTCTACTTTTTATACGTAATCCTGTTTCCAACGAAATCCTCCAAGCTATCCAAATATCCACTGGCAGATTCCACAGAAAGACTGTTTCAAAACTGCTGTCAATAGAAAGGTTCAACTCTGTTAGCTGCGTGCATATATCCCAAAGAAGATTCTGAGATTGCTTCTGTCTAGTTTTTATGGGAAGATATTTCCCTTTTCACCGTAGGCGTCAAGGCGCTCCAAATGTCCACTTCCAGATACTACAAAAAGAGTGTTTCAAACCTACTCTGTGAAAGGGAATATTCAACTCTGTGACTTGAATGCACATATCACAAAGAAGTTTACTGAGAATGCTTCTGTCGAGATTTTATATGAAGATATTCCCGTTTCCAACGAAATCCTGAAATCTCTCCAAATATCCCCTCGCAGATTCTACAAAAAGAGTGTTTCAAAACTGCTCTGTAAAAAGAAAGGTTCAACTCTGTTAGTTGAGTACACACATCACAAACAAGTTTCACAGAATGCTTCTTTCTAGCTTGTAGGGGAAGATATTCCCTTTATCACCATGGGCCTCAAACCGTCCAAAACGTCCACTTCCATATACTACAAAAAGAGCGTTTCAAACCTGCTCTAGGAAAGGCAATGTTCAACTCTGTGACTTGAATGCAGACATCACAGAGCAGTTTCTGAGAATGCTTCTGTCTAGATTTTATAGGAAGATATTCCCGTTTCCAACGAAATCTTCACAGCTATCCAAATATCCACTTGCAGATTCTACAAAAAGAGTGTATCAAAACTCCTCTGTCAAAAGGAAGGTTCTTCTCTGTTAGTTGAGTACATACGTCATAAAGGAGTTTCTGAGAATGTTTCTGTCTAGTGGTTATGGGAAGATATTTGCTTTTTCACCGTAGGCCTCAGAGCACTCCAAATATCCACTTGCACATACTACAAAAAGAGTGTCTCAAAGCTGCTCTCTGAAACGGAATGTTCAACTCTATGAGTTGAATGCAAACATCGCAAAGACGTTTCTGAGAATGCTTCTGTCTAGATTTGATATGAAGATATTCCCGTTTCCAACGAAATCTTCAAATCTATCCAAATGTCCACTTGCAGATTCAACAAAAAGTGTTTTTCAGAACTGCTCAATCAAAAGAAAGATCCACCTCTGTTAGCTGAGTTCACACTTCACAAACAAGTTTATCAGAATGCTTCTGTCTAGTTTTTATTTGAAGATATTTCCTTTCTCACCATAGACCTGAAAGCTCTCCTAATGTTCACTTCCAGATACTACAGAAAGAGTGTTTCAAAACTGCTGTACGAAAGGGAATGTTCAACTCTGTGACTTGAATGCACACATCACAAAGAAGTTTCTGAGGATGCTGCTGTCTACTTTTTATACGTAATCCCGTTTCCAACGAAATCCTCCAAGCTATCCAAATATCCACTTGCAGATTCCACAGAAAGACTGTTTCAAAACTGCTCTGTCAATAGAAAGGTTGAACTCTGTTAGCTGCGTGCATATATCCCAAAGAAGATTCTGAGATTGCTTCTGTCTAGTTTTTATGGGAAGATATTTCCCTTGTCACCGTAGGCGTCAAGGCACTCCAAATGTCCACTTCCAGATACTACAAAAAGAGTGTTTCAAACCTACTCTGTGAAAGGGAATATTCAACTCTGTGACTTGAAGGCAGATATCACAAAGAAGTTTCTGAGAATGCTTCTGTCGAGATTTTATATGAAGATATTCCCGTTTCCAACGAAATCCTGAAATCTATCCAAATATCCCGTCGCAGATTCTACAGAAAGAGTGTTTCAAAACTGCTCTGTAAAAAGAAAGGTTCAACTCTGTTACTTGAGTACACACATCACAAACAAGTTTCACAGAATGCTTCTTTCTAGCTTATAGGGGAAGATATTCCCTTTATCACCATGGGCCTCAGACCGTCCGAAACGTCCACTTCCATATACTACAAAAAGAGCGTTTCAAACCTGCTCTATGAAAGGCAATGTTCAACTCTGTGACTTGAATGCAGACATCACAGAGCAGTTTCTGAGAAGTGCTTCTGTCTAGATTTTATAGGAAGATATTCCCGTTTCCAACGAAATCTTCACAGCTATCCCAATATCCACTTGCAGATTCTACAAAAAGAGTGTATCAAAACTGCTCTGTCAAAAGGAAGGTTCTTCTCTGTTAGATGAGTACACACGTCATAAAGGAGTTTCTGAGAATGTTTCTGTCTAGTGGTTATGGGAAGATATTTGCTTTTTCACCGTAGGCCTCAGAGCGCTCCAAATATCCACTTGCACATACTACAAAAATGAGTGCCTCAAAGCTGCTCTCTGAAACGGAATGTTCAACTCTATGAGTTGAATGCAAACATCACAAAGACGTCTCTGAGAATGCTTCTGTCTAGATTTGATATGAAGATATTCCCGTTTCCAACGAAATCTTCAAATCTATCCAAATGTCCACTTGCAGATTCAACAAAAAGTGTTTTTCAGAACTGCTCTATCAAAAGAAAGATCCATCTCTGTTAGCTGAGTTCACACATCACAAACAAGTTTATGAGAATGCTTCTGTCTAGTTTTTATTTGAAGATATTTCCTTTCTCACCATAGACCTGAAAGCTGTCCTAATGTTCACTTCCAGATACTACAGAAAGGGTGTTTCAAAACTGCTGTACGAAAGGGAATGTTCAACTCTGTGACTTGAATGCACACATCACAAAAAAGTTTCTGAGGATGCTGCTGTCTACTTTTTATACGTAATCCCGTTTCCAACGAAATCCTCTAATCTATCCAAATATCCACTTGCAGATTCCACAGCAAGACTGTTTCAAAATTGCTCTGTCAATAAAAAGGTTCAACTCTGTTAGCTGCGTGCATATATCCCAAAGAAGATTCTGAGATTGCTTCTGTCTAGTTTTTATGGGAAGATATTTCCCTTTTCACTGTAGGCGTCAAGGCGCTAAAAATGTCCACTTCCAGATACTACAAAAAGAGTGTTTCAAACCTACTCTGTGAAAGGGAATATTCAACTCTGTGACTTGAATGCACATACCACAAAGAAGTTTCTGAGAATGCTTCTGTCCAGATTTTATATGAAGATATTCCCCTTTCCAACGAAATCCTGAAATCTATCCAAATATCCCCTCGCAGATTCTACAAAAAGAGTGTTTCAAAACTGCTCTGTAAAAAGAAAGGTTCAACTCTGTTAGTTGAGTACACACATCACAAACAAGTTTCACAGAATGCTTCTTTCTAGCTAGTAGGGGAAGATATTCCCTTTATCACCATGGGCCTCAAACCGTCCGAAACGTCCACTTCCATGTACTACAAAAAGAGCGTTTCAAACCTGCTCTATGAAAGGCAATGTTCAACTCTGTGACTTGAATGCAGACATCACAGAGCAGTTTCTGAGAATGCTTCTGTCTAGATTTTATAGGAAGATACTCCCGTTTCCAACGAAATCTTCACAGCTATCCAAATATCCACTTGCAGATTCTACAAAATGAGTTTATCAAAACTGCTCTGTCAAAAGGAAGGTTCTTCTCTGTTAGGTGAGTGCATACGTCATAAAGGAGTTTCTGAGAATGTTTCTGTGTAGTGGTTATGGGAAGATATTTGCTTTTTCACCTTAGGCCTCAGAGCGCTCCATATATCCCCATGCACATACTACAAAAAGAATGCTTCAAAGCTGCTCTCTGAAACGGAATGTTCAACTCTATGAGTTGAATGCAAACATCACAAAGACGTTTCCAAGAATGCTTCTGTCTAGATTTGATATGAAGATATTACCGTTTCCAACGAAATCTTCATATCTATCCAAATGTCCACTTGCAGATTCAACAAAAAGTGTTTTTCAAAACTGCTGTATCAAAAGAAAGATCCACGTCTGTTAGCTGAGTTCACACATCACAAACAAGTTTATGAGAATGCTTCTGTCTAGTTTTTATTTGAAGATATTCCCTTTCTCACCATCGACCTGAAAGCTGTCCTAATGTTCACTTCCAGATACTACAGAAAGAGTGTTTCAAAACTGCTGTACGAAAGGGAATGTTCAACTCTGTGACTTGAATGCACACATCACAAAGAAGTTTCTGAGGATGCTGCTGTCTACTTTTTATACGTAATCCCATTTCCAAAGAAATCCTCCAAGCTATCCAAATATCCACTTGCAGATTCCACAGAAAGACTGTTTCAAAACTGCTCTGTCAATAGAAAGGTTCAACTCTGTTAGTTGCGTGCATATATCCCAAAGAAGATTCTGAGATTGCTTTCTGTCTACTTTTTATGAGAAGATATTTCCCTTTTCACCGTAGGCCTCAAGGCGCTCCAAATGTCCACTTCCAGATACTACAAAAAGAGTGTTTCAAACCTACTCTGTGAAAGGGAATATTCAACTCTGTGACTTGAATGCACATATCACAAAGAAGTTTCTGAGAATGCTTCTGTCGAGATTTTATATGAAGATATTCCCGTTTCCAACGAAATCCTGAAATCTATCCAAATATCCCCTCGCAGATTCTACAAAAAGAGTGTTTCAAAACTGCTCTGTAAAAAGAAAGGTTCAACTCTGTTAGTTTAGTACACACATCACAAACAAGTTTCACAGAATGCTTCTTTCTAGCTTGTAGGGGAAGATATTCCCTTTATCACCATGGGCCTCCAACCGTCCGAAACATCCACTTCCATATACTACAAAAAGAGCGTTTCAAACCTGCTCTAGGAAAGGCAATGTTCAACTCTGTGACTTGAATGCAGACATCACAGAGCAGTTTCTGAGAATGCTTCTGTCTAGATTTTATAGGAAGATATTCCCGTTTCCAACGAAATCTTCACAGCTATCCAAATATCCACTTGCAGATCCTACAAAAAGAGTGTATCAAAACTGCTCTGTCAAAAGGAAGGTTATTCTCTGTTAGGTGAGTGCATACGTCATAAAGGAGTTTCTGAGAATGTTTCTGTCTAGTCGTTATGGGAAGATATTTGCTTTTTCACCGTAGGCCTCAGAGCGCTCCAAATATCCACTTGCACATACTACAAAAAGAGTGCCTCAAAGCTGGTCTCTGAAACGGAATGTTCAACTCTATGAGTTGAATGCAAACATCACAAAGACGTTTCTGAGAATGCTTCTGTCTAGATTTGATATGAAGATATTCCCTTTTCCAACGAAATCTTCAAATCTATCCAAATGTCCACTTGCAGATTCAACAAAACGTGTTTTTCAGAACTGCTCTATCAAAAGAAAGATCCACCTCTGTTAGCTGAGTTCACACATCACAAACAAGTTTATGAGAATGCTTCTGTCTAGTTTTTATTTGAAGATATTTCCTTTCTCACCATAGACCTGAAAGCTGTCCTAATGTTCACTTCCAGATACTACAGAAAGAGTGTTTCAAAACTGCTGTACGAAAGAGAATGTTCAACTCTGTGACTTGAATGCACACATCACAAAGAAGTTTCTGAGGATGCTGCTGTCTACTTTTTATACGTAATCCCGTTTCCAACGAAATCCTCCAAGCTATCCAAATATCCACTTGCAGATTCCACAGAAAGACTGTTTCAAAACTGCTCTGTCAATAGAAAGGTTCAACTCTGTTAGCTGCGTGCATATATCCCAAAGAAGATTCTGAGATTGCTTTCTGTCTAGTTTTTATGGGAAGATATTTCCCTTTTCACCGTAGGCGTCAAGGCGCTCCAAATGTCCACTTCCAGATACTACAAAAAGAGTGTTTCAAACCTACTCTGTGAAAGGGAATGTTCAACTCTGTGACTTGAGTGCACATATCACAAAGAAGCTTCTGAGAATGCTTCTGTCGAGATTTTATATGAAGATATTCCCGTTTCCAACGAAATCCTAAAATCTATCCAAATATTCCCTCGCAGATTCTACAAAAAGAGTGTTTCAAAACTGCTCTGTAAAAAGAAAGGTTCAACTCTGTTAGTTGAGTACACACATCACAAACAAGTTTCACAGAATGCTTCTTTCTAGCTTGTAGGGGAAGATATTCCCTTTAACACCATGGGCCTCAAACCGTCTGAAACGTCCACTTCCATATACTACAAAAAGAGCGTTTCAAACCTGCTCTATGAAAGGCAATGTTCAACTCTGTGACTTGAATGCAGACATCACAGAGCAGTTTCTGAGAATGCTTCTGTGTAGATTTTATAGGAAGATATTCCCGTTTCCAACGAAATCTTCACAGCTATCCAAATATCCACTTGCAGATTCTACAAAAAGAGTGTATCAAAACTGCTCTGTCAAAAGGAAGGTTCTTTTCTGTTAGGTGAGTGCATACGTCATAAAGGAGTTTCTGAGAATGTTTCTGTCTAGTGGTTATGGGAAGATATTTGCTTTTTCACCGTAGGCCTCAGAGCACTCCAAATATCCCCTTGCACATACTACAAAAAGAGTGCTTCAAAGCTGCTCTCTGAAAGGGAATGTTCAACTCTGTGAGTTGAATGCAAACATCACAAAGACGTTTCTGAGAATGCTTCTGTCTAGATTTGATATGAAGATATTCCCGTTTCCAACGAAATCTTCAAATCTATCCAAATGTCCACTTGCAGATTCAACAAAAAGTGTTTTTCAGAACTGCTCTATCAAAAGAAAAATCCACCTCTGTTAGCTGAGTTCACACATCACAAACAAGTTTATGAGAATGCTTCTGTCTAGTTTTTATTTGAAGATATTTCCTTTCTCACCATAGACCTGAAAGCTGTCCTAATGTTCACTTCCAGATGCTACAGAAAGAGTGTTTCAATACTGCTGTACGAAAGGGAATGTTCAACTCTGTGACTTGAATGCACACATCACAAAGAAGTTTCTGAGGATGCTGCTGTCTACTTTTTATGCGTAATCCCGTTTCCAACGAAATCCTCCAAGCTATCCCAATATCCACTTGCAGATTCCACAGAAAGACTGTTTCAAAACTGCTCTGTCAATAGAAAGGTTCAACTCTGTTAGCTGCGTGCATATATCCCAAAGAAGATTCTGAGATTGCTTTCTGTCTACTTTTTATGAGAAGATATTTCCCTTTTCACCGTAGGCGTCAAGGCGCTCCAAATGTCCACTTCCAGATACTACAAAAAGAGTGTTTCAAACCTACTCTGTGAAAGGGAATATTCAACTCTGTGACTTGAATGCAGATATCACAAAGAAGTTTCTGAGAATGCTTCTGTCGAGATTTTATATGAAGATATTCCCTTTTCCAACGAAATCCTGAAATCTATCCAAATATCCCCTCGCAGATTCTACAAAAAGAGTGTTTCAAAACTGCTCTGTAAAAAGAAAGGTTCAACTCTGTTAGCTGAGTACACACATCACAAACAAGTTTCACAGAATGTTTCTTTCTAGCTTGTAGGGGAAGATATTCCCTTTATCACCATGGGCCTCAAACCGTCTGAAACTTCCACTTCCATATACTACAAAAAGAGCATTTCAAACCTGCTCTATGAAAGGCAATGTTCAACTCTGTGACTTGAATGCAGACATCACAGAGCAGTTTCTGAGAATGCTTCTGTCTAGATTTTATAGGAAGATATTCCCGTTTCCAACGAAATCTTCACAGCTATCCAAATATAAACTTGCAGATTCTACAAAAAGAGTGTATCAAAACTGCTCTGTCAAAAGGAAGGTTCTTCTCTGTTAGGTGAGTGCATACATCATAAAGGAGTTCCTGAGAATGTTTCTGTCTAGTGGTTATGGGAAGATATTTGCTTTTTCCCCGTAGGCCTCAGAGCGCTCCAAATATCCACTTGCACATACTGCAAAAAGAGTGCTTCAAAGCTGCTCTCTGAAAGGGAATGTTCAACTCTATGAGTTGAATGCAAACATCACAAAGACGTTTCTGAGAATGCTTCTGTCTAGATTTGATATGAAGATATTCCCGTTTCCAACGAAATCTTCAAATCTATCCAAATGTCCACTTGCAGATTCAACAAAAAGTGTTTTTCAGAACTGCTCTATCAAAAGAAAGATTCACCTCTGTTAGCTGAGTTCACACTTCACAAACAAGTTTATGAGAATGCTTTTGTCTAGTTTTTATTTGAAGATATTTTCTTTCTCACCATAGACCTGAAAGCTGTCCTAATGTTCACTTCCAGATACTACAGAAAGAGTGTTTCAAAACTGCTGTACGAAAGGGAATGTTCAACTCTGTGACTTGAATGCACACATCACAAAGAAGTTTCTGAGGATGCTGCTGTCTACTTTTTATACGTAATACCGTTTCCAACGAAATCCTCCAAGCTATCCAAATATCCACTTGCAGATTCCACAGAAAGACTGTTTCAAAACTGCTCTGTCAATAGAAAGGTTCAACTCTGTTAGCTGCGTGCATATATCCCAAAGAAGATTCTGAGATTGCTTCTGTCTACTTTTTATGAGAAGATATTTCCCTTTTCACCGTAGGCATCAAGGCGCTCCAAATGTCCACTTCCAGATACTAGAAAAAGAGTGTTTCAAACCTACTCTGTGAAAGGGAATATTCAACTCTGTGACTTGAATGCACATATCACAAAGAAGCTTCCGAGAATGCTTCTGTCGAGATTTTATATAAAGATATTCCGGTTTCCAACAAAATCCTGAAATCTATCCAAATATCCCCTCGCAGATTCTACAAAAAGAGTGTTTCAAAACTGCTCTGTAAAAAGAAAGGTTCAACTCTGTTAGTTGAGTACACACATAACAAACAAGTTTCACAGAATGCTTCTTTCTAGCTTGTAGGGGAAGATATTCCCTTTATCACCATGGGCCTCCAACCGTCCGAAACGTCCACTTCCATATACTACAAAAAGAGCCTTTCAAACCTGCTCTATGAAAGGCAATGTTCAACTCTGTGACTTGAATGCAGACATCACAGAGCAGTTTCTGAGAATGCTTCTGTCTAGATTTTATAGGAAGATATTCCCGTTTCCAACGAAATATTCACAGGTATCAAAATATCCACTTGCAGATTCTACAAAAAGAGTGTATCAAAACTGCTCTGTCAAAAGGAAGGTTCTTCTCTGTTAGGTGAGTGCATACGTCATAAAGGAGTTTCTGAGAATGTTTTCTGTCTAGTCGTTATGGGAAGATATTTGCTTTTTCACCGTAGGCCTCAGAGCGCTCCAAATATCCACTTGCACATACTACAAAAAGAGTGCTTCAAAGCTGGTCTCTGAAACGGAATGTTCAACTCTATGAGTTGAATGCAAACATCACAAAGACGTTTACTGAGAATGCTTCTGTCTAGATTTGATATGAAGATATTCCCGTTTCCAAGGAAATCTTCAAATCTATCCAAATGTCCACTTTCAGATTCAACAAAAAGTGTTTTTCAAAACTGCTGTATCAAAAGAAAGATCCACGTCTGTTAGCTGAGTTCACACATCACAAACAAGTTTATGAGAATGCTTCTGTCTAGTTTTTATTTGAAGATATTACCTTTCTCACCATAGAGCTGAAAGCTGTCCTAATGTTCACTTCCAGATACTCCAGAAAGAGTGTTTCAAAACTGCTGTACGAAAGGGAATGTTCAACTCTGTGACTTGAATGCACACATCACAAAGAAGTTTCTGAGGATGCTGCTGTCTACTTTTTATACCTAATCCCGTTTCCAACGAAATCCTCCAAGCTATCCAAATATCCACTTGCAGATTCCACAGAAAGACTGTTTCAAAACTGCTCTGTCAATAGAAAGGTTCAACTCTGTTAGCTGCGTGCATATATCCCAAAGATGATTCTGAGATTTCTTCTGTCTAGTTTTTATGAGAAGATATTTCCCTTTTCACCGTAGGCGTCAAGGCGCTCCAAATGTCCACTTCCAGATACTACAAAAAGAGTGTTTCAAACCTACTCTGTAAAAGGGAATATTCAACTCTGTGACTTGAATGCACATATCACAAAGAAGTTTCTGAGAATGCTCTGTCGAGATTTTATATGAAGATATTCCCGTTTCCAACGAAATCCTGAAATCTATCCAAATATCCCCTCGCAGATTCTACAAAAAGAGTGTTTCAAAACTGCTCTGTAAAAAGAAAGGTTCAACTCTGTTAGTTGAGTACACACATCACAAACAAGTTCACAGAATGCTCTCTTTCTAGCTTGCAGGGGAAGATATTCCCTTTATCACCATGGGCCTCCAACCGTCCGAAACATCCACTTCCATATACTACAAAAAGAGCGTTTCAAACCTGCTCTATGAAAGGCAATGTTCAACTCTGTGACTTGAATGCAGACATCACAGAGCAGTTTCTGAGAATGCTTCTGTCTAGATTTTATAGGAAGATATTCCCGTTTCCAACGAAATCTTCACAGCTATCCAAATATCCACTTGCAGATTCTACAAAAAGAGTGTATCAGAACTGCTCTGTCAAAAGGAAGGTTCTTTTCTGTTAGGTGAGTGCATACGTCATAAAGGAGTTTCTGAGAATGTTTCTGTCTAGTGGTTATGGGAAGATATTTGCTTTTTCACCGTAGGCCTCAGAGCGCTCCAAATATCCACTTGCACATACTACAAAAAGAGTGCTTCAAACCTGCTCTCTGAAACAGAATGTTCAACTCTATGAGTTGAATGCAAACATCACAAAGACGTTTCTGAGAATGCTTCTGTCTAGATTTGATATGAAGATATTCCCGTTTCCAACGAAATCTTCAAATCTATCCAAATATCCACTTGCATAATCAACAAAAAGTGTTTTTCACAACTGCTCTATCAAAAGAAAGATCCACCTCTGTTAGCTGAGTTCACACATCACAAACAAGTTTATGAGAATGCTTCTGTCTAGTTTTTATTTGAAGATATTTCCTTTCTCACCATAGACCTGAAAGCTGTCCTAATGTTCACTTCCAGATACTACAGAAAGAGTGTTTCAAAACTGCTGTATGAAAGGGAATGTTCAACTCTGTGACTTGAATGCACACATCACAAAGAAGTTTCTGAGGATGCTGCTGTCTACTTTTCATACTTAATCCCGTTTCCAACGAAATCCTCCAAGCTATCCAAATATCCACTTGCAGATTCCACAGAAAGACTGTTTCAAAACCGCTCTGTCAATAGAAAGGTTCAACTCTGTTAGCTGCGTGCATATATCCCAAAGAAGATTCTGAGATTGCTTCTGTCTAGTTTTTATGGGTAGATATTTCCCTTTTCACAGTAGGTGTCAAGGCGCTCCAAATGTCCACTTCCAGATACTACAAAAAGAGTGTTTCAAACCTACTCTGTGAAAGGGAATATTCAACTCTGTGACTTCAATGCACATATCACAAGGAAGTTTCTGAGAATGCTTCTGTCGAGATTTTAAATGAAGATATTCCCGTTTCCAACGAAATCCTGAAATCTATCCAAATATCCCCTCGCAGATTCTACAAAAAGAGTGTTTCTAAACTGCTCTGTAAAATGAAAGGTTCAACTCTGTTAGTTGAGTACACACATCACAAACAAGTTTCACAGAATGCTTCTTTCTAGCTTGTAGGGGAAGATATTCCCTTTATCACCATGGGCCTCCAACCGTCCGAAACATCCACTTCCATATACTACAAAAAGAGCGTTTCAAACCTGCTCTATGAAAGGCAATGTTCAACTCTGTGACTTGAATGCAGACATCACAGAGCAGTTTCTGAGAATGCTTATCTGTCTAGATTTTATAGGAAGATATTCCCGTTTCCAACGAAATCTTCACAGCTATCCAAATATCCACTTGCAGATTCTACAAAAAGAGTGTATCAAAACTGCTCTGTCAAAAGGAAGGTTCTTTTCTGTTAGGTGAGTGCATACGTCATAAAGGAGTTTCTGAGAATGTTCTGTCTAGTGGTTATGGGAAGATATTTGCTTTTTCACCGTAGGCCTCAGAGCGCTCCAAATATCCACTTGCACATACTACAAAAAGAGTGCTTCAAAGCTGTTCTTTGAAAGGGAATGTTCAACTCTATGAGTTGAATGCAAACATCACAAAGACGTTTCTGAGAATGCTTCTTTCTAGATTTGATATGAAGATATTCCCGTTTCCAACGAAATCTTCAAATCTATCCAAATGTCCACTTGCAGATTCAACAAAACGTGTTTTTCAGAACTGCTCTATCAAAAGAAAGATCCACCTCTGTTAGCTGAGTTCACACATCACAAACAAGTTTATGAGAATGCTTCTGTCTAGTTTTTATTTAAAGATATTTCCTTTCTCACCATAGACCTGAAAGCTGTCCTAATGTTCACTTCCAGATACTACAGAAAGAGTGTTTCAAAACTGCTGTACGAAAGGGAATGTTCAACTCTGTGACTTGAATGCACACATCACAAAGAAATTTCTGAGGATGCTGCTGTCTACTTTTTATACGTAATCCCATTTCCAACGAAATCCTCCAAGCTATCCAAATATCCACTTGCAGATTCCACAGAAAGACTGTTTCAAAACTGCTATGTCAATAGAAAAGTTCAACTCAGTTAGCTGTGTGCATATATCCCAAAGAAAATTCTGAGATTGCTTCTGTCTAGTTTTTATGGGAAGATATTTCCCTTTTCACCGTAGGCGTCAAGGCGCTCCAAATGTCCACTTCCAGATACTACAAAAAGAGTGTTTCAAACCTACTCTGTGAAAGGGAATATTCAACTCTGTGACTTGAATGCACATAACACAAGGAAGTTTCTGAGAATGCTTCTGTCGAGATTTTATATGAAGATATTCCCGTTTCCAACGAAATCCTGAAATGTATCCAAATATCCCCTCGCAGATTATACAAAAAGAGTGTTTCAAAACTGCTCTGTAAAAAGAAAGGTTCAACTCTGTTAGTTGAGTACACACATCACAAACAAGTTTCACAGAATGCTTCTTTCTAGCTTGTAGGGGAAGATATTCCCTTTATCAACATGGGCCTCAAACCGTCCGAAACGTCCACTTCCATATACTACAAAAAGAGCGTTTCAAACCTGCTCTATGAAAGGCAATGTTCAACTCTGTGACTTGAATGCAGACATCACAGAGCAGTTTCTGAGAATGCTTCTGTCTAGATTTTATAGGAAGATATTCCCGTTTCCAACGAAATCTTCACAGCTATCCAAATATCCAGTTGCAGATTCTACAAAAAGAGTGTATCAAAACTGCTCTGTCAAAAGGAAGCTTCTTCTCTGTTAGGTGAGTGCATACGTCATAAAGGAGTTTCTGAGAATGTTTCAGTCTAGTGGTTATGGGAAGATATTTGCTTTTTCACCGCAGAGCTCACAGCGCTCCAAATATCCACTTGCACATACTACAAAAAGAGTGCTTCAAAGCTGCCCTCTGAAACGGAATGTTCAACTCTATGAGTTGAATGCAAACATCACAAAGACGTTTCTGAGAATGCTTCTGTCTAGATTTGATATGAAGATATTCCCGTTTCCAACGAAATCTTCAAATCTATCCAAATGTCCACTTGCAGATTCAACAAAAAGTGTTTTCCCGAACTGCTCTATCAAAAGAAAGATCCGCCTCTGTTAGCTGAGTCCACACATCACAAACAAGTTTACGAGAATGCTTCCGTCTAGTTTTTAATTGAAGATATTTCCTTTCTCACCATAGACCTGAAAGCTGTCCTAATGTTCACTTCCAGTTACTACAGAAAGAGTGTTTCAAAACTGCTGTACGAAAGGGAATGTTCAACTCTGTGACTTGAATGCACACATCACAAAGAAGTTTCTGAGGATGCTGCTGTCTACTTTTTATACGTAATCCCGTTTCCAACGAAATCCTCCAAGCTATCCAAATATCCACTTGCAGATTCTACAGAAAGACTGTTTCAAAACTGCTCTGTCAATAGAAAGGTTCAACTCTGTTAGCTGTGTGCATATATCCCAAAGAAGATTCTGAGATTGCTTCTGTCTACTTTTTATGAGAAGATATTTTCCCTTTTCACCGTAGGTGTCAAGGCGCTCCAAATGTCCACTTCCAGATACTACAAAAAGAGTGTTTCAAACCTACTCTGTGAAAGGGAATATTCAACTCTGTGACTTGAATGCACATATCACAAAGAAGTTTCTGAGAATGCTTCTGTCGAGATTTTATATGAAGATATTCCCGTTTCCAACGAAACCCTGAAATCTATCCAAATATCCCCTCGCAGATTCTACAAAAAGAGTGTTTCAAAACTGCTCTGTAAAAAGAAAGGTTCAACTCTGTTAGTTGAGTACACACATTACAAACCAGTTTCACAGAATGCTTCTTTCTAGCTTGTAGGGGAAGATATTCCCTTTAACACCATGGGCCTCAAACCGTCCGAAACGTCCACTTCCATATACTACAAAAAGAGCGTTTCAAACCTACTCTATGAAAGGCAATGTTCAACTCTGTGACTTGAATGCAGACATCACAGAGCAGTTTCTGAGAATGCTTCTGTCTAGATTTTATAGGAAGATATTCCCGTTTCCAACGAAATCTTCACAGCTATCCAAATATCCACTTGCAGATACTACAAAAAGAGTGTATCAAAACTGCTCTGTCAAAAGGAAGGTTCTTCTCTGTTAGGTGAGTGCATACGTCATAAAGGAGTTTCTGAGAATGTTTCTGTCTAGTGGTTATGGGAAGATATTTGCTTTTTCCCGTAGGCCTCAGGGCGCTCCAAATGTCCACTTGCACATGCTACAAAAAGAGTGCTTCAAAGCTGCTCTCTGAAAGGGAATGTTCAACTCTATGAGTTGAATGCAAACATCACAAAGACGTTTCTGAGAATGCTTCTGTCTAGATTTGATATGAAGATATTCCCGTTTCCAACGAAATCTTCAAATCTATCCAAATGTCCACTTGCAGATTCAACAAAAAGTGTTTTTCAAAACTGCTCTATCTAAAGAAAGATCCACGTCTGTTAGCTGAGTTCACACATCACAAACAAGTTTATGAGAATGCTTTCTGTCTAGTTTTTATTTGAAGATATTTCCTTTCTCACCATAGACCTGAAAGCTGTCCTAATGTTCACTTCCAGATACTACAGAAAGAGTGTTTCAAAACTGCTGTACGAAAGGGAATGTTCAACTCTGGGACTTGAATGCATACATCACAAAGAAGTTTCTGAGGATGCTGCTGTCTACTTTTTATACGTAATCCCGTTTCCAAAGAAATCCTCCAAGCTATCCAAATATCCACTTGCAGATTCCACAAAAAGACTGTTTCAAAACTGCTCTGTCAATAGAAAGGTTCAACTCTGTTAGCTGCGTGCATATATCCCAAAGAAGATTCTGAGATTGCTTCTGTCTACTTTTTATGAGAAGATATTTCCCTTTTCACTGTAGGTGTCAAGGCGCTCCAAATGTCCACTTCCAGATACTACAAAAAGAGTGTTTCAAACCTACTCTGTGAAAGGGAATATTCAACTCTGTGACTTGAATGCACATATCACAAAGAAGTTTCTGAGAATGCTTCTGTCGAGATTTTATATGAAGATATTCCCGTTTCCAACGAAATCCTGAAACCTATCCAAATATCCCCTCGCAGATTCTACAAAAAGAGTGTTTCAAAACTGCTCTGTAAAAAGAAAGGTTCAACTCTTTTAGTTGAGTACACACATCACAAACAAGTTTCACAGAATGCTTCTTTCTAGCTTGTAGGGGAAGATATTCCCTAAAACACCATGGGCCTCAAACCGTCCGAAACGTCCACTTCCATATACTACAAAAAGAGTGTTTCAAACCTGCTCTATGAAAGGCAATGTTCAACTCTGTGACTTGAATGCAGACAACACAGAGCAGTTTCTGAGAATGCTTCTGTCCAGACTTTATAGGAAGATATTCCCGTTTCCAATGAAATCTTCACAGCTATCCAAGTATCCACTTGCAGATACTACAAAAGAGTGTATCAAAACTGCTCTGTCAAAAGGAAGGTTCTTCTCTGTTAGTTGAGTACATACGTCATAAAGGAGTTTCTGAGAATGTTTCTGTCTAGTGGTTATGGGAAGATATTTGCTTTTTCACCGTAGGCCTCAGAGGGCTCAAAATATCCACTTGCACATACTACAAAAAGAGTGCCTCAAAGCTGCTCTCTGAAACGGAATGTGCAACTCTATGAGTTGAATGCAAACATCGCAAAGACGTTTCTGAGAATGCTTCTGTCTAGATTTGATATGAAGATATTCCCGTTTCCAACGAAATCTTCAAATCTATCCAAATGTCCACTTGCAGATTCAACAAAGTGTTTTTCAAAACTGCTGTATCAAAAGAAAGATCCACCTCTGTTAGCTGAGTTCACACTTCACAAACAAGTTTATCAGAAAGCTTCTGTCTAGTATTTATTTGAAGATATTTCCCTTCTCACCATAGACCTGAAAGCTGTCCTAATGTTCACTTCCAGATACTACAGAAAGAGTGTTTCAAAACTGCTGTACGAAAGGGAATGTTCAACTCTGTGACTTGAATGCACACATCACAAAGAAGTTTCTGAGGATGCTGCTGTCTACTTTTTATACGTAATCCCGTTTCCAACGAAATCCTCCAAGCTATCCAAATATCCACTTGCAGATTCCACAGAAAGACTGTTTCAAAACTGCTCTGTCAATAGAAAGGTTCAACTCTGTTAGCTGCGTGCATATATCCCAAAGAAGATTCTGAGATTGCTCTGTCTAGTTTTTATGGGAAGATATTTCCCTTTTCACCGTAGGCGTCAAGGCGCTCCAAATGTCCACTTCCAGATACTACAAAAAGAGTGTTTCAAACCTACTCTGTGAAAGGGAATATTCAACTCGGTGACTTGAATGGAGATATCACAAAGAACTTTCTGAGAATGCTTCTGTCGAGATTTTATATGAAGATATTCCCGTTTCCAACGAAATCCTGAAATCTATCCAAATATCCCCTCGCAGATTCTATAAAAAGAGTGTTTCAAAACTGCTCTGTAAAAAGAAAGGTTCAACTCTGTTAGTTGAGTACACACATCACAAAGAAGTTTCACAGAATGCTTCTTTCTAGCTTGTAGGGGAAGATATTCCCTTTATCACCATGGGCCTCAAACCGTCCGAACCGTCCACTTCCATATACTACAAAAAGAGCGTTTCAAACCTGCTCTAGGAAAGGCAATGTTCAACTCTGTGACTTGAATGCAGACATCACAGAGCAGTTTCTGAGAATGCTTCTGTCTAGATTTTATAGGAAGATATTCCCGTTTCCAACGAAATCTTCACAGCTATCCATATATCCACTTGCAGATTCTACAAAAAGAGTGTATCAAAACTGCTCTGTCAAAAGGAGGGTTCTTCTCTGTTAGTTGAGTACATACGTCATAAAGGATTTTCTGAGAATGTTTCTGTCTAGTGGTTATGGGAAGATATTTGCTTTTTCACTGTAGGCCTCACAGCGCTCCAAATATCCACTTGCACATACTACAAAAAGAGTGCTTCAAAGCTGCTCTCTGAAACGGAATGTTCAACTCTATGAGTTGAATGCAAACATCACAAAGACGTTTCTGAGAATGCTTCTGTTTAGATTTGATATGAAGATATTCCCGTTTCCAACGAAATCTTCAAATCTATCCAAATATCCACTTGCAGATTCAACAAAAAGTGTTTTTCAGAACTGCTCTATCAAAAGAAAGATCCACCTCTGTTAGCTGAGTTCACACATCACAAACAAGTTTATGAGAATGCTTCTGTCTAGTTTTTATTTGAAGATATTTCCTTTCTCACCATAGACCTGAAAGCTGTCCTAATGTTCACTTCCAGATGCTACAGAAAGTGTGTTTCAAAACTGCTGTACGAAAGGGATTGTTCAACTCTGTGACTTGAATGCACACATCACAAAGAAGTTTCTGAGGATGCTGCTGTCTACTTTTTATACTTAATCCCGTTTCCAACGAAATCCTCCAAGCTATCCAAATATCCACTTGCAGATTCCACAGAAAGACTGTTTCAAAACTGGTCTGTCAATAGAAAGGTTCAACTCTGTTAGCTGCGTGCATATATCCCAAAGAAGATTCTGAGATTGCTTCTGTCCAGTTTTTATGGGAAGATATTTCCCTTTCCACCGTAGGCGTCAAGGCGCTCCAAATGTCCACTTCCAGATACTACAAAAAGAGTGTTTCAAACCTACTCTGTGAAAGGGAATATTCAACTCTGTGACTTGAATGCACATATCACAAAGAAGTTTCTGAGAATGCTTCTGTCGAGATTTTATATGAAGATATTACCGTTTCCAACGAAATCCTGAAATCTATCCAAATATCCCCTCACAGATTCTACAAAAAGAGTGTTTCAAAACTGCTCTGTAAAAAGAAAGGTTCAACTCTGTTAGTTGAGTACACACATCACAAACAAGTTTCACAGAATGCTTCTTTCTAGCTTGTAGGGGAAGATATTCCCTTTATCACCATGGGCCTCAAACGGTCCGAATCGTCTACTTCCATATAGTACAAAAAGAGCGTTTCAAACCTGCTCTATGAAAGGCAATGTTCAACTCTGTGACTTGAATGCAGACATCACAGAGCAGTTTCTGAGAATGCTTCTGTCTAGATTTCATAGGAAGATATTCCCGTTTCCAACGAAATCTTCACAGCTATCCAAATATCCACTTGCAGATTCTACAAAAAGAGTGTATCAAAACTGCTCTGTCAAAAGGAAGGTTCTTTTCTGTTAGGTGAGTGCATACGTCATAAAGGAGTTTCTGAGAATGTTTCTGTCTACTGGTTATGGGAAGATATTTGCTTTTTCACCGTAGGCCTCAGAGCGCTCCAAATATCCCCTTGCACATACTACAAAAAGAGTGCTTCAAAGCTGCTCTCTGAAAGGGAATGTTCAACTCTGTGAGTTGAATGCAAACATCACAAAGACGTTTCTGAGAATGCTTCTGTCTAGATTTGATATGAAGATATTCCCGTTTCCAACGAAATCTTCAAATCTATCCAAATGTCCACTTCCAGATTCAACAAAAAGTGTTTTTCAGAACTGCTCTATCAAAAGAAAGATCCACCTCTGTTAGCTGATTTCACACATCACAAACATGTTTATGACAATGCTTTTGTCTAGTTTTTATTTGAAGATATTTCCTTTCTCACCATAGACCTGAAAGCTGTCCTAATGTTCACTTCCAGTTACTACAGAAAGAGTGTTTCAAAACTGCTGTACGAAAGGGAATGTTCAACTCTGTGACTTGAATGCACACATCACAAAGAAGTTTCTGAGGATGCTGCTGTCTACTTTTTATACTTAATCCCGTTTCCAACGAAATCCTCCAAGCTATCCAAATATCCACTTGCAGATTCCACAGAAAGACTGTTTCAAAACCGCTCTGTCAATAGAAAGGTTCAACTCTGTTAGCTGCGTGCATATATCCCAAAGAAGATTCTGAGATTGCTTCTGTCTAGTTTTTATGGGAAGATATTTCCCTTTTCACCGTAGGTGTCAAGGCGCTCAAAATGTCCACTTCCAGATACTACAAAAAGAGTGTTTCAAACCTACTCTGTGAAAGGGAATATTCAACTCTGTGACTTGAATGCAGATATCACAAAGAAGTTTACTGAGAATGCTTCTGTCGAGATTTTATATGAAGATATTCCCGTTTCCAACGAAATCCTGAAATCTATCCAAATATCCCCTCACAGATTCTACAAAAAGAGTGTTTCAAAACTGCTCTGTAAAAAGAAAGGTTCAACTCTGTTAGTGGAGTACACACATCACAAACAAGTTTCACAGAATGCTTCTTTCTAGCTTGTAGGGGAAGATATTCCCTTTATCACCATGGGCCTCAAACCGTCCGAAACGTCCACTTCCACATACTACAAAAAGAGCGTTTCAAACCTGCTCTATGAAAGGCAATGTTCAACTCTGTGACTTGAATGCAGACATCACAGAGCAGTTTCTGAGAATGCTTCTGTCTAGATTTTATAGGAAGATATTCCCGTTTCCAACGAAATCTTCACAGCTATCCAAATATCCACTTGCAGATTCTACAAAAAGAGTGTATCAAAACTGCTCTGTCAAAAGGAAGGTTCTTCTCAGTTAGGTGAGTGCATACGTCATAAAGGAGTTTCTGAGAATGTTTCTGTCTAATGGTTATGGGAAGATATTTCCTTTTTCACCGTAGGCCTCAGAGCGCTCCAAATATCCACTTGCACATACTACAAAAAGAGTGCTTCAAAGCTGCTCTCTGAAACGGAATGTTCAACTCTATGAGTTGAATGCAAACATCACAAAGACGTTTCTGAGAATGCTTCTGTCTAGATTTGATATGAAGATATTCCCGTTTCTAACGAAATCTTCAAATCTATCCAAATGTCCACTTGCAGATTCAACAAAAAGTGTTTTTCAGAACTGCTCTATCAAAAGAAAGATCCACCTCTGTTAGCTGAGTTCAGACATCACAAACAAGTTTATGAGAATGCTTCTGTCTAGTTTTTATTTGAAGATATTTCCTTTCTCACCATAGACCTGAAAGCTGTCCTAATGTTCACTTCCAGATACTACAGAAAGAGTGTTTCAAAACTGCTGTACGAAAGGGAATGTTCAACTCTGTGACTTGAATGCACACATCACAAAGAAGCTTCTGAGGATGCTGCTGTCTACTTTTTATACGTAATCCCGTTTCCAACGAAATCCTCCAAGCTATCCAAATATCCACTTGCAGATTCCACAGAAAGACTGTTTCAAAACTGCTCTGTCAATAGAAAAGTTCAACTCTGTTAGCTGTGTCCATATATCCCAAAGAAGATTCTGAGATTGCTTCTGTCTACTTTTTATGAGAAGATATTTCCCTTTTCAACGTAGGCGTCAAGGCGCTCCAAATGTCCACTTCCAGATACTACAAAAAGAGTGTTTCAAACCTACCCTGTGAAAGGGAATATTCAACTCTGTGACTTGAATGCACATATCACAAAGAAGCTTCTGAGAATGCTTCTGTCGAGATTTTATATGAAGATATTCCCGTTTCCAACGAAATCCTGAAATCTATCCAAATATCCCCTCGCAGATTCTACAAAAAGAGTGTTTCAAAACTGCTCTGTAAAAAGAAAGGTTCAACTCCGTTAGTTGAGTACACACATCACAAACAAGTTTCACAGAATGCTTCTTTCTAGCTTGTAGGGGAAGATATTCCCTTTATCACCCTGGGCCTCCAACCGTCCGAAACGTCCACTTCCATATACTACAAAAAGAGCGTTTCAAACCTGCTCTAGGAAAGGCAATGTTCAATTCTGTGACTTCAATGCAGACATCACAGAGCAGTTTCTGAGAATGCTTCTGTCTAGATTTTATAGGAAGGTATTCCCGTTTCCAACGAAATATTCACAGCTATCCAAATATCCACTTGCAGATTCTACAAAAAGAGTGCATCAAAACTGCTCTGTCAAAAGGAAGGTTCTTCTCTGTTAGGTGAGTGCATACGTCATAAAGGAGTTTCTGAGAATGTTTCTGTCTAGTGGTTATGGGAAGATATTTGCTTTTACACCGTAGGCCTCAGAGCGCTCCAAATATCCACTTGCACATACTACAAAAAGAGTGCTTCAAAGCTGGTCTCTGAAACGGAATGTTCAACTCTATGAGTTGAATGCAAACATCACAAAGACGTTTCTGAGAATGCTTCTGTCTAGATTTGATATGAAGATATTCCCGTTTCCAACGAAATCTTCAAATCTATCCAAATGTCCACTTGCAGATTCAACAAAACGTGTTTTTCAGAACTGCTCTATCAAAAGAAAGATCCACGTCTGTTAGCTGAGTTCACACATCACAAACAAGTTTTATGAGAATGCTTCTGTCTAGTTTTTATTTGAAGATATTGCCTTTCTCACCATAGACCTGAAAGCTGTCCTAATGTTCACTTCCAGATACTACAGAAAGAGTGTTTCAAAACTGCTGTACGAAAAGGAATGTTCAACTCTGTGACTTGAATGAACACATCACAAAGAAGTTTCTGAGGATGCTGCTGTCTACTTTTTATAGGTAATCCCGTTTCCAACGAAATCCTCCAAGCTATCCAAATATCCACTTGCAGATTCCACAGAAAGACTGTTTCAAAACTGCTCTGTCAATAGAAAGGTTCAACTCTGTTAGCTGCGTGCATATATCCCAAAGAAGATTCTGAGATTGCTTCTGTCTAGTTTTTATGGGAAGATATTTCCCTTTTCACCATAGGTGTCAAGGCGCTCCAAATGTCCACTTCCAGATACTACAAAAAGAGTGTTTCAAACCTACTCTGTGAAAGGGAATATTCAACTCTGTGACTTGAATGCAGATATCACAAAGAAGTTTCTGAGAATGCTTCTGTCGAGATTTTATATGAAGATATTCCCGTTTCCAATGAAATCCTGAAATCTATCCAAATATCCCCTCGCAGATTCTACAAAAAGAGTGTTTCAAAACTGCTCTGTAAAAAGAAAGGTTGAACTCTGTTAGTTGAGTACACACATCACAAACAAGTTTCACAGAATGCTTCTTTCTAGCTTGTAGGGGAAGATATTCCCTTCATCACCATGGGCCTCCAACCGTCCGAAACATCCACTTCCATATACTACAAAAAGAGCGTTTCAAACCTGCTCTATGAAAGGCAATGTTCAACTCTGTGACTTGAATGCAGACATCACAGAGCAGTTTCTGAGAATGCTTCTGTCTAGATTTTATAGGAAGATATTCCCGTTTCCAACGAAATCTTCACAGCTATCCAAATATCCAGTTGCAGATTCTGCAAAAAGAGTGTATCAAAACTGCTCTGTCAAAAGGAAGGTTCTTCTCTGTTAGGTGAGTGCATACGTCATAAAGGAGTTTCTGAGAATGTTTCTGTCTAGTGGTTATGGGAAGATATTTTCTTTTTCACCGTAGGCCTCAGAGCGCTCCAAATATCCACTTGCACATACTACAAAAAGAGTGTTCCAAAGCTGCTCTCTGAAAGGGAATGTTCAACTCTATGAGTTGAATGCAAACATGACAAAGACGTTTCTGAGAATGCTTCTGTCTAGATTTGATATGAAGATATTCCCGTTTCCAACGAAATCTTCAAATCTATCCAAATGTCCACTTGCAGATTCAACAAAAAGTGTTTTTCAGAACTGCTCTATCAAAAGAAAGATCCACCTCTGTTAGCTGAGATCACACTTCACAAACAAGTTTATCAGAATGCTTTCTGTCTAGTTTTTATTTGAAGATATTTCCTTTCTCACCATAGACCTGAAAGCTGTCCTAATGTTCACTTCCAGATACTACAGAAAGAGTGTTTCAAAACTGCTGTACGAAAGGGAATGTTGAACTCTGTGACTTGAATGCACACATCACAAAGAAGTTTCTGAGGATGCTGCTGTCTACTTTTTATACGTAATCCCGTTTCCAACGAAATCCTCCAAGCTATCCAAATATCCACTTGCAGATTACACAGAAAGACTGTTTCAAAACTGCTCTGTCAATAGAAAGGTTCAACTCTGTTAGCTGCGTGCATGTATCCCAAAGAAGATTCTGAGATTGCTTCTGTCTAGTTTTTATGGGAAATATTTCCCTTTTCACCGTAGGTGTCAAGGCGCTCCAAATGTCCACTTCCAGATACTACAAAAAGAGTGTTTCAAACCTACTCTGTGAAAGGGAATATTCAACTCTGTGACTTGAATGCACATATCACAAAGAAGTTTCTGAGAATGCTTCTGTCGAGATTTTATATGAAGATATTCCCGTTTCCAACGAAATGCTGAAATCTATCCAAATATCCCCTCGCAGATTCTACAAAAAGAGTGTTTCAATACTGCTCTGTGAAAAGAAAGGTTCAACTCTGTTAGTTGAGTACACACATCACAAACAAGTTTCACACAATGCTTCTTTCTAGCTTGTAGGGGAAGATATTCCCTTTATCACCATGGGCCTCAAACCGTCCGATAAGTCCACTTCCATATACTACAAAAAGAGCGTTTCAAACCTGCTCTATGAAAGGCAACCGTTCAACTCTGTGACTTGAATGCAGACATCACAGAGCAGTTTCTGAGAATGCTTCTGTCTAGATTTTATAGGAAGATATTCCCGTTTCCAACGAAATCTTCACAGCTATCCAAATATCCACTTGGAGATTCTACAAAAAGAGTGTATCAAAACTGTTCTGTCAAAAAGAAGGTTCTTCTCTGTTAGTTGAGTACATACGTCATAAAGGAGTTTCTGAGAATGTTTCAGTCTAGTGGTTATGGGAAGATATTTGCTTTTTCACCGTAGACCTCACAGCGCTCCAAATATCCACTTGCACATACTACAAAAAGAGTGCTTCAAAGCTGCCCTCTGAAACGGAATGTTCAACTCTATGAGTTGAATGCAAACATCACAAAGACGTTTCTGAGAATGCTTCTGTCTAGATTTGATATGAAGATATTCCCGTTTCCAACGAAATCTTAAAATCTATCCAAATGTCCACTTGCAGATTCAACAAAAAGTGTTTTTCAGAACTGCTCTATCAAAAGAAAGATCCACCTCTGTTAGCTGAGTTCACACATCACAAACAAGTTTATGAGAATGCTTCTGTCTAGTTTTTATTTGAAGATATTTCCTTTCTCACCATAGACCTGAAAGCTGTCCTAATGTTCACTTCCAGATAATACAGAAAGAGTGTTTCAAAACTGCGGTACGAAAGGGAATGTTCAACTCTGTGACTTGAATGCACACATCACAAAGAAGTTTCTGAGGATGCTGCTGTCTACTTTTTATACTTAATCCCGTTTCCAACGAAATCCTCCAAGCTATCCAAATATCCACTTCCAGATTCCACAGAAAGACTGTTTCAAAACTGCTCTGTCAATACAAAGGTTCAACTCTGTTAGCTGCGTGCATATATCCCAAAGAAGATTCTGAGATTGCTTCTGTCTACTTTTTATGAGAAGATATTTCCCTTTTCACCGTAGGCGTCAAGGTGCTCAAAATGTCCACTTCCAGATACTACAAAAAGAGTGTTTCAAACCTACTCTGTGAAAGGGAATATTCAACTCTGTGACTTGAATGCACATATCACAAAGAAGCTTCTCAGAATGCTTCTGTCGAGATTTTATATGAAGATATTCCCGTTTCCAACGAAATCCAGAAATCTATCCAAATATCCCCTCGCAGATTCTACAAAAAGAGTGTTTCAAAACTGCTCTGTGAAAAGAAAGGTTCAACTCTGTTAGTTGAGTACACACATCACAAACAAGTTTCACAGAATGCTTCTTTCTAGCTTGTAGGGGAAGATATTCCCTTTATCACCGTGGGCCTCAAACCGTCCGAAACGTCCACTTCCATATACTACAAAAAGAGCGTTTCAAACCTGCTCTATGAAAGGCAATGTTCAACTCTGTGACTTGAATGCAGACATCACAGAGCAGTTTCTGAGAATGCTTCTGTCTAGATTTTATAGGAAGATATTCCCGTTTCCAACGAAATCTTCACAGCTATCCAAATATCCACTTGCAGATTCTGCAAAAAGAGTGTATCAAAACTGCTCAGTCAAAAGGTAGGTTCTTCTCTGTTAGGTGAGTGCATACGTCATAACGGAGTTTCTGAGAATGTTTCTGTCTAGTGGTTATGGGAAGATATTTGCTTTTTCCCCGTAGGCCTCAAAGCGCTCCAAATGTCCACTTGCACATACTACAAAAAGAGTGCTTCAAAGCTGCTCTCTGAAAGGGAATGTTCAACTCTATGAGTTGAATGCATACATCACAAAGACGTTTCTGAGAATGCTTCTGTCTAGACTTGATATGAAGATATTCCCGTTTCCAACGAAACCTTCAAATCTATCCAAATGTCCACTTGCAGATTCAACAAAAAGTGTTTTTCAGAACTGCTCTATCAAAAGAAAGATCCACCTCTGTTAGCTGAGTTCACACATCACAAACAAGTTTATGAGAATGCTTCTGTCTAGTTTTTATTTGAAGATATTTCCTTTCTCACCATAGACCTGAAAGCTGTCCTAATGTTCACTTCCAGATACTACAGAAAGAGTGTTTCAAAACTGCTGTACGAAAGGGAATGTTCATCTCTGTGACTTGAATGCACACATCACAAAGAAGTTTCTGAGGATGCTGCTGTCTACTTTTTATACGTAATCCCGTTTCCAAAGAAATCCTCGAAGCTATCCAAATATCCACTTGCAGATTCCACAGAAAGACTGTTTCAAAACTGCTCTGTCAATAGAAAGGTTCAACTCTATTAGCTGCGTGCATATATCCCAAAGAAGATTCTGAGATTGCTTCTGTCTAGTTTTTATGGGAAGATATTTCCCTTTTCACCGTAGGTGTCAAGGCGCTCCAAATATCCACTTCCAGATACTACAAAAAGAGTGTTTCAAACCTACTCTGTGAAAGGGAATATTCAACTCTGTGACTTGAATGCAGATATCACAAAGAAGTTTCTGAGAATGCTTCTGTCGAGATTTTATATGAAGATATTCCCGTTTCCAACGAAATCCTGAAATCTATCCAAATATCCCCTCGCAGATTCTACAAAAAGAGTGTTTCAAAACTGCTCTGTAAAAGGAAAGGTTCAACTCTGTTAGTTGAGTACACACATCACAAACAAGTTTCACAGAATGCTTCTTTCTAGCTTGTAGGGAAAGATATTCCCTTTAACACCATGGGCCTCAAACCGTCCGAAACGTCCACTTCCATATACTACAAAAAGAGCGTTTCAAACCTGCTCTAGGAAAAGCAATGTTCAACTCTGTGACTTGAATGCAGACATCACAGAGCAGTTTCTGAGAATGCTTCTGTCTAGATTTTATAGGAAGATATTCCCGTTTCCATCGAAATCTTCACAGCTATCCAAATATCCACTTGCAGATTGTACAAAAAGAGTGTATCAAAACTGCTCTTTCAAAAGGAAGGTTCTTCTCTGTTAGTTGAGTACATACGTCATAAAGGAGTTTCTGAGAATGTTTCTGTCTAGTGGTTATGGGAAGATATTTGCTTTTTCACCTTAGGCCTCAGAGCGCTCCAAATATCCCCTTGCACATACTACAAAAAGAGTGCTTCAAAGCTGCTCTCTGAAAGGGAATCTTCAACTCTATGAGTTGAATGCAAACATCACAAAGACGTTTCTGAGAATGCTTCTGTCTAGATTTCATATAAAGATATTCCTGTTTCCAACGAAATCTTCAAATCTATTCAAATGTCCACTTGCAGATTCAACAAAAAGTGTTTTTCAAAACTGCTGTTTCGAAAGAAAGATCCACCTGTTAGCTGAGTTCACACTTCACAAACAAGTTTATCAGAATGCTTCTGTCTAGTTTTTATTTGAAGATATTTCCTTTCTCACCATAGACCTGAAAGCTGTCCTAATGTTCACTTCCAGATACTACAGAAAGAGTGTTTCAAAACTGCTGTACGAAATGGAATGTTCAACTCTGTGACTTGAATGCACACATCACAAAGAAGTTTCTGAGGATGCTGCTGTCTACTTTTTATACGTAATCCCGTTTCCAACGAAATCCTCCAAGCTATCCAAATATCCACTTGCAGATTCCACAGAAAGACTGTTTCAAATCTGCTCAGTCAATAGAAAGGTTCAACTCTGTTAGCTGCGTGCATATATCCCAAAGAAGATTCTGAGATTGCTTTCTGTCTAGTTTTTATGGGAAGATATTTACCTTTTCACCGTAGGCGCCAAGGCGTTCCAAATGTCCACTTCCAGATACTACAAAAAGAGTGTTTCAAACCTACTCTGTGAAAGGGAATATTCAACTCTGTGACTTGAAGGCAGATATCACAAAGAAGTTTCCTGAGAATGCTTCTGTCGAGATTTTATATGAAGATATTCTCGTTTCCAACGAAATCCTGAAACCTATCCAAATATCCCCTCACAGATTCTACAAAAAGAGTGTTTCAAAACTGCTCTGTAAAAAGAAAGGTCCAACTCTGTTAGTTGAGTACACACATCACAAACAAGTTTCACAGAATGCTTCTTTCTAGCTTGTAGGGGAAGATATTCCCTTTATCACCATGGGCCTCAAACCATCCGAAACGTCCACTTCCATATACTACAAAAAGAGCGTTTCAAACCTGCTCTATGAAAGGCAATGTTCAACTCTGTGACTTGAATGCAGACATCACAGAGCAGTTTCTGAGAATGCTTCTGTCTAGATTTTATAGGAAGATATTCCCGTTTCCAGCAAAATCTTCACAGCTATCCAAATATCCACTTGCAGATTCTACAAAAAGAGTGTATCAAAACTGCTCTGTCAAAAGGAAGGTTCTTCTCTGTTAGGTGAGTGCATACGTCATAAAGGAGTTTCTGAGAATGTTTCCGTCTAGTGGTTATGGGAAGATATTTGCTTTCTCACCGTAGGCCTCAGAGCGCTCCAAATATCCACTTGCACATACTACAAAAAGAGTGCTTCAAAGCTGCTCTCTGAAACGGAATGTTCAACTCTATGAGTTGAATGCAAACATCACAAAGACGTTTCTGAGAATGCTTCTGTCTAGATTTGTTATGAAGATATTCCCGTTTCCAACGAAATCTTCAAATCTATCCAAATGTCCACTTGCAGATTCAACAAAAAGTGTTTTTCAGAACTGCTCTATCAAAAGAAAGATCCACCTCTGTTAGCTGAGTTCACACATCACAAACAAGTTTATGAGAATGCTTCTGTCTAGTTTTTATTTGAAGATATTTCCTTTCTCACCATAGACCTGAAAGCTGTCCTAATGTTCACTTCCAGATACTACAGAAAGAGTGTTTCAAAACTGCTGTACGAAAGGGAATGTTCAACTCTGTGGCTTGAATGCACACATCACAAAGAAGTTTCTGAGGATGCTGCTGTCTACTTTTTGTACGTAATCCCGTTTCCAACGAAATCCTCCAAGCTATCCAAATATCCACTTGCAGATTCCACAGAAAGACTGTTTCAAAACTGCTCTGTCAATAGAAAGGTTCAACTCTGTTAGCTGCGTGCATATATCCCAAAGAAGATTCTGAGATTGCTTCTGTCTAGTTTTTATGGGAAGATATTTCCCTTTTCACCGTAGGCGTCAAGGCGCTCCAAATGTCCACTTCCAGATACTACAAAAAGAGTGTTTCAAACCTACTCTGTGAAAGGGAGTATTCAACCCTGTGACTTGAATACACATATCACAAAGAAGTTTCTGAGAATGCTTCTGTCGAGATTTTATATGAAGATATTCCCGTTTCCATCGAAATCCTGAAATCTATCCAAATATCCCCTCGCAGATTCTACAAAAAGAGAGTTTCAAAACTGCTCTGTAAAAAGAAAGGTTCAACTCTGTTAGTTGAGTACACACATCACAAACAAGTTTCACAGAATGCTTCTTTCTAGCTTGTAGGGGAAGATATTCCCTTTATCACCATGGGCCTCAAACCGTCCGAAACGTCCATTTCCATATACTACAAAAAGAGCGTTTCAAACCTGCTCCATGAAAGGCAATGTTCAACTCTGTGACTTGAACGGAGACATCACAGAGCAGTTTCTGAGAATGCTTCTGTCTAGATTTTATAGGAAGATATTCCCGTTTCCAACGAAATCTTCACAGCTATCCAAATATCCACTTGCAGATTCTACAAAAAGAGTGTATCAAAAATGCTCTGTCAAAAGGAAGGTTCTTCTCTGTTAGGTGAGTGCATACGTCATAGAGGAGTTTCTCAGAATGTTTCCTGTCTAGTGGTTATGGGAAGATATTTGCTTTTTCCCCGTAGGCCTCAGGGCGCTCCAAATGTCCACTTGCACATGCTACAAAAAGAGTGCTTCAAAGCTGCTCTCTGAAAGGGAATGTTCAACTCTATGAGTTGAATGCAAACATCACAAAGACGTTTCTGAGAATGCTTCTGTCTAGATTTGATATGAAGATATTCCCGTTTCCAACGAAATCTTCAAATCTATCCAAATGTCCACTTGCAGATTCAACAAAAAGTGTTTTTCAGAACTGCTCTATCAAAAGAAAGATCCACGTGTGTTAGTTGAGTTCACACATCACAAACAAGTTTATGAGAATGCTTCCGTCTAGTTTTTATTTGAAGATATTTCCTTTCTCACCATAGACCTGAAAGCTGTCCTAATGTTCACTTCCAGTTACTACAGAAAGAGTGTTTCAAAACTGCTGTACGAAAGGGAATGTTCAACTCTGTGACTTGAATGCACACATCACAAAGAAGTTTCTGAGGATGCTGCTGTCTAATTTTTATACGTAATCCCGTTTCCAACGAAATCCTCCAAGCTATCCAAATATCCACTTGCAGATTCCACAGAAAGACTGTTTCAAAACTGCTATGTCAATAGAAAAGTTCAACTACTGTTAGCTGTGTGCATATATCCCAAAGAAAATTCTGAGATTGCTTCTGTCTAGTTTTTATGGGAAGATATTTCCCTTTTCACTGTAGGCGTCAAGGCGCTCCAAATGTCCACTTCCAGATACTACAAAAAGAGTGTTTCAAACCTACTCTGTGAAAGGGAATATTCAACTCTGTGACTTGAATGCACATATCACAAAGAAGTTTCTGAGAATGCTTCTGTCGAGATTTTATATGAAGATATTCCCGTTTCCAACGAAATGCTGAAATGTATCCAAATAACCCATCGCAGATTCTACAAAAAGAGTGTTTCAAAACTGCTCTGTAAAAAGAAAGGTTCAACTCTGTTAGTTGAGTACACACATCACAAACAAGTTTCACAGAATGCTTCTTTCTAGCTTGTAGGGGAAGATATTCCCTTTATCACCATGGGCCTCAAACCGTCCGAAACGTCCACTTCCATATACTACAAAAAGAGCATTTCAAACCTGCTCTAGGAAAGGCAATGTTCAACTCTGTGAATTGAATGCAGACATCACAGAGCAGTTTCTGAGAATGCTTCTGTCTAGATTTTATAGGAAGATATTCCCGTTTCCAACGAAATCTTCACAGCTATCTAAATATCCACTTGCAGATTCTACAAAAAGAGTGTATCAAAAGTGCTCTGTCAAAAGGAAGGTTCTTCTCTGTTAGGTGAGTGCATACGTCATAAAGGAGTTTCTGAGAATGTTTCTGTCTACTGGTTATGGGAAGATATTTGCTTTTTCACCGTAGGCCTCAGAGCGCTCCAAATATCCACTTGCACATACTACAAAAAGAGTGCTTCAAAGCTGCTCTCTGAAACGGAATGTTCAACTCTATGAGTTGAATGCAAACATCACAAAGACGTTTCTGAGAATGCTTCTGTCTAGATTTGATATGAAGATATTCCCGTTTCCAACGAAATCTTCAAATCTATCCAAATGTCCACTTGCAGTTTCAACAAAAAGTGTTTTTCAGAACTGCTCTATCAAAAGAAAGATCCACCTCTGTTAGCTGAGTTCACACATCACAAACAAGTTTATGAGAATGCTTTCTGTCTAGTTTTTATTTGAAGATATTTCCTTTCTCACCATAGACCTGAAAGCTGTCCTAATGTTCACTTCCAGATACTACAGAAAGAGCATTTCAAAACTGCTGTACGAAAGAGAATGTTCAACTCTGTGACTTGAATGCACACATCACAAAGAAGTTTCTGAGGATGCTGCTGTCTACTTTTTATACTTAATCCCGTTTCCAACGAAGTCCTCCAAGCTATCCAAATATCCACTTGCAGATTCCACAGAAAGACTGTTTCAAAACTGCTCTGTCAATAGAAAGGTTCAACTCTGTTAGCTGCGTGCATATATCCCAAAGAAGATTCTGAGATTGCTTCTGTCTAGTTTTTATTGGAAGATATTTCCCTTTTCACCGTGGGCGTCAAGGCGCTCCAAATGTCCACTTCCAGATACTACAAAAAGAGTGTTTCAAACCTACTCTGTGAAAGGGAATATTCAACTCTGTGACTTGAATGCACATATCACAAGGAAGTTTCTGAGAATGCTTCTGTCGAGATTTTATATGAAGATATTCCCGTTTCCAACGAAATCCTGAAATCTATCCAAATATCCCCTCGCAGATTCTACAAAAAGAGTGTTTCAAAACTGCTCTGCAAAAAGAAAGGTTCAACTCTGTTAGTTGAGTACACACATCACAAACAAGTTTCCTCAGAATGCTTCTTTCTAGCTGCTAGGGGAAGATATTCCCTTTATCACCATGGGCCTCAAACCGTCCGAAACGTCCACTTCCATATACTACAAAAAGAGCGTTTCAAACCTGCTCTAGGAAAGGCAATGTTCAACTCTGTGATTTGAATGCAGACATCACAGAGCAGTTTCTGAGAATGCTTCTGTCTAGATTTTATAGGAGGATATTCCCGTTTCCAACGAAATCTTCACAGCTATCCAAATATCCACTTGCAGATTCTACAAAAAGAGTGTATCAAAACTGCTCTGTCAAAAGGAAGGTTCTTCTCTGTTAGGTGAGTGCATACGTCATAAAGGAGTTTCTGAGAATGTTTCTGTCTAGTGGTTATGGGAAGATACTTGCTTTTTCACCGTAGGCCTCAGAGCGCTCCAAATATCCACTTGCACATACTACAAAAAGAGTGCTTCAAAGCTGCTCTCTGAAACGGAATGTTCAACTCTATGAGTTGAATGCAAACATCACAAAGACGTTTCTGAGAATGCTTCTGTCTAGATTTGATATGAAGATATTCCCGTTTCCAACGAAATCTTCAAATCTATCCAAATGTCCACTTGCAGATTCAACAAAAAGTGTTTTTCAAAACTGCTCTATCAAAAGAAAGATCCACCTCTGTTAGCTGAGTTCACACATCACAAACAAGTTTATGAGAATGCTTCTGTCTAGTTTTTATTTGAAGATATTTCCTTTCTCACCATAGACGTGAAAGCTGTCCTAATGTTCACTTCCAGATACTACAGAAAGAGAGTTTCAAAACTGCTGTACGAAAGGGAATGTTCAACTCTGTGACTTGAATGCACACATCACAAAGAAGTTTCTGAGGATGCTGCTGTCTACTTTTTATGCGTAATCCCGTTTCCAACGAAATCCTCCAAGCTATCCAAATATCCACTTGCAGATTCCACAGAAAGACTGTTTCAAAACTGCTCTGTCAATAGAAAGGTTCAACTCTGTTAGCTGCGTGCAAATATCCCAAAGAAGATTCTGAGATTGCTTCTGTCTACTTTTTATGAGAAGATATTTCCCTTTTCACCGTAGGCGTCAAGGTGCTCCAAATGTCCACTTCCAGATACTACAAAAAGAGTGTTTCAAACCTACTCTGTGAAAGGGAATATTGAACTCTGTGACTTGAATGCACATATCACAAAGAAGCTTCTGAGAATGCTTCTGTCGAGATTTTATATGAAGATATTCCCGTTTCCAACGAAATCCTGAAATCTATCCAAATATCCCCTCGCAGATTCTACAAAAAGAGTGTTTCAACACTGCTCTGTAAAAAGAAAGGTTCAACTCTGTTAGTTGAGTACACACATCACAAACAAGTTTCACAGAATGCTTCTTTCTAGCTTGTAGGGGAAGATATTCCCTTTATCACCATGGGCTTCAAACCGTCCGAAACGTCCACTTCCATATACTACAAAAAGAGCGTTTCAAACCTGCTCTATGAAAGGCAATGTTCAACTCTGTGACTTGAATGCAGACATCACAGAGCAGTTTCTGAGAATGCTTCTGTATAGATTTTATAGGAAGATATTCCCGTTTCCAACGAAATCTTCACAGCTATCCAAATATCCACTTGCAGATTCTACAAAAAGAGTGTATCAAAACTGCTCTGTCAAAAGGAAGGTTCTTCTCTGTTAGGTGAGTGCATACGTCATAAAAGGAGTTTCTGAGAATGTTTCTGTGTAGTGGTTATGGGAAGATATTTGCTTTTTCACCGTAGGCCTCAGAGCGCTCCAAATATCCACTTGCACATACTACAAAAAGAGTGCTTCAAAGCTGCTCTCTGAAACGGAATGTTCAACTCTATGAGTTGAATGCAAACATCACAAAGACGTTTCCGAGAATGCTTCTGTCTAGATTTGATATGAAGATATTCCCGTTTCCAACGAAATCTTCAAATCTATCCAAATGTCCACTTGCATATTCAACAAAAGTGTTTTTCAGAACTGCTCTATCAAAAGAAAGATCCACCTCTGTTAGCTGAGTTCACACATCACAAACAAGTTTATGAGAATGCTTCTGTCTAGTTTTTATTTGAAGATATTTCGTTTCTCACCATAGACCTGAAAGCTGTCCTAATGTTCACTTCCAGATACTACAGAAAGAGTGTTTCAAAACTGCTGTACGAAAGGGAATGTTCAACTCTGTGACTTGAATGCACACATCACAAAGAAGTTTCTGAGGATGCTGCTGTCTACTTTTTATACGTAATCCTGTTTCCAACGAAATCCTCCAAGCTATCCAAATATCCACTTGCAGATTCCACAGAAAGACTGTTTCAAAACTGCTATGTCAATAGAAAAGTTCAACTCTGTTAGCTGTGTGCATATATCCCAAAGAAAATTCTGAGATTGCTTCTGTCTAGTTTTTATGGGAAGATATTTCCCTTTTCACCGTAGGCGTCAAGGCGCTCCAAATGTCCACTTCCAGATACTACAAAAAGAGTGTTTCAAACCTACACTGTGAAAGGGAATATTCAACTCTGTGACTTGAATGCACATATCACAAAGAAGTTTCTGAGAATGCTTCTGTCGAGATTTTATATGAAGATATTCCCGTTTCCAACGAAATCCTGAAACCTATCCAAATATCCCCTCGCAGATTCTACAAAAAGAGTGTTTCAAAACTGCTCTGTAAAAAGAAAGGTTCAACTCTGTTAGTTGAGTACACACATCACAAACAAGTTTCACAGAATGCTTCTTTCTAGCTTGTAGGGGAAGATATTCCCTTTATCACCATGGGCCTCAAACCGTCCGAAACGTCTACTTCCATATACTACAAAAAGAGCGTTTCAAACCTGCTCTATGAAAAGCAATATTCAACTCTGTGACTTGAATGCAGACATCACAGAGCAGTTTCTGAGAATGCTTCTGTCTAGATTTTATAGGAAGATATTCCCGTTTCCAACGAAATCTTCACAGATATCCAAATATCCACTTGCAGATTCTACAAAAAGAGTGTATCAAAACTGCTCTGTCAAAAGGAAGGTTCTTCTCTGATAGGTGAGTGCATACGTCATAAAGGAGTTTCTGAGAATGTTTCTGTCTAGTGGTTATGGGAAGATATTTGCTTTTTCACCTTAGGCCTCAGAGCGCTCCAAATATCCCCTTGCACATACTATAAAAAGAGTGCTTCAAAGCTGCTCTCTGGAAGGGAATGTTCAACTCTATGAGTTGAATGCAAGCATCACAAAGACGTTTCTGAGAATGCTTCTGTCTAGATTTGATATGAAGATATTCCCGTTTCCAACGAAATCTTCAAATCTATCCAAATGTCCACTTGCAGATTCAACAAAATGTTTTTCAAAACTGCTGTATCAAAAGAAAGATCCACCTGTGTTAGCTGAGTTCACACTTCACAAACAAGTTTATCAGTATTCTTCTGTCTAGTTTTTATTTGAAGATATTTCCATTCTCACCATAGACCTGAAAGCTGTCCTAATGTTCACTTCCAGATGCTACAGAAAGAGTGTTTCAAAACTGCTGTACGAAAGGGAATATTCAACTCTGTGACTTGAATGCACACATCACAAAGAAGTTTCTGAGGATGCTGCTGTCTACTTTTTATACGTAATCCCGTTTCCAACGAAATCCTCCAAGCTATCCAAATATCCACTTGCATATTCCACAGAAAGACTGTTTCAAAACTGCTATGTCAATAGAAAAGTTCAACTCTGTTAGCTGTGTGCATATATCCCAAAGAAAATTCTGAGATTGCTTCTGTCTAGTTTTTATGGGAAGATATTTCCCTTTTCACCGTAGGTGTCAAGGCGCTCCAAATGTCCACTTCCAGATACTACAAAAAGAGTGTTTCAAACCTACTCTGTGAAAGGGAATATTCAACTCTGTGACTTCAATGCACATATCACAAAGAAGTTTCTGAGAATGCTTCTGTCGAGATTTTATATGAAGATATTCCCGTTTCCAACGAAATGCTGAAATGTATCCAAATATCCCCTCGCAGATTCTACAAAAAGAGTGTTTCAAAACTGCTCTGTGAAAAGAAAGGTTCAACTCTGTTAGTTGAGTACACACATCACAAACAAGTTTCACAGAATGCTTCTTTCTAGCTTGTAGGGGAAGATATTCCCTTTATCACCATGGGCCTCAAACCGTCCGAAACGTCCACTTCCATATACTACAAAGAGAGCGTTTCAAACCTGCTCTAGGAAAGGCAATGTTCAACTCTGTGACTTGAATGCAGACATCACAGAGCAGTTTCTGAGAATGCTTCTGTCTAGATTTTATAGGAAGATATTCCCGTTTCCAACGAGATCTTCACAGCTATCCAAATATCCGCTTGCAGATTCTACAAAAAGAGTGTATCAAATCTGCTCTGTCAAAAGGAAGGTTCTTCTCTGTTAGTTGAGTACATACGTCATAAAGGAGTTTCTGAGAATGTTTCCGTCTAGTGGTTATGGGAAGATATTTGCTTTTTCACCGAAGGCCTCAGAGCGCTCCAAATATCCACTTGCACATACTACAAAATGAGTGCCTCAAAGCTGCTCTCTGAAACGGAATGTTCAACTCTATGAGTTGAATGCAAACATCACAAAGACGTTTCCGAGAATGCTTCTTGCCTAGATTTGATATGAAGATATTCCCGTTTCCAACGAAATCTTCAAATCTATCCAAATGTCCACTTGCAGATTCAACAAAAAGTGTTTTTCAGAACTGCTCTATCAAAAGAAAGATCCATCCTCTGTTAGCTGAGTTCACACATCACAAACAAGTTTATGAGAATGCTTCCGTCTAGTTTTTATTTGAAGATATTTCCTTTCTCACCATAGACCTGAAAGCTGTCCTAATGTTCACTTCCAGATACTACAGAAAGAGTGTTTCAAAACTGCTGTACGAAAGGGAATGTTCAACTCTGTGACTTGAATGCACACATCACAAAGAAGTTTGCTGAGGATGCTGCAGTCTACTTTTTATACGTAATCCCGTTTCCAAAGAAAACCTCCAAGCTATCCAAATATCCACTTGCAGATTCCACAGAAAGACTGTTTCAAAACTGCTCTGTCAATAGAAAGGTTCAACTCTGTTAACTCCGTGCATATATCCCAAAGAAGATTCTGAGATTGCTGCTGTCTACTTTTTATGAGAAGATATTTCCCTTTTCACCGTAGGCGTCAAGGCGCTCCAAATGTCCACTTCCAGATACTACAAAAAGAGTGTTTCAAACCTACTCTGTGAAAGGGAATATTGAACTCTGTGACTTGAATGCACATATCACAAAGAAGCTTCTGAGAATGCTTCTGTCGAGATTTTATATGAAGATATTCCCGTTTCCAACGAAATCCTGAAATCTATCCAAATATCCCCTCGCAGATTCTACAAAAAGACTGTTTCAAAACTGCTCTGTAAAAAGAAAGGTTCAACTCTGTTAGTTGAGTACACACATCACAAACAAGTTTCACAGAATGCTTCTTTCTAGCTTGTAGGGGAAGATATTCCCTTTATCACCATGGGCCTCAAACCGTCCGAAACGTCCACTTCCATATACTACAAAAAGAGTGTTTCAAACCTGCTCTATGAAAGGCAATGTTCAACTCTGTGACTTGAATGCAGACATCAAAGAGCAGTTTCTGAGAATGCTTCTGTCTAGATATTATAGGAAGATATTCCCGATTCCCACGAAATCTTCACAGCTATCCAAATATCCACTTGCAGATTCTACAAAAAGAGTGTATCAAAACTGCTCTGTCAAAAGGAAGGTTCTTCTCTGTTAGGTGAGTGCATACGTCATAAAGGAGTTTCTGAGAATGTTTCTGTCTAGTGGTTATGGGAAGATATTTGCTTTTTCACCTTAGGCCTCAGAGCGCTCCAAATATCCACTTGCACATACTACAAAAAGAGTGCTTCAAAGCTGCTCTCTGAAACGGAATGTTCAACTCTATGAGTTGAATGCAAACATCACAAAGACGTTTCTGACAATGCTTCTGTCTAGATTTGATATGAAGATATTCCCGTTCCCAACGAAATCTTCAAATCTATCCAAATGTCCACTTGCAGATTCAACAAAAAGTGTTTTTCAGAACTGCTCTATCAAAAGAAAGATCCACCTCTGTTAGCTGAGTTCACACATCACAAACAAGTTTATGAAAATGCTTCTGTCTAGTTTTTATTTGAAGTATATATCCTTTCTCACTATAGACCTGAAAGCTCTCCTAAAGTTCACTTCCAGATACTACAGAAAGAGTGTTTCAAAACTGCTGTACGAAAGGGAATGTTCAACTCTGTGACTTGAATGCACACATCACAAGGATGTTTCTGAGGATGCTGCTGTCTACTTTTTATACGTAATCCCGTTTCCAACGAAATCCTCCAAGCTATCCAAATATCCACTTGCAGATTCCACAGAAAGACTGTTTCAAAACTACTATGTCAATAGAAAGGTTCAACTCTGTTAGCTGCGTGCATATATCCCAAAGACGATTCTGAGATTGCTTCTGTCTAGTTTTTATGGGAAGATATTTCCCTTTTCACCGTAGGCGTTAAGGCGCTCCAAATGTCCACTTCCAGATACTACAAAAAGAGTGTTTCAAACCTACTCTGTGAAAGGGAATATTCAACTCTGTGACTAGTATGCACATATCACAAAGAAGTTTCTGAGAATGCATCTGTCGAGATTTTATATGAAGATATTCCCGTTTCCAACGAAATCCTGAAATCTATCCAAATATCCCCTCGTAGATTCTACAAAAAGAGAGTTTCAAAACTGCTCTGTAAAAAGAAAGGTTCAACTCTGTTAGTTGAGTACACACATCACAAACAAGTTTCACAGAATGCTTCTTTCTAGCTTGTAGGGGAAGATATTCCCTTTATCACCATGGGCCTCAAACCGTCCGAAACGTCCATTTCCATATACTACAAAAAGAGCGTTTCAAACCTGCTCCATGAAAGGCAATGTTCAACTCTGTGACTTGAACGCAGACATCACAGAGCAGTTTCTGAGAATGCTTCTGTCTAGAATTTATAGGAAGATATTCCCGTTTCCAACGAAATCTTCACAGCTATCCAAATATCCACTTTCAGATTCTACAAAAAGAGTGTATCAAAAGTGCTCTGTCAAAAGGAAGGTTTCTTCTCTGTTAGGTGAGTGCATACGTCATAAAGGAGTTTCTGAGAATGTTTCTGTCTAGTGGTTATGGGAAGATATTTGCTTTTTCACCTTAGGCCTCAGAGCGCTCCAAATATACACTTGCACATACTACAAAAAGAGTGATTCAAAGCTGCTCTCTGAAACGGAATGTTCAACTCTATGAGTTGAATGCAAACATCACAAAGACGTTTCTGAGAATGCTTCTGTCTAGAATTGTTATGAAGATATTCCCGTTTCCAACGAAATCTTCAAATCTATCCAAATGTCCACTTGCAGATTCAACAAAAAGTGTTTTTCAGAACTGCTCTATCAAAAGAAAGATCCACCTCTGTTAGCTGAGTTCACACATCACAAACAAGTTTATGAGAATGCTTCTGTCTAGTTTTTATTTGAAGATATTTCCTTTCTCACCATAGACCTGAAAGCTGTCCTAATGTTCACTTCCAGATACTACAGAAAGAGTGTTTCAAAACTGCTGTAAGAAAGGGAATGTTCAACTCTGTGACTTGAATGCACACACCACAAGGAAGTTTCTGAGGATGCTGCTGTCTACTTTTTATACGTAATCCCGTTTCCAACGAAATCCTCCAAGCTATCCAAATATCCACTTGCAGATTCCACAGAAAGACTGTTTCAAAACTGCTCTCTCAATAGAAAGGTTCAACTCTGTTAGCTGCGTGCATATATCCCAAAGAAGATTCTGAGATTGCTTCTGTCTACTTTTTATGAGAAGATATTTCCCTTTTCACCGTAGGCGTCAAGGCGCTCAAAATGTCCACTTCCAGATACTACAAAAAGAGTGTTTCAAACCTACTCTGTGAAAGGGAATATTCAACTCTGTGACTTGAATGCACATATCACAAAGAAGTTTCTGAGAATGCTTCTGTCGAGATTTTATATGAAGATATTCCCGTTTCCAACGAAATCCTGAAATCTATCCAAATAACCCCTCGCAGATTCTACAAAAAGAGTGTTTCAAAACTGCTCTGTAAAAAGAAAGGTTCAACTCTGTAAGTTGAGTACACACATCACAAACAAGTTTCACAGAATGCTTCTTTCTAGCTTGTAGGGGAAGATATTTCCTTTATCACCATGGTCCTCAAACAGTCTGAAACGTCCACTTCCATATACTAAAAAAAGAGGGTTTGAAACCTGCTCTATGAAAGGCAACGTTCAACTCTGTGACTTGAATGCAGACATCACAGAGCAGTTTCAGAGAATGCTTCTGTCCAGACTTTATAGGAAGATATTCCCGTTTCCAACGAAATCTTCACAGCTATCCAAATATCCACCTGCAGATACTACAAAAAGAGTGTATCAAAACTGCTCTGTCAAAAGGAAGGTTCTTCTCTGTTAGGTGAGTGCATACGTCATAAAGAAGTTTCTGAGAATGTTTCTGTCTAGTGGTTATGGGAAGATATTTGCTTTTTCACCGTAGGCCTCAGAGCGCTCCAAATATCCACTTGCACATACTACAAAAAGAGTGCCTCAAAGCTGCTCTCTGAAACGGAATGTTCAACTCTATGAGTTGAATGCCAACATCACAAAGAACGTTTCTGAGAATGCTTCTGTCTAGATTTGATATGAAGATATTTCCGTTTCCAACGAAATCTTCAAATCTATCCAAATGTCCACTTGCAGATTCAACAAAAAGTGTTTTTCAGAACTGCTCTATCAAAAGAAAGATCCACCTCTGTTAGCTGAGTTCACACATCACAAACAAGTTTATGAGAATGCTTCTGTCTAGTTTTTATTTGAAGATATTTCCTTTCTCACCATAGACCTGAAAGCTGTCCTAATGTTCACTTCCAGATACTACAGATAGAGTGTTTCAAAACTGCTGTACGAAAGGGAATGTTCAACACTGTGACTTGAATGCACACATCACAAAGAAGTTTCTGAGGATGCTGCTGTCTACTTTTTATACGTAATCCCGTTTCCAACGAAATCCTCCAAGCTATCCAAATATCCACTTGCAGATTCCACAGAAAGACTGTTTCTAAACTGCTGTGTCAATAGAAAGGTTCAACTCTGTTAGCTGCGTGCATATATCCCAAAGAAGATTCTGAGATTGCTTCTGTCTAGTTTTTATGGGAAGATATTTCCCTTTTCACCGTAGGCGTCAAGGCGCTCCAAATGTCCAATTCCAGATACTATAAAAAGAGTGTTTCAAACCTACTCTGTGAAAGAGAATATTCAACTCTGTGACTGGAATGCAGATATCACAAAGAAGTTTCTGAGAATGCTTCTGTCGAGATTTTATATGAAGATATTCCCGTTTCCAACGAAAACCTGAAATCTATCCAAATATCCCCTCGCAGATTCTACAAAAAGAGTGTTTCAAAACTGCTCTGTAAAAAGAAAGGTTCAACTCTGTTAGTTGCGTACACACATCACAAACAAGTTTCACAGAATGCTTCTTTCTAGCTTGTAGGGGAAGATATTCCCTTTATCACCATGGGCCTCAAACCGTCCGAAACGTCCACTTCCATATACTACAAAAAGAGCGTTTCAAACCTGCTCTATGAAAGGCAATGTTCAACTCTGTGACTTGAATGCAGACATCACAGAGCAGTTTCTGAGAATGCTTTCTGTCTAGATATTATAGGAAGATATTCCCGTTTCCAACGAAATCTTCACAGCTATCCAAATATCCACTTGCAGATTCTACAAAAAGAGTGTATCAAAACTGCTCTGTCAAAAGGAAGGTTCTTCTCTGTTAGGTGAGTGCATACGTCATAAAGGAGTTTCTGAGAATGTTTCTGTCTAGTGGTTATGGGAAGATATTTGCTTTTTCACCGTAGGCCTCAGGGTGCTCCAAATGTCCACTTGCACATGCTACAAAAAGAGTGCTTCAAAGCTGCTCTCTGAAAGGGAATGTTCAACTCTATGAGTTGAATGCAAACATCACAAAGACGTCTCTGACAATGCTTCTGTCTAGATTTGATATGAAGATATTCCCGTTTCCAACGAAATCTTCAAATCTATCCAAATGTCCTCTTGCAGATTCAACAAAAAGTGTTTGTCAGAACTGCTCTATCAAAAGAAAGATCCACGTGTGTTAGCTGAGTTCACACATCACGAACAAGTTTATGAGAATGCTCTGTCTAGTTTTTATTTGAAGATATTTCCTTTCTCACCATAGACCTGAAAGCTGTCCTAATGTTCACTTCCAGATACTACAGAAAGAGTGTTTCAAAACTGCTGTACGAAAGGGAATGTTCAACTCTGTGACTTGAATGCACACATCACAAAGAAGTTCTGAGGATGCTGGCTGTCTACTTTTTATATGCAATCCCGTTTCCAACGAAATCCTCCAAGCTATCCAAATATCCACTTGCAGATTCCACAGAAAGACTGTTTCAAAACTGCTCTGTCAATAGAAAGGTTCAACTCTGTTAGCTGCGTGCATATATCCCAAAGAAGATTCTGAGATTGCTTCTGTCTACTTTTTATGAGAAGATATTTCCCTTTTCACCGTAGGTGTCAAGGCGCTCCAAATGTCCACTTCCAGATACTACAAAAAGAGTGTTTCAAACCTACTCTGTGAAAGGGAATATTCAACTCTGTGACTTGAATGCACATATCACAAAGAAGTTTCTGAGAATGCTTCTGTCGAGATTTTCTATGAAGATATTCCCGTTTCCAACGAAATCCTGAAATCTATCCAAATATCCCCTCGCAGATTCCACAAAAAGAGTGTTTCAAAACTGCTCTGTAAAAAGAAAGGTTCAACTCTGTTAGTTGAGTACACACATCACAAACAAGTTTCACAGAATGCTTCTTTCTAGCTTGTAGGGGAAGATATTCCCTTTATCACCATGGGCCTCAAACCGTCCGAAACGTCCACTTCCATATACTACAAAAAGAGGGTTTCAAACCTGCTCTATGAAAGGCAATGTTCAACTCTGTGACTTGAATACAGACATCGCAGAGCAGTTCCTGAGAATGCTTCTGTCTAGATTTTATAGGAAGATATTCCCGTTTCCAACGAAATCTTCACAGCTATCCAAATATCCACTTGCAGATTCTACAAAAAGAGTGTATTCAAACTGCTCTGTCAAAAGGAAGGTTCTTCTCTGTTAGTTGAGTACATACGTCATAAAGGAGTTTCTGAGAATGTTTCTGTCTAGTGGTTATGGGAAGATATTTGCTTTTTCCCCGTAGGACTCAGAGCGCTCCAAATATCCACTTGCACATACTACAAAAAGAGTGCTTCAAAGCTGCTCTCTGAAACGGAATGTTCAACTCTATGAGTTGAATGCAAACATCACAAAGACGTTTCTGAGAATGCTTCTGTCTAGATTTGATATGAAGATATTCCCGTTTCCAACGAAATCTTCATATCTATCCAAATGTCCACTTGCAGATTCAACAAAAAGTGTTTTTCAAAACTGCTGTATCAAAAGAAAGATCCACGTCTGTTAGCTGATGCTCTATCAAAAGAGAGATCCACCTCTGTTAGCTGAGTTCACACATCACAAACAAGTTTATGAAAATGCTTCTGTCTAGTTTATATTTGAAGATATTTCCTTTCTCACCATAGACCTGAAAGCTGTCCTAATGTTCACTTCCAGATACTACAGAAAGAGTGTTTCAAAACTGCTGTACGAAAGGGAATGTTCAACTCTGTGACTTGAATGCACACATCACAAAGAAGTTTCTGAGGATGCTGCAGTCTACTTTTTATACGTAATCCCGTTTCCAAAGAAAACCTCCAAGCTATCCAAATATCCACTTGCAGATTCCACAGAAAGACTGTTTCAAAACTGCTCTGTCAATAGAAAGGTTCAACTCTGTTAACTCCGTGCATATATCCCAAAGAAGATTCTGAGATTGCTTTCTGTCTAGTTTTTATGGGAAGATATTTCCCTTTTCACCGTAGGCGTCAAGGCGCTTCAAATGTCCACTTCCAGATACTACAAAAAGAGTGTTTCAAACCTACTCTGTGAAAGGGAATATTCAACTCTGTGACTTGAATGCACATATCACAAAGAAGTTTCTGAGAATGCTTCTGTCTAGATTTTATAGGAAGATATTCCCGTTTCCAATGAAACCTTCACAGCTATCCAAATATCCACTTGCAGATTCTACAAAAAGAGTGTTTCAAAACTGCTCTGTAAAAAGAAAGGTTCAACTGTGTTAGTTGAGTACACACATCACAAACAAGTTTCACAGAATGCTTCTTTCTAGCTTGTTGGGTAAGATATTCCCTTTATCACCATGGGCCTCCAACCGTCCGAAACATCCACTTCCATATACTACAAAAAGAGCGTTTCAAACCGGCTCTATGAAAGGCAATGTTCAACTCTGTGACTTGAATGCAGACATCACAGAGCAGTTTCTGAGAATGCTTCTGTCTGGATTTTATAGGAAGATATTCCCGTTTCCAACGAAATCTTCACAGCTATCCAAATATCCACTTGCAGATTCTACAAAAAGAGTGTATCAAAACTGCTCTGTCAAAAGGAAGGTTCTTCTCTGTTAGGTGAGTGCATACGTCATAAAGGAGTTTCTGAGAATGTTTCTGTCTAGTGGTTATGGGAAGATATTTGCTTTTTCACCTTAGGCCTCAGAGCGCTCCAAATATCCACTTGCACATACTACAAAAAGAGTGCTTCAAAGCTGCTCTCTGAAACGGAATGTTCAACTCTATGAGTTGAATGCAAACATCACAAAGACGTTTCTGGGAATGCTTCTGTCTAGATTTGATATGAAGATATTCCCGTTTCCAACGAAATCTTCAAATCTATCCAAATGTCCACTTGCAGATTCAACAATAAGTGTTTTTCAGAACTGCTCTATCAAAAGAAAGATCCACCTCTGTTAGCTGAGTTCACACATCACAAACAAGTTTATGAAAATGCTTCTGTCTAGTTTTTATTTGAAGATATTTCCTTTCTCACCATAGACCTGAAAGCTGTCCTAATGTTCACTTCCAGATACTACAGAAAGAGTGTTTCAAAACTACTGTACGAAAGGGAATGTTCAACACTGTGACTTGAAAGCACACATCACAAAGAAGTTTCTGAGGATGCTGCTGTCTACTTTTTATACGTAATCGCGTTTCCAAAGAAATCCTCGAAGCTATCCAAATATCCACTTGCAGATTCCACAGAAAGACTGTTTCAAAACTGCTCTGTCAATAGAAAGGTTCAACTCTATTAGCTGCGTGCATATATCCCAAAGAAGATTCTGAGATTGCTTCTGTCTAGTTTTTATGGGAAGATATTTCCCTTTTCACCGTAGGCATCAAGGCGCTCCGAATGTCCACTTCCAGATACTACAAAAAGAGTGTTTCAAACCTACTCTGTGAAAGGGAATATTCAACTCTGTGACTTGAATGCACATATCACAAGGAAGTTTCTGAGAATGCTTCTGTCGAGATTTTGTATGAAGATATTCCCGTTTCCAACGAAATTCTGAAATCTATCCAAATATCCCCTCGCAGATTCTACAAAAAGAGTGTTTCAAAACTGCTCTGTGAAAAGAAAGGTTCAACTCTCTTAGTTGAGTACACACATCACAAACAAGTTTCACAGAATGCTTCTTTCTAGCTTGTAGGGGAAGATATTCCCTTTATCACCATGGGCCTCAAACCATCCGAAACGTCCACTTCCATATACTACAAAAAGAGCGTTTCAAACCTGCTCTAGGAAAAGCAATGTTCAACTCTGTGACTTGAATGCAGACATCACAGAGCAGTTTCTGAGAATGCTTCTGTCTAGGTTTTATAGGAAGATATTCCCGTTTCCAACGAAATCTTCACAGCTATCCAAATATCCACTTGCAGATTCTACAAAAAGAGTGTATCAAAACTGCTCTGTCAAAAGGAAGGTTCTTCTCTGTTAGGTGAGTGCACACGTCATAAAGGAGTTTCTGAGAATGTTTCTGTCTAGTGGTTATGGGAAGATATTTGCTTTTTCACCGTAGGTCTCAGAGCGCTCCAAATATCCACTTGCACATACTACAAAAAGAGTGCTTCAAAGCTGCTCTCTGAAACGGAATGTTCAACTCTATGACTTGAATGCAAACATCACAAAGACGTTTCTGAGAATGCTTCTGTCTAGATTTGATATGAAGATATTCCCGTTTCCAAGGAAATCTTCAAAACTATCCAAATGTCCACTTGCAGATTCAACAAAAAGTGTTTTTCAGAACTGCTCTATCAAAAGAAAGATCCACCGCTGTTTGCTGAGTTCACACATCACAAACAAGTTTATGAGAATGCTTCTGTCTAGTTTTTATTTGAAGATATTTCCTTTCTCACCATAGACCTGAAAGCTGTCCTAATGTTCACTTCCAGTTACTACAGAGTGTTTCAAAACTGCTGTACGAAAGGGAATGTTCAACTCTGTGACTTGAATGCACACATCACAAAGAAGTTTCTGAGGATGCTGCTGTCTACTTTTTTATACGTAATCCCGTTTCCAACGAAATCCTCCAAGCTATCCAAATATCCACTTGCAGATTCCACAGAAAGACTGTTTCAAAACTGCTCTGTCAATAGAAAGGTTCAACTCTGTTAGCTGCGTGCATATATCCCAAAGAAGATTCTGAGATTGCTTCTGTCTACTTTTTATGAGAAGATATTTCCCTTTTCACCTTAGGCGTCAAGGCGCTCCAAATGTCCACTTCCAGATACTACAAAAAGAGTGTTTCAAACCTACTCTGTGAAAGGGAATATTGAACTCTGTGACTTGAATGCACATATCACAAAGAAGCTTCTGAGAATGCTTCTGTCAAGATTTTATGTGAAGATATTCCCGTTTCCAACTAAATCCTGAAATGTATCCAAATATCCCCTCGCAGATTCTACAAAAAGAGTGTTTCAAAACTGCTCTGTAAAAAGAAAGGTTCAACTCTGTTAGTTGAGTACACACATCACAAACAAGTTTCACAGAATGCTTCTTTCTAGCTTGTAGGGGAAGATATTCCCTTTATCACCATGGGCCTCAAACCGTCCGAAACGTCCACTTCCATATACTACAAAAAGAGCATTTCAAACCTGCTCTATGAAAGACAATGTTGAACTCTGTGACTTGAATGCAGACATCACAGAGCAGTTTCTGAGAATGCTTCTGTCTAGATTTTATAGGAAGATATTCCCGTTTCCAACGAAATCTTCACAGCTATCCAAATATCCACTTGCAGATTCTACAAAAAGAGTGTATCAAAAATGCTCTGTCAAAAGGAAGGTTCTTCTCTGTTAGGTGAGTGCATACGTCATAAAGGAGTTTCTGAGAATGTTTCTGTGTAGTGGTTATGGGAAGATATTTGCTTTTTCACCGAAGGCCTCAGAGCGCTCCAAATATCCACTTGCACATACTACAAAATGAGTGCCTCAAAGCTGCTCTCTGAAACGGAATGTTCAACTCTATGAGTTGAATGCAAACATCACAAAGACGTTTCCGAGAATGCTTCTGTCTAGATTTGATATGAAGATATTCCCGTTTCCAACGAAATCTTCATATCTATAAAATGTCCACTTGCAGATTCAACAAAAAGTGTTTTTCAAAACTGCTGTATCAAAAGAAAGATCCACGTCTCTTAGCTGAGTTCACACATCACAAACAAGTTTATGAGAATGCTTCTGTCTAGTTTTTATTTGAAGATATTTCCTTTCTCACCATAGAGCTGAAAGCTGTCCTAATGTTCACTTCCAGATACCACAGAAAGAGTGTTTCAAAACTGCTGTACGAAAGGGAATGTTCAACTCTGTGACTTGAATGCACACATCACAAAGAAGTTTCTGAGGATGCTGCTGTCTACTTTTTATACGTAATCCCGTTTCCAACGAAATCCTCCAAGCTATCAAAATATGCACTTGCAGATTCCACAGAAAGACTGTTTCAAAACTGCTCTGTCAATAGAAAGGTTCAACTCTGTTAGCTGCGTGCATATATCCCAAAGAAGATTCTGAGATTGCTTCTGTCTAGTTTTTATGGGAAGATATTTCCCTTTTCACCGTAGGTGTCAAGGCGCTCCAAATGTCCACTTCCAGATACTACAAAAAGAGTGTTTCAAACCTACTCTGTGAAAGGGAATATTCAACTCTGTGACTTGAATGCACGTATCACAAGGAAGTTTCTGAGAATGCTTCTGTCGAGATTTTATATGAAGATATTCCCGTTTCCAACGAAATGCTGAAATGTATCCAAATATCCCCTCGCAGATTCTACAAAAAGAGTGTTTCAAAACTACTCTGTAAAAAGAAAGGTTCAACTCTGTTAGTTGAGTACACACATCACAAACAAGTTTCACAGAATGCTTCTTTCTAGCTTGTAGGGGAAGATATTTCCTTTATCACCATGGGCCTCAAACCGTCCGAAACGTCCACTTCCATATACTAAAAAAAGAGTGCTTGAAACCTGCTCTATGAAAGGCAATGTTCAACTCTGTGACTTGAATGCAGACATCACAGAGCAGTTTCTGAGAATGCTTCTGTCCAGACTTTATAGGAAGATATTCCCGATTCCAACGAAATCTTCACAGCTATCCAAATATCCACTTGCAGATACTACAAAAAGAGTGTATCAAAAGTGCTCTGTCAAAAGGAAAGTTCTTCTCTGCTAGTTGAGTACATACGCCATAAAGTAGTTTCTGAGAATGTTTCTGTCTAGTGGTTATGGGAAGATATTTGCTTTTTCACCGTAGGCCTCAGAGCGCTCCAAATATCCACTTGCACATACTACAAAAAGAGTGCTTCAAAGCTGCTCTACTGAAACGGAATGTTCAACTCTATGAGTTGAATGCAAACATCACAAAGACGTTTCTGAGAATGCTTCTGTCTAGATTTGATATGAAGATGTTCCCGTTACCAACGAAATCTTCAAATCTATCCAAATGTCCACTTGCAGATTCAACAAAAAGTGTTTTTCAGAACTGCTCTTTCAAAAGAAAGATCCACCTCTGTTAGCTGAGTTCACACATCACAAACAAGTTTATGAGAATGCTTCTGTCTAGTTTTTATTTGAAGATATTTCCTTTCTCACCATAGACCTGAAAGCTGTCCTAATGTTCACTTCCAGATACTACATAAAGAGTGTTTCAACACTGCTGTATGAAAGGGAATGTTCAACTCTGTGACTTGAATGCACACATCACAAAGAAGTTTCTGAGGATGCTGCTGTCTACTTTTTATACGTAATCCCGTTTCCAACGAAATCCTCCAAGCTATCCAAATATCCACTTGCAGATTCCACAGAAAGACTGTTTCAAAACTGCTCTGTCAATAGAAAGGTTCAACTCTGTTAGCTTCGTGCATATATCCCAAAGAAGATTCTGAGATTGCTTCTGTCTAGTTTTTATGGGAAGATATTTCCCTCTTCACCGTAGGCGTCAAGGCGCTCCAAATGTCCACTTCCAGATAGTACAAAAAGAGTGTTTCAAACCTACTCTATGAAAGGGAATATTCAACTCTGTGACTAGAATGCACATATCACAAAGAAGTTTCTGAGAATGCATCTGTCGAGATTTTATATGAAGATATTCCCGTTTCCAACGAAATCCTGAAATCTATCCAAATATCCCCTCGCAGATTCTACAAAAAGAGTGTTTCAAAACTGCTCTGTGAAAAGAAAGGTTCAACTCTCTTACTTGAGTACACACATCACAAACAAGTTTCACAGAATGCTTCTTTCTAGCTTGTAGGGGAAGATATTCCCTTTATCACCATGGGCCTCAAACCGTCTGAAACGTCCACTTCCATATACTACAAAAAGATCATTTCAAACCTGCTCTATGAAAGGCAATGTTCAACTCTGTGACTTGAATGCAGACATCACAGAGCAGTTTCTGAGAATGCTTCTGTCTAGATTTTATAGGAAGATATTCCCGTTTCCAACGAAATCTTCACAGCTATCCAAATATACACTTGCAGATTCTACAAAAAGAGTGTATCAAAGCTGCTCTGTCAAAAGGAAGGTTCTTCTCTGTTAGGTGAGTGCATACGTCATAAAGCAGTTTCTGAGAATGTTTCTGTCTAGTGGTTATGGGAAGATATTTGCTTTTTCACCGTAGGCCTCAGAGCGCTCCAAATATCCACTTGCACATACTACAAAAAGAGGGCCTCAAAGCTGCTCTTTGAAACGGAATGTTCAACTCTATGAGTTGAATGCAAACATCACAAAGACGTTTCTGAGAATGCTTCTGTCTAGATTTGATATGAAGATATTCCCGTTTCCAACGAAATCTTCAAATCTATCCAAATGTCCACTTGCAGATTCAACAAAAATTGTTTTTCAGAACTGCTCTATCAAAAGAAAGATCCACGTGTGTTAGCTGAGTTCACACATCACAAACAAGTTTATGAGAATGCTTCTGTCTAGTTTTTATTTGAAGATATTTCCTTTCTCACCATAGACCTGAAAGCTGTCCTAATGTTCACTTCCAGATACTACAGAAAGAGTGTTTCAAAACTGCTGTACGAAAGGGAATGTTCAACTCTGTGACTTGAATGCACACATCACAAAGTAGTTTCTGAGGATGCTGCTGTCTACTTTTTATACGTAATCCCGTTTCCAACGAAATCCTCCAAGCTATCCAAATATCCACTTGCAGATTCCACAGAAAGACTGTTTCAAAACTGCTCTGTCAATAGAAAGGTTCAACTCTGTTAGCTGCGTGCATATATCCTAAAGAGGATTCTGAGCTTGCTTCTGTCTAGTTTTTATGGGAAGATATTTCCCTTTTCACCATAGGTGTCAAGGCGCTCCAAATGTCCACTTCCAGATACTACAAAAAGAGTGTTTCAAACCTACTCTGTGAAAGGGAATATTCAACTCTGTGACTTGAATGCAGACATCACAGAGCAGTTTCTGAGAATGCTTCTGTCGAGATTTTATATGAAGATATTCCCCTTTCCAACGAAATCCTGAAATCTATCCAAATATCCCCTCGCAGATTCTACAAAAAGAGTGTTTCAAAACTGCTCTGTAAAAATAAAAGGTTCAACTCTGTTAGTTGAGTACACACATCACAAACAAGTTTCACAGAATGCTTCTTTCTAGCTTGTAGGGGAAGATATTCCCTTTATCACCATGGGCCTCAAGCCGTCCGAAACGTCCACTTCCATATACTACAAAAAGAGCGTTTCAAACCTGCTCTAGGAAAGGCAATGTTCAACTCTGTGACTTGAATGCAGACATCACAGAGCAGTTTCTGAGAATGCTTCTGTCTAGATTTTATAGGAAGATATTCCCGTTTCCAACGAAATCTTCACAGCTATCCAAATATCCACTTGCAGATTCTGCAAAAAGAGTGTATCAAAACTGCTCAGTCAAAAGGAAGGTTCTTCTCTGTTAGGAGAGTGCATACGTCATAAAGGAGTTTCTGAGAATGTTTCTGTCTAGTGGTTATGGGAAGATATTTGCTTTTTCACCGTAGGCCTCAGGGCGCTCCAAATGTCCACTTGCACATACTACAAAAAGAGTGCTTCAAAGCTGCTCTCTGAAACGGAATGTTCAACTCTATGAGTTGAATGCAAACATCACAAAGACGTTTCTGAGAATGCTTCTGTCTAGATTTGATATGAAGATATTCCCGTTTCCAACGAAATCTTCAAATCTATCCAAATGTCCACTTGCAGATTCAACAAAAAGTGTTTTTCAGTACTGCTCTATCAAAAGAAAGATCCACCTCTGTTAGCTGAGTTCACACATCACAAACAAGTTTATGAGAATGCTTCTGTCTAGTTTTTATTTGAAGATATTTCCTTTCTCACCATAGAGCTGAAAGCTGTCCTAATGTTCACTTCCAGATACTACAGAAAGAGTGTTTCAAAACTGCTGTACGAAAGGGAATGTTCAAATCTGTGACTTGAATGCACACATCACAAAGAAGATTCTGAGGATGCTGCTGTCTTCTTTTTATACGTAATCCCGTTTCCAACGAAATCCTCCAAGCTCTCCAAGTATCCACTTGCAGATTCCACAGAAAGACTGTTTCAAAACTGCTCTGTCAATAGAAAGGTTCAACTCTGTTAGCTGCGTGCATATATCCCAAAGAAGATTCTGAGATTGCTTCTGTCTAGTTTTTATGGGAAGATATTTCCCTATTCACCGTAGGTGTCAAGGCGCTCCAAATGTCCACTTCCAGATACTACAAAAAGAGTGTTTCAAACCTACTCTGTGAAAGGGAATATTCAACTCTGTGACTTGAATGCACATATCACAAGGAAGTTTCTGAGAATGCTAATGTCGAGATTTTATATGAAGATATTCCCGTTTCCAACGAAATCCTGAAATCTATCCAAATATCCCCTCGCAGATTCTACAAAAAGAGTGTTTCAAAACTGCTCTGTGAAAAGAAAGGTTCAACTCTGTTAGTTGAGTACACACATAACAAACAAGTTTCACAGAATGCTTCTTTCTAGCTTGTAGGGGAAGATATTCCCTTTATCACCATGGGCCTCCAACCGTCCGAAACATCCACTTCCATATACTACAAAAAGAGCGTTTCAAACCTGCTCTATGAAAGGCAATGTTCAACTCTGTGACTTGAATGCAGAAATCACAGAGCAGTTTCTGAGAATGCTTCTGTCTAGATTTTATAGGAAGATATTCCCGTTTCCAACGAAATCTTCACAGGTATCCAAATATCCACTTGCAGATTCTACAAAAAGAGTGTATCAAAACTGCTCTGTCAAAAGGAAGGTTCTTCTCTGTTAGGTGAGTGCATACGTCATAAAGGAATTTCTGAGAATGTTTCTTTCTAGTGGTTATGGGAAGATATTTGCTTTTTCACCGTAGGCCTCACAGCGCTCCAAATATCCACTTGCACATACTACAAAAAGAGTGCTTCAAAGCTGCTCTCTGAAACGGAATGTTCAACTCTATGAGTTGAATGCAAACATCACAAAGACGTTTCCGAGAATGCTTCTGTCTAGATTTGATATGAAGATATTCCCGTTTCCAACGAAATCTTCAAATCTATCCAAATGTCCACTTGCAGATTCAACAAAGTGTTTTTCAGAACTGCTCTATCAAAAGAAAGATCCACCTCTGTTAGCTGAGTTCACACATCACAAACAAGTTTATGAGAATGCTTCTGTCTAGTTTTTATTTGAAGATATTTCCTTTCTCACCATAGACCTGAAAGCTGTCCTAATGTTCACTTCCAGATACTACAGAAAGAGTGTTTCAAAACTGCTGTACAAAAGGGAATGTTCAACTCTGTGACTTGAATGCACACATCACAAAGAAGTTTCTGAGGATGCTGCTGTCTACTTTTTATACGTAATCCTGTTTCCAACGAAATCCTCCAAGCTATCCAAATATCCACTTGCAGATTCCACAGAAAGACTGTTTCAAACCTGCTCTGTCAATAGAAAGGTTCAACTCTGTTAGCTACGTGCATATATCCCAAAGAAGATTCTGAGATTGCTTCTGTCTACTTTTTATGAGAAGATATTTCCCTTTTCACCGTAGGCGTCAAGGCGCTCCAAATGTCCACTTCCAGATACTACAAAAAGAGTGTTTCAAACCTACTCTGTAAAAGGGAATATTCAACTCTGTGACTTGAATGCACATATCACAAAGAAGTTTCTGAGAATGCTTCTGTCGAGATTTTATATGAAGATATTCCCGTTTCCAACGAAATCCTGAAATCTATCGAAATATCCCCTCGCAGATTCTACAAAAAGAGTGTTTCAAAACTGCTCTGTAAAAAGAAAGGTTCAACTCTGTTAGTTGAGTACACACATCACAAACTAGTTTCACAGAATGCTTCTTTCTAGCTTGTAGGGGAAGATATTCCCTTTATCACCATGGGCCTCAAACCGTCCGAAACGTCCACTTCCATATGCTACAAAAAGAGCATTTCAAACCTGCTCTAGGAAAGGCAATGTTCAACTCTGTGACTTGAATGCAGACATCACAGAGCTGTTTCTGAGAATGCTTCTGTCTAGATTTCATAGGAAGATATTTCCGTTTCCAACGAAACCTTCACAGCTATCCAAATATCCACTTGCAGATTCTACAAAAAGAGTGTATCAAAACTGCTCTGTCAAAAGGAAGGTTCTTCTCTGTTAGGTGAGTGCATACGTCATAAAGGAGTTTCTGAGAATGTTTCTGTCTACTGGTTATGGGAAGATATTTGCTTTTTCACCGTAGGCCTCAGAGCGCTCCAAATATCCACTTGCACATGCTACAAAAAGAGTGCTTCAAAGCTGCTCTCTGAAACGGAATGTTCAACTCTATGAGTTGAATGCAAACATCACAAAGACGTTTCTGAGAATGCTTCTGTCTAGATTTGATATGAAGATATTCCCGTTTCCAACGAAATCTTCAAATCTATCCAAATGTCCACTTGCAGATTCAACAAAAAGTGTTTTTCAGAACTGCTCTATCAAAAGAAAGATCCACCTCTGTTAGCTGAGTTCGCACATCACAAACAAGTTTATGAGAATGCTTCTGTCTAGTTTTTATTTGAAGATATTTCCTTTCTCACCATAGACCTGAAAGCTGTCTTAATGTTCACTTCCAGTTACTACAGAAAGAGTGTTTCAAAACTGCTGTACGAAAGGGAATGTTCAACTCTGTGACTTGAATGCACACATCACAAAGAAGTTTCTGAGGATGTTGCTGTCTACTTTTTATACGTAATCCCGTTTCCAACGAAATCCTCCAAGCTATCCAAATATCCACTTGCAGATTACACAGAAAGACTGTTTCAAAACTGCTCTGTCAATAGAAAGGTTCAACTCTGTTAGCTGCGTGCATATATCCCAAAGAAGATTCTGAGATTGCTTCTGTCTAGTTTTTATGGGAAGATATTTCCCTTTTCACCGTAGGCGTCAAGGCGCTCCAAATGTCCACTTCCAGATACTACAAAAAGAGTGTTTCATACCTACTCTATGAAAGGGAATATTCAACTCTGTGACTTGAATGCACATATCACAAGGAAGTTTCTGAGAATGCTTCTGTCGAGATTTTATATGAAGATATTCCCGTTTCCAACGAAATCCTGAAATGTATCCAAATATCCCCTCGCAGATTCTACAAAAAGAGTGTTTCAAAACTGCTCTGTAAAAAGAAAGGTTCAACTCTGTTAGTTGAGTGCACACATCACAAACAAGTTTCACAGAATGCTTCTTTCTAGCTTGTAGAGGAAGATATTCCCTTTATCACCATGGGCCTCCAACCGTCCGAAACATCCACTTCCATATACTACAAAAAGAGCGTTTCAAACCTGCTCTATGAAAGGCAATGTTCAACTCTGTGACTTGAATGCAGACATCACAGAGCAGTTTCTGAGAATGCTTCTGTCTAGATTTTATAGGAAGATATTCCCGTTTCCAACGAAATCTTCACAGCTATCCAAATATCCACTTGCAGTTTCTACAAAAAGAGTGTATCAAAACTGCTCTGTCAAAAGGAAGGTTCTTCTCTGTTAGTTGAGTACATACGTCATAAAGGAGTTTCTGAGAATGTATCTGTCTAGTGGTTATGGGAAGATATTTGCTTTTTCACCATAGGCCTCAGAGCGCTCCAAATATCCACTTGCACATACTACAAAAAGAGTGCCTCACAGCTGCTCTCTGAAACGGAATGTTCAACTCTATGAGTTGAATGCAAACATCGCAAAGACGTTTCTGAGAATGCTTGTCTGTCTAGATTTGATATGAAGATATTCCCGTTTCCAACGAAATCTTCAAATCTATCCAAATGTCCACTTGCAGATTCAACAAAAAGTGTTTTTCAGAACTGCTCTATCAAAAGAAAGATCCACCTCTGTTAGCTGAGTTCACACATCAGAAACAAGTTTATGAGAATGCTTCTGTCTAGTTTTTATTTGAAGATATTTCCTTTCTCACAATAGACCTGAAAGCTGTCCTAATGTTCACTTCCAGATACTACAGAAAGAGTGTTTCAAAACTGCTGTACGAAAGGGAATGTTCAACACTGTGACTTGAATGCACACATCACAAAGAAGTTTCTGAGGATGCTGCTGTCTACTTTTTATGCGTAATCCCGTTTCCAACGAAATCCTCCAAGCTATCCAAATATCCACTTGCAGATTCCACAGAAAGACTGTTTCAAAACTGCTCTGTCAATAGAAAGGTTCAACTCTGTTAGCTGCGTGCATATATCCCAAAGTAGATTCTGAGATTGCTTCTGTCTAGTTTTTGTGGGAAGATATTTCCCTTTTCACCGTAGGGGTCAAGGCGCTCCAAATGTCCACTTCCAGATACTACAAAAAGAGTGTTTCAAACCTACTCTGTGAAAGGGAATATTCAACTCTGTGACTTGAATGCACATATCACAAAGAAGTTTCTGAGAATGCTTCTGTCGAGATTTTATATGAAGATATTCCCGTTTCCAACGAAATCCTGAAATGTACCCAAATATCCCCTCGCAGATTCTACAAAAAGAGTGTTTCAAAACTGCTCTGTAAAAAGAAAGGTTCAACTCTGTTAGTTGAGTACACACATCACAAATAAGTTTCACACAATGCTTCTTTCTAGCTTGTAGGGGAAGATATTCCCTTTATCACCATGGGCCTCAAACCGTCCGAAACGTCCACTTCCATATACTACAAAAAGGGCGTTTCAAACCTGCTCTATGAAAGGCAATGTTCAACTCTGTGACTTGAATGCAGACATCACAGAGCAGTTTCTGAGAATGCTTCTGTCTAGATTTTATAGGAAGATATTTCCGTTTCCAACGAAATCTTCACAGCTATCCAAATATCCACTTGCAGATTCTACAAAAAGAGTGTATCAAAACTGCTCTGTCAAAAGGAAGGTTCTTCTCTGTTAGTTGAGTACATACGTCATAAAGGAGTTTCTGAGAATGTTTCTGTCTAGTGGTTATGGGAAGATATTTGCTTTTTCACCTTAGGCCTCAGATCGCTCCAAATATCCACTTGCACATACTACAAAAAGAGTGCTTCAAAGCGGCTCTCTGAACCGCAATGTTCAATTCTATGAGTTGAATGCAAACATCACAAAGACGTTTCTGAGAATGCTTCTGTCTAGATTTGATATGAAGATATTCCCGTTTCCAACGAAATCTTCAAATCTATCCAAATGTCCACTTGCAGATTCAACAAAAAGTGTTTTTCAGAACTGCTCTATCAAAAGGAAGATCCACCTCTGTTAGCTGAGTTCAGACATCACAAACAAGTTTATGAGAATGCTTCTGTCTAGTTTTTATTTGAAGATATTTCCTTTCTCACCATAGACCTGAAAGCTGTCCTAATGTTCACTTCCAGATACTACAGAAAGAGTGTTTCAAAACTGCTGTACGAAAGGGAATGTTCAACTCTGTGACTTGAATGCACACATCACAAAGAAGATTCTGAGGATGCTGCTGTCTACTTTTTATACGTAATCCCGTTTCCAACGAAATCCTCCAAGCTATCCAAATATCCACTTGCAGATTCCACAGAAAGACTGTTTCAAAACTGCTCTGTCAATAGAAAGGTACAACTCTGTTAGCTGCGTGCATATATCCCAAAGAAGATTCTGAGATTGCTTCTGTCTAGTTTTGATGGGAAGATATTTCCCTTTTCACCGTAGGCGTCAAGGCGCTCCAAATGTCCACTTCCAGATACTACAAAAAGAGTGTTTCAAACCTACTCTGTGAAAGGGAATATTCAACTCTGTGACTTGAATGCACATATCGCAAGGAAGTTTCTGAGAATGCTTCTGTCGAGATTTTATATGAAGATACTCCCGTTTCCAGCGAAATCCTGAAATCTATCCAAATATCCCCTCGCAGATTCTACAAAAAGAGTGTTTCAAAACTGCTCTGTAAAAAGGAAGGTTCAACTCTGTTAGTTGAGTACACACATCAAAAACAAGTTTCACAGAATGCTTCTTTCTAGCTTGTAGGGGAAGATATTCCCTTTATCACCATCGGCCTCAAACCGTCTGAAACATCCACTTACATATACTACAAAAAGAGCGTTTCAAACCTGCTCTATGAAAGGCAATGTTCAACTCTGTGACTTGAATACAGACATCACAGAGCAGTTTCTGAGAATGCTTCTGTCTAGATTTTATAGGAAGATATTCCCGTTTCCAACGAAATCTTCACAGCTATCCAAATATCCACTTGCAGATTCTACAAAAAGAGTGTATCAAAACTGCTCTGTCAAAAGGAAGGTTCTTCTCTGTTAGTTGAGTGCATACGTCATAAAGGAGTTTCTGAGAATGTTTCTGTCTAGTGGTTATGGGAAGATATTTGCTTTTTCACCGCAGGCCTCACAGCGCTCCAAATATCCACTTGCACATACTACAAAAAGAGTGCTTCAAAGCTGCTCCCTGAAACGGAATGTTCAACTCTATGGGTTGAATGCAAACATCACAAAGACGTTTCTGAGAATGCTTCTGTCTAGATTTGATATGAAGATATTCCCGTTTCCAACGAAATCTTCAATTCTATCCAAATGTCCACTTGCAGATTCAACAAAAAGTGTTTTTCAGAACTGCTCTATCAAAAGAAAGATCCACCTCTGTTAGCTGAGTTCAGACATCACAAACAAGTTTATGAGAATGCTTCTGTCTAGTTTTTATTTGAAGATATTTCCTTTCTCACCATAGACCTGAAAGCTGTCCTAATGTTCACTTCCGGTTACTACAGAAAGAGTGTTTCAAAACTGCTGTACGAAAGGGAATGTTCAACTCTGTGACTTGAATGCACACATCACAAAGAAGTTTCTGAGGATGCTGCTGACTACTTTTTATACGTAATCCCGTTTCCAACGAAATCCTCCAAGCTATCCAAATATCCACTTGCAGATTCCACAGAAAGACTGTTTCAAAACTGCTCTGTCAATAGAAAGGTTCAACTCTGTTAGCTGCGTGCATATATCCCAAAGAAGATTCTGAGATTGCTTCTGTCTAGTTTTTATGGGAAGATATTTCCCCTTTCACCGTAGGCGTCAAGGCGCTCCAAATGTCCACTTCCAGATACTACAAAAAGAGTGTTTCAAACCTACTCTGTGAAAGGGAATATTCAACTCTGTGACTTGAATGCACATATCACAAGGAAGTTTCTGAGAATGCTTCTGTCGAGATTTTATATGAAGATATTCCCGTTTCCAACGAAATCCTGAAATGTATCCAAATATCCCCTCGCAGATTCTACAAAAAGAGTGTTTCAAAACTGCTCTGTGAAAAGAAAGGTTCAACTTTGTTAGTTGAGTACACACATCACAAACAAGTTTCACAGAATGCTTCTTTCCAGCTTGTAGGGGAAGATATTCCCTTTATCACCATGGGCTTCCAACCGTCCGAAACATCCACTTCCATATACTACAAAAAGAGCGTTTCAAACCTGCTCTATGAAAGGCAATGTTCAACTCTGTGACTTGAATGCAGACATCACAGAGCAGTTTCTGAGAATGCTTCTGTCTAGATTTTATAGGAAGCTATTCCCGTTTCCAACGAAATCTTCACAGCTATCCAAATATCCACTTGCAGATTCTACAAAAAGAGTGTATCAAAACTGCTCTGTCAAAAGGAAGGTTCTTTTCTGTTAGGTGAGTGCATACGTCATAAAGGAGTTTCTGAGAATGTTTCTGTCTAGTGGTTATGGGAAGATATTTGCTTTTTCACAGAAGGCCTCAGAGCGCTCCAAATATCCACTTGCACATACTACAAAAAGAGTGCCTCAAAGCTGCTCTCTGAAACGGAATGTTCAACTTTATGAGTTGAATGCAAACATCACAAAGACGTTTCCGAGAATGCTTCTGTCTAGATTTGATATGAAGATATTCCCGTTTCCAACGAAATCTTCAAATCTATCCAAATGTCCACTTGCAGATTCAACAAAAAGTGTTTTTCAGATCTGCTCTATCAAAAGAAAGATCCATCTCTGTTAGCTGAGTTCACACATCACAAACAAGTTTATGAGAATGCTCTGTCTAGTTTTTATTTGAAGATATTTCCTTTCTCACCATAGACCTGAAAGCTGTCCTAATGTTCACTTCCAGATACTACAGAAAGAGTGTTTCAAAACTGCTTTACGAAAGGGAATGTTCAACTACTGTGACTTGAATGCACACATCACAAAGAAGTTTCTGAGGATGCTGGCTGTCTACTTTTTATACGTAATCCCGTTTCCAACGAAATCCTCCAAGCTATCTAAATATCCACTTGCAGATTCCACAGAAAGACTGTTTCTAAACTGCTCTTTCAATAGAAAGGTTCAACTCTGTTAGCTGCGTGCATATATCCCAAAGAAGATTCTGAGATTGCTTCTGTCTCGTTTTTATGGTAAGATATTTACCTTTTCACCGTAGGTGTCAAGGCGCTCCAAATGTCCACTTCCAGATACTACAAAAAGAGTGTTTCAAACCTACTCTGTGAAAGGGAATATTCAACTCTGTGACTTGAATGCAGATATCACAAAGAAGTTTCTGAGAATGCTTCTGTCGAGATTTTATATGAAGATATTCCCGTTTCCAACGAAATCCTGAAATCTATCCAAATATCCCCTCGCAGATTCTACAAAAAGAGTGTTTCAAAACTGCTCTGTAAAAAGAAAGGTTCAACTCTGTTAGTTGAGTACACACATCACAAACAAGTTTCACAGAATTGTTCTTTCTAGCTTGTAGGGGAAGATATTCCCTTTATCACCATGGGCCTGAAACCGTCCGAAACGTCCACTTCCATATACTACAAAAAGAGTGTTTCAAACCTGCTCTATGAAAGGCAATGTTCAACTCTGTGACTTGAATGCAGACATCACAGAGCAGTTTCTGAGAATGCTTCTGTCTAGATTTTATAGGAAGATATTACCGTTTCCAACGAAATCTTCACAGCTATCCCAATATCCACTTGCAGATTCTACAAAAAGAGTGTATCAAAACTGCTCTGTCAAAAGGAAGGTTCTTCTCTGTTAGGTGAGTGCATACGTCATAAAGGAGTTTCTGAGAATGTTTCTGTCTAGTGGTTATGGGAAGATATTTGCTTTTTCACCGAAGGCCTCAGAGCGCTCCCAATATCCACTTGCACATACTACAAAATGAGTGCCTCAAAGCTGCTCTCTGAAACGGAATGTTCAAATCTATGAGTTGAATGCAAACATCACAAAGACGTTTCCGAGAATGCTTCTGTCTAGATTTGATATGAAGATATTCCCGTTTCCAACGAAATCTTCAAATCTATCCAAATGTCCTCTTGCAGATTCAACAAAAAGTGTTTTTCAGAACTGCTCTATCAAAAGAAAGATCCACGTGTGTTAGCTGAGTTCACACATCACGAACAAGTTTATGAGAATTCTTCTGTCTAGTTTTTATTTGAAGATATTGCCTTTCTCACCATAGACCTGAAAGCTGTCCTAATGTTCACTTCCAGATACTACAGAAAGAGTGTTTCAAAACTGCTGTACGAAAGGGAATGTTCAACTCTGTGACTTGAATGCACACATCACAAAGAAGTTCCTGAGGATGCTGCTGTCTACTTTTTATACGTAATCCCGTTTCCAACGAAATCCTCCAAGCTATCCAAATATCCACTTGCAGATTCCACAGAAAGAGTGTTTCAAAACAGCTCTGTCAATAGAAAGGTTCAACTCTGTTAGCTGCGTGCATATATCCCAAAGAAGATTCTGAGATTGCTTCTGTCTACTTTTTATGAGAAGATATTTCCCTTTTCACCGTAGGCGTCAAGGCGCTCCAAATGTCCACTTCAGATACTACAAAAAGAGTGTTTCAAACCTACTCTGTGAAAGGGAATATTGAACTCTGTGACTTGAATGCACATATCACAAAGAAGTTTCAGAGAATGCTTCTGTCGAGATTTTATATGAAGATATTCCCGTTTCCAACGAAATGCTGAAATCTATCCAAATATCCCCTCGCAGATTCTACAAAAAGAGTGTTTCAAAACTGCTCTGTGAAAAGAAAGGTTCAACTCTGTTAGTTGAGTACACACATCACAAACTAGTTTCACAGAATGCTTCTTTCTAGCTTGCAGGGGAAGATATTCCCTTTATCACCATGGGCCTCAAACCGTCTGAAACGTCCACTTCCATATACTACAAAAAGAGCATTTCAAACCTGCTCTATGAAAGCCAATGTTCAACTCTGTGACTTGAATGCACACATCACAGAGCAGTTTCTGAGAATGCTTCTGTCTAGGTTTTATAGGAAGATATTCCCGTTTCCAACGAAATCTTCACAGCTATCCAAATATCCACTTGCAGATTCTACAAAAAGAGTGTATCAAAACTGCTCTGTCAAAAGGAAGGTTCTTCTCTGTTAGGTGAGTGCATACGTCATAAAGGAGTTTCTGAGAATGTTTCTGTCTAGTGGTTATGGGAAGATATTTGCTTTTTCACCGTAGGCCTCAGAGCGCTCCAAATATCCACTTGCACATACTACAAAAAGAGTGCCTCAAAGCTGCTCTCTGAAACGGAATGTTCAACTCTATGAGTTGAATGCAAACATCGCAAAGACGTTTCTGAGAATGCTTATCTGTCTAGATTTGATATGACGATATTCCCGTTTCCAACGAAATCTTCAAATCTATCCAAATGTCCACTTGCAGATTCAACAAAACGTGTTTTTCAGAACTGCTCTATCAAAAGAAAGATCCACGTCTGTTAGCTGAGTTCAGACATCACAAACAAGTTTATGAGAATGCTTCTGTCTAGTTTTTATTTGAAGATATTTCCTTTCTCACCATAGACCTGAAAGCTGTCCTAATGTTCACTTCCAGATACTACAGAAAGAGTGTTTCAAAACTGCTGTACGAAAGGGAATGTTCAACTGTGTGACTTGAATGCACACATCACAAAGAAGTTTCTGAGGAGGCTGCTGTCTACTTTTTATACGTAATCCCGTTTCCAACGAAATCCTCCAAGCTATCCAAATATCCACTTGCAGATTCCACAGAAAGACTGTTTCAAAACTGCTCTGTCAATAGAAAGGTTCAACTCTGTTACCTGCGTGCATATATCCCGAAGAAGATTCTGAGATTGCTTCTGTCTACTTTTTATGAGAAGATATTTCCCTTTTCACCGTAGGCGTCAAGGCGCTCAAAATGTCCACTTCCAGATACTACAAAAAGAGTGTTTCAAACCTACTCTGTGAAAGGGAATATTCAACTCTGTGACTTGAATGCAGATATCACAAAGAAGTTTACTGAGAATGCTTTCTGTCGAGATTTTATATGAAGATATTCCCGTTTCCAACGGAATCCTGAAATCTATCCAAATATCCCCTCGCAGATTCTACAAAAAGAGTGTTTCAAAACTGCTATGTAAAAAGAAAGGTTCAACTCTGTTAGTTGAGTACACACATCACAAACAAGTTTCACAGAATGCTTCTTTCTAGCTTGTAGGGGAAGATATTCCCTTTATCACCATGGGCCTCCAACCGTCCGAAACATCCACTTCCATACACTACAAAAAGAGCGTTTCAAACCTGCTCTATGAAAGGCAATGTTCAACTCTGTGACTTGAATGCAGACATCACAGAGCAGTTTCTGAGAATGCTTCTGTCTAGATTTTATAGGAAGATATTCCCGTTTCCAACGAAATCTTCACAGCTATCCAAATATCCACTTGCAGATTCTGCAAAAAGAGTGTATAAAAACTGCTCAGTCAAAAGGAAGGTTCTTCTCTGTTAGGTGAGTGCATACGTCATAAAGGAGTTTCTGAGAATGTTTCCGTCTAGTGGTTATGGGAAGATATTTGCTTTTTCACCGTAGGCCTCAGAGCGCTCCAAATATCCACTTGCACATACTACAAAAAGAGTGCCTCAAAGCTGCTCTCTGAAACGGAATGTTCAACTCTATGAGTTGAATGCAAACATCGCAAAGACGTTTCTGAGAATGCTTCTGTCTAGATTTGACATGAAGATATTCCCGTTTCCAACGAAATCTTCAAATCTATCCAAATGTCCACTTGCAGATTCAACAAAAAGTGTTTTTCAGAACTGCTCTATCAAAAGAAAGATCCACCTCTGTTAGCTGAGTTCACACATCACAAACAAGTTTATGAGAATGCTTTTGTCTAGTTTTTATTTGAAGATATTTCCTTTCTCACCGTAGACCTGAAAGCTGTCCTAATGTTCACTTCCAGTTACTACAGAAAGAGTGTTTGAAAACTGCTGTACGAAAGGGAATGTTCAACTCTGTGACTTGAATGCACACATCACAAAGAAGTTTCTGAGGATGCTGCTGTCTACTTTTCATACGTAATCCCGTTTCCAACGAAATCCTCCAAGCTATCCAAATATCTACTTGCAGATTCCACAGAAAGACTGTTTCAAAACTGCTCTGTCAATAGAAAGGTTCAACTCTGTTAGCTGCGTGCATATATCCCAAAGAAGATTCTGAGATTGCTTCTGTCTAGTTTTTATGGGAAGATATTTCCCTTTTCACCGTAGGTCTCAAGGGGCTCCAAATGTCCACTTCCAGATACTACAAAAAGAGTGTTTCAAACCTACTCTGTGAAAGGGAATATTCAACTCTGTGACTTAAAGGCAGATATCACAAAGAAGTTTCTGAGAATGCTTCTGTCGATATTTTATATGAAGATATTCCCGTTTCCAACGAAATCCTGAAATCTATCCAAATATCCCCTCTCAGATTCTACAAAAAGAGTGTATCAAAACTGCTCTGTAAAAAGAAAGGTTCAACTCTGTTAGTTGAGTACACACATCACAAGCAAGTTTCACAGAATGCTTCTTTCTAGCTTGTAGGGGAAGATATTCCCTTTATCACCATGGGCCTCAAACTGTCCGAAACGTCCACTTCCATATACTACAAAAAGAGTGTTTCAAACCTGCTCTATGAAAGGCAATGTTCAACTCTGTGACTTGAATGCAGACATCACAGAGCAGTTTCTGAGAATGCTTCTGTCTAGATTTTATAGGAAGATATTCCCGTTTCCAATGAAATCTTCACAGCTATCCAAATATCCACTTGCAGATTCTACAAAAAGAGTGTATCAAAACTGCTCTGTCAAAAGGAAGGTTCTTCTCTGTTAGGTGAGTGCATACGTCATAAAGGAGTTTCTGAGAATGTTTCTGTCTAGTGGTTATGGGAAGATATTTGCTTTTTCACCGTAGGCCTCACAGCGCTCCAAATATCCACTTGCACAGACTACAAAAAGAGTGCTTCAAAGCTGCTCTCTGAAAGGGAATGTTCAACTCTATGAGTTGAATGCAAACATCACAAAGACGTTTCTGAGAATGCTTCTGTCTAGATTTGATATGAAGATATTCCCGTTTCCAACGAAATCTTCAAATCTATCGAAATGTCCACTTGCAGATTCAACAAAAAGTGTTTTTCCGAACTGCTCTATCAAAAGAAAGATCCGCCTCTGTTAGCTGAGTTCACACATCACAAACAAGTTTATGAGAATGCTTCTGTCTAGTTTTTATTTGAAGATATTTCCTTTCTCACTATAGACCTGAAAGCTCTCCTAAAGTTCACTTCCAGATACTACAGAAAGAGTGTTTCAAAACTGCTGTACGAAAGGGAATGTTCAACTCTGTGACTTGAATGCACACATCACAAGGAAGTTTCTGAGGATGCTGCTGTCTAATTTTTATACGTAATCCCGTTTCCAACGAAATCCTCCAATCTATCCAAATATCCACTTGCAGATTCCACAGAAAGACTGTTTCAAAACTGCTCTGTCAATAGAAAGGTTCAACTCTGTTAGCTGCGTGCATATATCCCAAAGAAGATTCTGAGATTGCTTCTGTCTAGTTTTTATGGGAAGATATTTCCCTTTTCACCGTAGGCGTCAAGGCGCTCCAAATGTCCACTTCCAGATACTACAAAAAGAGTGTTTCAAACCTACTCTGTGAAAGGGAATATTCAACTCTGTGACTTGAATGCACATATCACAAAGGAAGTTTCTGAGAATGCTTCTGTCGAGATTTTATGTGAAGATATTCCCGTTTGCAACGAAATCCTGAAATCTATCCAAATATCCCCTCGCAGATTCTACAAAAAGAGTGTTTCAAAACTGCTCTGTAAAAAGAAAGGTTCAACTCTTTTAGTTGAGTACACACATCACAAACAAGTTTCACAGAATGCTTCTTTCTACCTTGTAGGGGAAGATATTCCCTTTATCACCATGGGCCTCAAACCGTCCGAAATGTCCACTTCCATATACTACAAAAAGAGTGTTTCAAACCTGCTCTATGAAAGGCAATGTTCAACTCTGTGACTTGAATGCAGACATCACAGAGCAGTTTCTGAGAATGCTTCTGTCTAGATTTTATAGGAAGATATTCCCGTTTCCAACGAAATCTTCACAGCTATCCAAATATCCACTTGCAGATTCTACAAAAAGAGTGTACCAAAACTGCTCTGTCAAAAGGAAGGTTCTTTTCTGTTAGGTGAGTGCATACGTCATAAAGGAGTTTCTGAGAATGTTTCTGTCTAGTGGTTATGGGAAGATATTTGCTTTTTCACCGTAGGCCTCAGAGCGCTCCAAATATCCACTTGCACATACTACAAAAAGAGTGCTTCAAATCTGCTCTCTGAAAGGGAATGTTCAACACTATGAGTTGAATGCAAACATCACAAAGACGTTTCTGAGAATGCTTCTGTCTATATTTGATATGAAGATATTCCCGTTTCCAACGAAATCTTCAAATCTATCCAAATGTCCACTTGCAGATTCAACAAAAAGTGTTTTTCAGAACTGCTCTATCAAAAGAAAGATCCACCTCTGTTAGATGAGTTCACACATCACAAACAAGTTTATGAGAATGCTTCTGTCTAGTTTTTATTTGAAGATATTTCCTTTCTCACCATAGACCTGAAAGCTGTCCTAATGTTCACTTACAGATACTACAGAAAGAGTGTTTCAAAACTGCTGTACGAAAGGGAATGTTCAACTCTGTGACTTGAATGCACACATCACAAAGAAGTTTCTGAGGATGCTGCTGTCTTCTTTTTATACGTAATCCCGTTTCCAACGAAATCCTCCAAGCTATCCAAATATCCACTTGCAGATTCCACAGAAAGACTGTTTCAAAACTGCTCTGTCAATAGAAAGGTTCAACTCTGTTAGCTGCGTGCATATATTCCAAAGAAGATTCTGAGATTGCTTCTGTCTAGTTTTTATGGGAAGATATTTCCCTTTTCACCATAGGCGTCAAGGCGCTCCAAATGTCCACTTCCAGGTATACAAAAAGAGTGTTTCAAACCTACTCTGTGAAAGGGAATATTCAACTCTGTGACTTGAATGCAGATATCACAAAGAAGTTTCTGAGAATGCTTCTGTCGAGATTTTGTATGAAGATATTCCCGATTCCAACGAAATCCTGAAATCTATCCAAATTTCCCCTCGCAGATTCTACAAAAAGAGTGTTTCAAAACTGCTCTGTGAAAAGAAAGGTTCAACTCTGTTAGTTGAGTACACACATCACAAACAAGTTTCACAGAATGCTTCTTTCTAGCTTGTAGGGGAAGATATTTCCTTTATCACCATGGTCCTCAAACCGTCCGAAACGTCCACTTCCATATACTAAAAAAAGAGTGTTTCAAACCTGCTCTATGAAAGGCAATGTTCAACTCTGTGACTTGAATGCAGACATCACAGAGCAGTTTCTGGGAATGCTTCTGTCTAGATTTTATAGGAAGATATTCTCGTTTCCAACGAAATCTTCACAGCTATCCAAATATCCACTTGCAGATTCTACAAAAAGAGTGTATCAAAACTGCTCTGTGAAAAGGAAGGTTCTTCTCTGTTAGGTGAGTGCATACTTCATAAAGGAGTTTCTGAGAATGTTTCTGTCTAGTGGTTATGGGAAGATATTTGCTTTTTCACCGTAGGCCTCAGAGCGCTCCAAATATCCACTTGCACATACTACAAAAAGAGTGCCTCACAGCTGCTCTCTGAAACGGAATGTTCAACTCTATGGGTTGAATGCAAACATCGCAAAGACGTTTCTGAGAATGCTTCTGTCTAGATTTGATATGAAGATATTCCCGTTTCCAACGAAATCTTCAAATCTATGCAAATGTCCACTTGCAGATTCAACAAAAAGTGTTTTTCAGAACTGCTCTATCAAAAGAAAGATCCACCTCTGTTAGCTGAGTTCACACCTCACAAACAACTTTATGAGAATGCTTCTGTCTAGTTTTTATTTGAAGATATTTCCTTTCTCACCATAGAGCTGAAAGCTGTCCTAATGTTCACTTCCAGATACTACAGAAAGAGTGTTTCAAAACTGCTGTACGAAAGGGAATGTTGAACTCTGTGACTTGAATGCACACATCACAAAGAAGTTTCTGAGGATGCTGCTGTCTACTTTTTATATGTAATCCCGTTTCCAACGAAATCCTCCAAGCTATCCAAATATCCACTTCCAGATTCCACAGAAAGACTGTTTCAAAACTCCTCTGTCAATAGAAAGGTTCAACTCTGTTAGCTGCGTGCATATATCCCAAAGAAGATTCTGAGATTGCTTCTGTCTAGTTTTTATGGGAAGATATTTCCCTTTTCACCGTAGGCGTCAAGGCGCTCCAAATGTCCACTTCCAGATACTACAAAAAGAGTGTTTCAAACCTACCCTGTGAAAGGGAATATTCAACTCTGTGACTTGAATGCACATATCACAAAGAAGTTTCTGAGAATGCTTCTGTCGAGATTTTGTATGAAGATATTCCCGTTTCCAACGAAATCCTGAAATCTATCCAAATTTCCCCCCGCAGATTCTACAAAAAGAGTGTTTCAAAACTGCTCTGTAAAAAGAAAGGTTCAACTCTGTTAGTTGAGTACACACATCACAAACAAGTTTCACAGAATGCTTCTTTCTAGCTTGTAGGGGAAGATATTCCCTTTATCACCATGGGCCTCAAACCGTCCGATAAGTCCACTTCCATATACTACAAAAAGAGCGTTTCAAACCTGCTCTATGAAAGGCAACGTTCAACTCTGTAACTTGAATGCAGACATCACAGAGCAGTTTCTGAGAATGCTTCTGTCTAGATTTTATAGGAAGATATTCCCGTTTCCAACGAAATCTTCACAGCTATCCAAATATCCACTTGCAGATTCTACAAAAAGAGTTTATCAAAACTGCTCTGTCAAAAGGAAGGTTCTTCTCTGTTAGTTGAGTACATACGTCATAAAGGAGTTTCTGAGAATGTTTCTGTCTAGTGGTTATCGGAAGATATTTGCTTTTTCACCGTAGGCCTCAGAGCGCTCCAAATATCCACTTGCACATACTACAAAAAGAGTGCTTCAAAGCTGGTCTCTGAAACGGAATGTTCAACTCTATGAGTTGAATGCAAACATCACAAAGACGTTTCTGAGAATGCTTCTGTCTAGATTTATGACGATATTCCCGTTTCCAACGAAATCTTCAAATCTATCCAAATGTCTACTTGCAGATTCAACAAAGTGTTTTTCAGAACTGCTCTATCAAAAGAAAGATCCACCTCTGTTAGCTGAGATCACACTTCACAAACAAGTTTATCAGAATGCTTCTGTCTAGTTTTTATTTGAAGATATTTCCTTTCTCACCATAGAGCTGAAAGCTGTCCTAATGTTCACTTCCAGATACTACAGAAAGAGTTTTTCAAAACTGCTGTACGAAAGGGAATGTTCAACTCTGTGACTTGAATGCACACATCACAAAGAAGTTTCTGAGGATGCTGCTGTCTACTTTTTATACTTAATCCCGTTTCCAACGAAATCCTCCAAGCTATCCAAATATCCACTTGCAGATTCCACAGAAAGACTGTTTCAAAACTGCTCTGTCAATGGAAAGGTTCAACTCTGTTAGCTGCGTGCATATATCCCAAAGAAGATTCTGAGATTGCTTCTGTCTAGTTTTTATGGGAAGATATTTCCCTTCTCACCATAGGCGTCAAGGCGCTCCAAAAGTCCACTTCTAGATACTACAAAAAGAGTGTTTCAAACCTACTCTGTGAAAGGGAATATTCAACTCTGTGACTTCAATGCAGATATCACCAAGAAGTTTCTGAGAATGCTTCTGTCGAGATTTTATATGAAGATATTCCCGTTGCCAACGAAATCCTGAAATCTATCCAAATATCCCCTCGCAGATTCTACAAAAAGAGTGTTTCAAAACTGCTCTGTAAAAAGAAAGGTTCAACTCTGTTAGTTGAGTACACACATCACAAACAAGTTTCACAGAATGCTTCTTTCTAGCTTGTAGGGGAAGATATTCCCTTTATCACCATTGGGCCTCAAACCGTCCGAAACGTCTACTTCCATATACTACAAAAAGAGCGTTTCAAACCTGCTCTATGAAAGGCAATGTTCAACTCTGTGACTTGAATGCAGACATCACAGAGCAGTTTCTGAGAATGCTTCTGTCTAGATTTTATAGGAAGATATTCCCGTTTCCAGCGAAATCTTCACAGCTATCCAAATATCCACTTGCAGATTCTACAAAATGAGTTTATCAAAACTGCTCTGTCAAAAGGAAGGTTCTTCTCTGTTAGGTGAGTGCATACGTCATAAAGGAGTTTCTGAGAATGTTTCTGTCTAGTGGTTATGGGAAGATATTTGCTTTTTCACCGTAGGCCTCAGAGCGCTCCAAATGTCCACTTGCACATACTACAAAAAGAGTGCTTCAAACCTGCTCTCTGAAAGGGAATGTTCAACTCTATGAGTTGAATGCAAACATCACAAAGACGTTTCTGAGAATGCTTCTGTCTAGATTTGATATGAAGATATTCCCGTTTCCAACGAAATCTTCAAATCTATCCAAATGTCCACTTGCAGATTCAACAAAAAGTGTTTTTCAGAACTGCTATATCAAAAGAAAGATCCACCTCTGTTAGCTGAGTTCACACATCACAAACAAGTTTATGAGAATGCTTCTGTCTAGTTTTTATTTGAAGATATTTCCTTTCTCACCATAGAGCTGAAAGCTGTCCTAATGTTCACTTCCAGATACTACAGAAAGAGTGTTTCAAAACTGCTGTATGAAAGGGAATGTTCAACTATGTGACTTGAATGCACACATCACAAAGAAGTTTCTGAGGATGCTGCTGTCTACTTTTTATACGTAATCCCGTTTCCAACGAAATCCTCCAAGCTATCCAAATATCCACTTGCAGATTCCACAGATAGACTGTTTCAAAACTGCTCTGTCAATAGAAAGGTTCAACTCTGTTAGCTGCGTGCATATATCCCAAAGAAGATTCTGAGATTGCTTTTGTCTAGTTTTTATGGGAAGATATTTCCCTTTTCACCGTAGGCGTCAAGGCGCTCCAAATGTCCACTTCCAGATACTACAAAAAGAGTGTTTCAAACCTACTCTGTGAAAGGGAATATTCAACTCTGTGACTTGAAGGCAGATATCACAAAGAAGTTTCTGAGAATGCTTCTGTCGAGATTTTATATGAAGATATTCCCGTTTACAACGAAATCCTGAAATCTATCCAAATATCCCCTCGCAGATTCTACAAAAAGAGTGTTTCAAAACTGCTCTGTAAAAAGAAAGGTTCAACTCTGTTAGTTGAGTACACACATCACAAACAAGTTTCACAGAATGCTTCTTTCTAGCTTGTAGGGGAAGATATTCCCTTTATCACCATGGGCCTCAAACCGTCCGAAACGTCCACTTCCATATACTACAAAAAGAGCCTTTCAAACATGCTCTATGAAAGGCAATGTTCAACTCTGTGACTTGAATGCAGACATCACAGAGCAGTTTCTGAGAATCCTTCTGTCTAGATTTTATAGGAAGATATTCCCGTTTCCAACGAAATCTTCACAGCTATCCAAATATCCACTGTCAGATTCCACAAAAAGAGTGTATCAAAAGTGCTCTGTCAAAAGGAAGGTTCTTCTCTGTTAGGTGAGTGCATACGTCATAAAGGAGTTTCTGAGAATGTTTCTGTCTAGTGGTTATGGGAAGATATTTGCTTTTTCACCGTAGGCCTCAGAGCGCTCCAAATATCCACTTGCACATACTACAAAAAGAGTGCTTCAAAGCTGCTCTCTGAAACGGAATGTTCAACTCTATGAGTTGAATGCAAACATCACAAAGACGTTTCTGAGTATGCTTCTGTCTAGATTTGATATGAAGATATTCCCGTTTCCAACGAAATCTTCAAATCTATCCAAATGTCCACTTCCAGATTCAACAAAAAGTGTTTTTCAGAACTGCTCTATCAAAAGAAAGATCCACCTCTGTTAGCTGAGTTCACACATCACAAACATGTTTATGACAATGCTTCTGTCTAGTTTTTATTTGAAGATATTTCCTTTCTCACCATAGAGCTGAAAGCTGTCCTAATGTTCACTTCCAGATACTACAGAAAGAGTGTTTGAAAACTGCTGTACGAAAGGGAATGTTCAACTCTGTGACTTGAATGCACACATCACAAAGAAGGTTCTGAGGATGCTGCTGTCTACTTTTTATACGTAATCCCGTTTCCAACGAAATCCTCCAAGCTATCCAAATATCCACTTGCAGATTCCACAAAAAGACTGTTTCAAAACCGCTCTGTCAATAGAAAGGTTCAACTCTGTTAGCTGCGTGCATACATCCCAAAGAACATTCTGAGGTTGCTTCTGTCTAGTTTTTATGGGAAGATATTTCCCTTTTCACCGTAGGCATCAAGGCGCTCCAAATGTCCACTTCCAGATACTACAAAAAGAGTGTTTCAAACCTACTCTGTGAAAGGGAATATTCAACTCTGTGACTTGAATGCACATATCACAAGGAAGTTTCTGAGAATGCTTCTGTCGAGATTTTATATGAAGGTATTCCCGTTTCCAACGAAATCCTGAAATCTATCCAAATATCCCCTCGCAGATTCTACAAAAAGAGTGTTTCAAAACTGCTCTGTAAAAAGAAAGGTTCAACTCTGTTAGTTGAGTACACACATCACAAACAAGTTTCACAGAATGCTTCTTTCTAGCTTGTAGGGGAAGATATTCCCTTTATCACCATGGGCCTCAAACCGTCCGAAACGTCCACTTCCATATACTACAAAAAGAGCGTTTCAAACCTGCTCTATGAAAGGCAATGTTCAACTCCGTGAGTTGAATGCAGACATCACAGAGCAGTTTCTGAGAATGCTTCTGTCTAGTGGTTATGGGAAGATATTTGCTTTTTCACCGTAGGCCTCAGAGCGCTCAAAATATCCACTTGCACATACTACAAAAAGAGTGCTTCAAAGCTGCTCTCTGAAAGGGAATGTTCAACTCTATGAGTTGAATGCAAACATCACAAAGACGTTTCTGAGAATGCTTCTGTCTAGATTTGATATGAAGATATTCCCGTTTCCAACGAAATCTTCAAATCTATCCAAATGTCCACTTGCAGATTCAACAAAAATTGTTTTTCAGAACTGCTCTATCAAAAGAAAGATCCACGTGTGTTAGCTGAGTTCACACATAACAAACAAGTTTATGAGAATGCTTCTGTCTAGTTTTTATTTGAAGATATTTCCTTTCTCACCATAGACCTGAAAGCTGTCCTAATGTTCACTTCCAGATACTACAGAAAGAGTGTTTCAAAACTGCTGTATGAAAGGGAATGTTCAACTCTGTGACTTGAATGCACACATCAAAAAGAAGTTTCTGAGGATGCTGCTGTCTACTTTTTATACGTAATCCCGTTTCCAACGAAATCCTCCAAGGTATCCAAATATCCACTTGCAGATTCCACAGAAAGACAGTTTCAAAACTGCTCTGTCAATAGAAAGGTTCAACTCTGTTAGCTGCGTGCATATATCCCAAAGAAGATTCTGAGATTGCTTCTGTCTACTTTTCATGAGAAGATATTTCCCTTTTCACCGTAGGCGTCAAGGTGCTCCAAATGTCCACTTCCAGATACTACAAAAAGAGTGTTTCAAACCTACTCTGTGAAAGGGAATATTCAACTCTGTGACTTGAATGCACATATCACAAAGAAGCTTCTGAGAATGCTTCTGTCGAGATTTTATATGAAGATATTCCCGTTTCCAACGAAATCCTGAAATCTATCCAAATATCCCCTCGCAGATTCTACAAAAAGAGTGTTTCAAAACTGCTCTGTAAAAGAAAGGTTCAACTCTGTTAGTTGAGTACACACATCACAAACAAGTTTCACAGAATGCTTCTTTCTAGCTTGTAGAGGAAGAATATTCCCTTTATCACCATGGGCCTCCAACCGTCCGAAACATCCACTTCCATATACTACAAAAAGAGCGTTTCAAACCTGCTCTATGAAAGGCAATGTTCAACTCTGTGACTTGAATGCAGACATCACAGAGCAGTTTCTGAGAATGCTTCTGTCTAGATTTTATAGGAAGATATTCCCGTTTCCAATGAAATCTTCACAGGTATCCAAATATCCACTTGCAGATTCTACAAAAAGAGTGTATCAAAACTGCTCTGTCAAAAGGAAGGTTCTTCTCTGTTAGGTGAGTGCATACGTCATAAAGGAGTTTCTGAGAATGTTTTCTGTCTAGTGGTTATGGGAAGATATTTGCTTTTTCACCGTAGGCCTCAGAGCGCTCCAAATATCCACTTGCACATACTACAAAAAGAGTGCCTCAAAGCTGCTCTCTGAAACGGAATGTTCAACTCTATGAGTTGAATGCAAACATCACAAAGACGTTTCTGAGAATGCTTCTGTCTAGATTGGATATGAAGATATTCCCGTTTCCAACGAAATCTTCAAATCTATCCAAATGTCCACTTGCAGATTCAACAAAAAGTGTTTTTCAGAACTGCTCTATCAAAAGAAAGATCCACCTCTGTTAGCTGAGTTCACACATCACAAACAAGTTTATGAGAATGCTTCTGTCTAGTTTTTATTTGAAGATATTTCCTTTCTCACCATAGAGCTGAAAGCTGTCCTAATGTTCACTTCCAGATACTACAGAAAGAGTGTTTCAAAACTGCTGTACGAAAGGGAATGTTCAACTCTGTGACTTGAATGCACACATCAGAAAGAAGTTTCTGAGGATGCTGCTGTCTACTTTTTCTACGTAATCCCGTTTCCAACGAAATCCTCCAAGCTATCCAAATATCCACTTGCAGATTCCACAGAAAGACTGTTTCAAAACTGTTCTGTCAATAGAAAGGTTCAACTCTGTTAGCTGCGTGCATATATCCCAAAGAAGATTCTGAGATTGCTTCTGTCTAATTTTTATGGGAAGATATTTCCCTTTTCACCGTAGGCGTCAAGGCGCTCCAAATGTCCACTTCCAGATACTACAAAAAGAGTGTTTCAAACCTACTCTGTGAAAGGGAATATTCAACTCTGTGACTTGAATGCACATATCACAAGGAAGTTTCTGAGAATGCTTTCTGTCGAGATTTTATATGAAGATATTCCCATTTCCAACGAAATCCTGAAATCTATCCAAATATCCCCTCGCAGATTCTACAAAAAGAGTGTTTCAAAACTGCTCTGTAAAAAGAAAGGTTCAACTCTGTTAGTTGAGTACACACATCACAAACAAGTTTCACAGAATGCTTCTTTCTAGCTTGTAGGGGAAGATATTCCCTTTATCACCATGGGCCTCAAACCGTCCGAAAAGTCCACTTCAATATACTACAAAAAGAGCGTTTCAAACCTGCTCTATGAAAGGCAATGTTCAACTCTGTGACTTGAATGCAGACATCACAGAGCAGTTTCTGAGAATGCTTCTGTCTAGGTTTTATAGGAAGATATTCCCGTTTCCAACGAAATCTTCACAGCTATCCAAATATCCACTTGCAGACAGTACAAAAAGAGTGTATCAAAAATGCTCCGTCAAAAGGAAAGTTCTTCTCTGTCAGTTGAGTACATACGTCATAAAGGAGTTTCTGAGAATGTTTCTGTCTAGTGGTTATGGGAAGATATTTGCTTTTTCACCGTAGGCCTCAGAGCGCTCCAAATATCCACTTGCACATACTACAAAAAGAGTGCTTCAAACCTGCTCTCTGAAACGGAATGTTCAACTCTATGAGATGAATGCAAACATCACAAAGACGTTTCTGAGAATGCTTCTGTCTAGATTTGATATGAAGATACTCCCGTTTCCAACGAAATCTTCAAATCTATCCAAATGTCCTCTTGCAGATTCAACAAAAAGTGTTTTTCAGAACTGCTCTATCAAAAGAAAGATCCACGTGTGTTAGCTGAGTTCACACATCACGAACAAGTTTATGAGAATGCTTCTGTCTAGTTTTTATTTGAAGATATTTCCTTTCTCACCATAGAGCTGAAAGCTGTCCTAATGTTCACTTCCAGATACTACAGAAAGAGTGTTTCAAAACTGCTGTACGAAAGGGAATGTTCAACTCTGTGACTTCAATGCACACATCACAAAGAAGTTTCGGAGGATGCTGCTGTCTAATTTTTATACGTAATCCCGTTACCAACGAAATCCTCCAAGCTATCCAAATATCCACTTACAGATTCCACAGAAAGACTGTTTCAAAACTGCTCTGTCAATAGAAAGGTTCAACTCTGTTAGCTGCGTGCATATATCCCAAAGAAGATTCTGAGATTGCTTCTGTCTAGTTTTTATGGGAAGATATTTCCCTTTTCACCGTAGGTGTCAAGGCGCTCCAAATGTCCACTTCCAGATACTACAAAAACAGTGTTTCAAACCTACTCTGTGAAAGGGAATATTCAACTCTGTGACTTGAATGCACATATCACAAAGAAGTTTCTGAGAATGCTTCTGTCGAGATTTTATATGAAGATATTCCCGTTTCCAACGAAATCCTGAAATGTATCCAAATATCCCCTCGCAGATTCTACAAAAAGAGTGTTTCAAAACTGCTCTGTAAAAAGAAAGGTTCAACTCTGTTAGTTGAGTACAAACATCACAAACAAGTTTCACAGAATGCTTCTTTCTAGCTTGTAGGGGAAGATATTCCCTTTATCAACATGGGCCTCAAACCTTCCGAAACGTCCACTTCCATATACTACAAAAAGAGGGTTTCAAACCTGCTCTATGAAAGGCAATGTTCAACTCTGTGACTTGAATGCAGACATCACAGAGCAGTTTCTGAGAATGCTTCTGTCTAGATTTTATAGGAAGATATTCCCGTTTCCAACGAAATCTTCACAGCTATCCAAATATCCACTTGCAGATTCTACAAAAAGAGTGTATCAAAACTGCTCTGTCAAAAGGAAGGTTCTTCTCGGTTAGGTGAGTGCATACGTCATAAAGGAGTTTCTCAGAATGTTTCTGTCTAGTGGTTATGGGAAGATATTTGCTTTTTCCCCGTAGGCCTAAGAGCGCTCCAAATATCCACTTGCACATACTACAAAAAGAGTGCTTCAAAGCTGCTCTCTGAAACGGAATGTTCAACTCTATGAGTTGAATGCAAACATCACAAAGACGTTTCTGAGAATGCTTCTGTCTAGATTTGATATGAAGATATTCCCGTTTCCAACGAAATCTTCAAATCTATCCAAATGTCCACTTGCAGATTCAACAAAAAGTGTTTTTCAGAACTGCTCTATCAAAAGAAAGATCCACCCCTGTTAGATGAGTTCACACATCACAAACAAGTTTATGAGAATGCTTCTGTCTAGTTTTTATTTGAAGATATTTCCTTTCTCATCATAGACCTGAAAGCTGTCCTAATGTTCACTTCCAGATACTACAGAAAGAGTGTTTCAAAACTGCTGTACGAAAGGGAATGTTCAACTTTGTGACTTGAATGCACACATCACAAAGAAGTTTCTGAGGATGCTGCTGTCTACTTTTATACGTAATCCCGTTTCCAACGAAATCCTCCAAGCTATCCAAATATCCACTTGCAGATTCCACAGAAAGACTGTTTCAAAACTGCTCTGTCAATAGAAAGGTTCAACTCTGTTAGCTGCGTGCATATATCCCGAAGAAGATTCTGAGATTGCTTCTGTCTAGTTTTTATGGGAAGATATTTCCCTTTTCACCGTGGGCGTCAAGGCGCTCCAAATGTCCACTTCCAGATACTACAAAAAGAGTGTTTCAAACCTCCTCTGTGAAAGGGAATATTCAACTCTGTGACTTGAATGCACATATCACAAGGAAGTTTCTGAGAATGCTTCTGTCGAGATTTTATATGAAGATATTCCCGTTTCCAACGAAATCCTGAAATGTATCCAAATATCCCCTCGCAGATTCTACAAAAAGAGTGTTTCAAAACTGCTCTGTGAAAAGAAAGGTTCAACTCTGTTAGTTGAGTACACACAAACAAGTTTCACAGAATGCTTCTTTCTAGCTTGTAGGGGAAGATATTCCCTTTATCACCATGTGCCTCAAACCGTCCGAAACGTCCACTTCCATATACTACAAAAAGAGCGTTTCAAACCTGCTCTATGAAAGGCAATGTTCAACTCTGTGACTTGAATGCAGACATCACAGAGCAGTTTCTGAGAATGCTTCTGTCCAGACTTTATAGGAAGATATTCCCGTTTCCAACGAAATCTTCACAGATATCCAAATATCCACTTGCAGATAGTACAAAAAGAGTGTATCAAAAATGCTCTGTCAAAAGGAAAGTTCTTCTCTGCTAGTTGAGTACATACGTCATAAAGAAGTTTCTGAGAATGTTTCTGTCTAGTGGTTATGGGAAGATATTTGCTTTTTCCCCGTAGGCCTCAGGGCGCTCCAAATGTCCACTTGCACATGCTACAAAAAGAGTGCTTCAAATCTGCTCTCTCAAAGGGAATGTTCAACTCTATGAGTTGAATGCAAACATCGCAAAGACGTTTCTGAGAATGCTTCTGTCTAGATGTGATATGAAGATATTCCCGTTTCCAACGAAATCTTCAAATCTATCCAAATGTCCACTTGCAGATTCAACAAAAAGTGTTTTTCAGAACTGCTCTATCAAAAGAAAGATCCACCTCTGTTAGCTGAGTTCAGACATCACAAACAAGTTTATGAGAATGCTTCTGTCTAGTTTTTATTTGAAGATATTTCCTTTCTAACCATAGACCTGAAAGCTGTCCTAATGTTCACTCCCAGATACTACAGAAAGAGTGTTTCAAAACTGCTGTACGAAAGGGAATGTTCAACTCTGTGACTTGAATGCACACATCACAAAGAAGATTCTGAGGATGCTGCTGTCTACTTTTTATACTTAATCCCATTTCCAACGAAATCCTCCAAGCTATCCAAATATCCACTTGCAGATTCCACAGAAAGACTGTTTCAAAACTGCTCTGTCAATAGAAAGGTTCAACTCTGTTAGCTGCGTGCATATATCCCAAAGAAGATTCTGAGATTGCTTCTGTCTACTTTTTATGAGAAGATATTTCCCTTTTCACCGTAGGCGTCAAGGCGCTCCAAATGTCCACTTCCAGATACTACAAAAAGAGTGTTTCAAACCTACTCTGTGAAAGGGAATATTGAACTCTGTGACTTGAATGCACATATCACAAAGAAGCTTTCTGAGAATGCTTCTGTCGAGATTTTATATGAAGATATTCCCCTTTCCAACGAAATCCTGAAATCTATCCAAATATCCCCTCGCAGATTCTACAAAAAGAGTGTTTCAAAACTGCTCTATAAAAAGAAAGGTTCAACTCTGTTAGTTGAGTACACACATCACAAACAAGTTTCACAGAATGCTTCTTTCTAGCTTGTAGGGGAAGATATTCCCTTTATCACCATGGGCCTCAAACCGTCCGAAACGTCTACTTCCATATACTACAAAAAGAGCGTTTCAAACCTGCTCTATGAAAAGCAATGTTCAACTCTGTGACTTGAATGCAGACATCAGATAGCAGTTTCTGAGAATGCTTCTGTCTAGATTTTATAGGAAGATATTCCCGTTTCCAACGAAATCTTCACAGCTATCCAAATATCCACTTGCAGATTCTACAAAAAGAGTGTATCAAAACTACTCTGTCAAAAGGAAGGTTCTTCTCTGTTAGTTGAGTACATACGTCATAAAGGAGTTTCTGAGAATGTTTCTGTGTAGTGGTTATGGGAAGATATTTGCTTTTTCACCGTAGGCCTCAGAGCGCTCCAAATATCCACTTGCACATACTACAAAAAGAGTGCCTCACAGCTGCTCTCTGAAACGGAATGTTCAACTCTATGAGTTGAATGCAAACATCGCAAAGACGTTTCTGAGAATGCTTCTGTCTAGATTTGATATGAAGATATTCCCGTTTCCAACGAAATCTTCAAATCTATCCAAATGTCGACTTGCAGATTCAACAAAAAGTGTTTTTCAGAACTGCTCTATCAAAAGAAAGATCCACCTCTGTTAGCTGAGTTCACACATCACAAACAAGTTTATGAGAATGCTTCTGTCTAGTTTTTATTTGAAGATATTTCCTTTCTCACCATAGACCTGAAAGCTGTCCTAATGTTCACTTCCAGATACTACAGAAAGAGTGTTTCAAAACTGCTGTACGAAAGGGAATGTTCAACTCTGTGACTTGAATGCACACATCACAAAGATGTTTCTGAGGATGCTGCTGTCTACTTTTTATACATAATCCCGTTTCCAACGAAATCCTCCAAGCTATCCAAATATCCACTTGCATATTCCACAGAAAGACTGTTTCAAAACTGCTATGTCAATAGAAAAGTTCAACTCTGTTAGCTGTGTGCATATATCCCAAAGAAAATTCTGAGATTGCTTCTGTCTTGTTTTTATGGGAAGATATTTCCCTTTTCACCGTAGGTCTCAAGGGGCTCCAAATGTCCACTTCCAGATACTACAAAAAGAGTGTTTCAAACCTACTCTGTGAAAGGGAATATTCAACTCTGTGACTTAAAGGCAGATATCACAAAGAAGTTTCTGAGAATGCTTCTGTCGAGATTTTATATGAAGATATTCCCGTTCCAACGAAATCCTGAAATCTATCCAAATATCCCCTCGCAGATTCTACAAAAAGAGTGTCTCAAAACTGCTCTGTAAAAAGAAAGGTTCAACTCTGTTAGTTGAGTACACACATCACAAACAAGTTTCACAGAATGCTTCTTTCTAGCTTGTAGCGAAGATATTTCCTTTATCACCATGGGCCTCAAACCGTCCGAAACGTCCACTTCCATATACTACAAAAAGAGCATTTCAAAACTGCTCTATGAAAGGCAATGTTCAACTCTGTGACTTGAATGCAGACATCACAGAGCAGTTTCTGAGAATGCTTCTGTCTAGATTTTATAGGAAGATATTCCCGTTTCCAACGAAATCTTCACAGCTATCCAAATATCCACTTGCAGATTCTACAAAAAGAGTGTATCAAAACTGCTCTGTCAAAAGGAAGGTTCTTCTCTGTTAGTTGAGTACAAACGTCATAAAGGAGTTTCTGAGAATGTTTCTGTCTAGTGGTTATGGGAAGATATTTGCTTTTTCACCTTAGGCCTCAGAGCGCTCCATATATCCCCTTGCACATACTACAAAAAGAGTGCCTCAAAGCTGCTCTCTGAAACGGAATGTTCAACTCTATGAGTTGAATGCCAACATCACAAAGACGTTTCTGAGAATGCTTCTGTCTAGATTTGATATGAAGATATTCCCGTTTCCAACGAAATCTTCAAATCTATCCAAATGTCCACTGCAGATTCAACAAAAAGTGTTTTTCAGAACTGCTCTATCAAAAGAAAGATCCACCTCTGTTAGCTGAGTTCACACATCACAAACAAGTTTATGAGAATGCTTCTGTCTAGTTTTTATTTGAAGATATTTCCTTTCTCACCATAGACCTGAAAGCTGTCCTAATGTTCACTTCCAGATACTACAGAAAGAGCGTTTCAAAACTGCTGTACGAAAGGGAATGTTCAACTCTGTGACTTGAATGCACACATCACAAAGAAGTTTCTGAGGATGCTGCTGTCTACTTTTTATACGTAATCCCGTTTCCAAAGAAATCCTCCAATCTATCCAAATATCCACTTGCAGATTCCACAGAAAGACTGTTTCTAAACTGCTCTGTCAATAGAAAGGTTCAACTCTGTTAGCTGCGTGCATATATCCCAAAGAAGATTCTGAGATTGCTTCTGTCTAGTTTTTAGGGGAAGATATTTCCTTTTTCACAATAGGCGTCAAAGCGATCCAAATGTCCAATTCCAGATACTACAAAAAGAGTGTTTCAAACCTACTCTGTGAAAGGGAGTATTCAAGTCTGTGACTTCAATGCAGATATCACAATGAAGTTTCTGAGAATGCTTCGGTCTTCTGTCGAGATTTTATATGAAGATATTCCCGTTTCCAACGAAATCCTGAAATCTATCCAAATATCCCCTCGCATATTCTACAAAAAGAGTGTTTCAAAACTGCTCTGTAAAAAGAAAGGTTCAACTCTGTTAGTTGAGTACACACATCACAAACAAGTTTCACAGAATGCTTCTTTCTAGCTTGTAGGGGAAGATATTCCCTTTATCACCATGGGCCTCAAACCGTCCGAAACGTCCACTTCCATATACTACAAAAAGAGCGTTTCAAACCTGCTCTAGGAAAGGCAGAGTTCAACTCTGTGACTTGAATGCAGACATCACAGAGCAGTTTCTGAGAATGCTTCTGTCTAGATTTTATAGGAAGATATTCCCGTTTCCAACGAAATCTTCACAGCTATCCAAATATCCACTTGCAGATTCTACAAAAAGTGTGTATCAAAAATGCTCTGTCAAAAGGAAGGTTCTTCTCTGTTAGGTGAGTGCACACGTCATAAAGGAGTTTCTGAGAATGTTTCTGTCTAGTGGTTATGGGAAGATATTTGCTTTTTCACCTTAGGCCTCAGAGCGCTCCAAATACCCCCTTGCACATACTACAAAAAGAGTGCTTCAAAGCTGCTCTCTGAAAGGGAATGTTCAACTCTATGAGTTGAATGCAAACATCACAAAGACGTTTCTGAGAATGCTCTGTCTAGATTTGATATGAAGATATTCCCGTTTCCAACGAAATCTTCATATCTATCCAAATGTCCACTTGCAGATTCAACAAAACGTGTTTTTCAGAACTGCTCTATCAAAAGAAACATCCACCTCTGTTAGCTGAGTTCACACATCACAAACAAGTTCTTGAGAATGCTTTCTGTCTAGTTTTTATTTGAAGATATTTCCTTTCTCACCATAGAGCTGAAAGCTGTCCTAATGTTCACTTCCAGATATTACAGAAAGAGTGTTTCAAAACTGCTGTACGAAAGGGAATGTTCAACTCTGTGACTTGAATGCACACATCACAAAGAAGTTTCTGAGGATGCTGCTGTCTACTTTCTATACGTAATCCCGTTTCCTACGAAATCCTCCAAGCTATCCAAATATCCACTTGCAGATTCCACAGAAAGACTGTTTCAAAACTGCTCTGTCAATAGAAAGGTTCAACTCTATTAGCTGCGTGCATATATCCCAAAGAAGATTCTGAGATTGCTTCTGTCTAGTTTTTATGGGAAGATATTTCCCTTTTCACCGTAGGTGTCAAGGCGCTCCAAATGTCCACTTCCAGATACTACAAAAAGAGTGTTTCAAACCTACTCTGTGAAACGGAATATTCAACTCTGTGACTTGAATGCACATATCACAAAGAAGTTTCTGAGAATGCTTCTGTCGAGATTTTATATGAAGATATTCCCGTTTCCAACGAAATCCTGAAATCTATCCAAATATCCCCTCGCAGATTCTACAAAAAGAGTGTTTCAAAACTGCTCTGTAAAAAGAAAGGTTCAACTCTGTTAGTTGAGTACACGCATCACAAACATGTTTCACAGAATGCTTCTTTCTAGCTTGTAGGGGAAGATATTCCCTTTATCACCATGGTCCTCAAACCGTCCGAAACGTCCACTTCCATATACTACAAAAAGAGCGTTTCAAACCTGCTCTAGGAAAGGCAATGTTCAACTCTGTGACTTGAATGCAGACATCACAGAGCAGTTTCTGAGAATGCTTCTGTCTAGTATTTTATAGGAAGATATTCCCGTTTCCAGCAAAATCTTCACAGCTATCCAAATATCCACTTGCAGATTCTACAAAAAGAGTGTATCAAAACTGCTCTGTCAAATGGAAGGTTCTTCTCTGTTAGGTGAGTGCATACGTCATAAACGAGTTTCTGAGAATGTTTCCATCTAGTGGTTATGGGAAGATATTTGCTTTTTCACCGAAGGCCTCAGAGCGCTCCAAATATCCACTTGCACATACTACAAAAAGAGTGCCTCAAAGCTGCTCTCTGAATCGGAATGTTCAACTCTATGAGTTGAATGCAAACATCACAACGACGTTTCTGAGAATGCTTCTGACTAGATTTGATATGAAGATATTCCCGTTTCCAACGAAATCTTCAAATCTATTCAAATGTCCACTTGCAGATTCAACAAAAAGTGTTTTTCAGAACTGCTCTATCAAAAGAAAGATCCACCTCTGTTAGCTGAGTTCACACATCACAAACAAGTTTATGAGAATGCTTCTGTCTAGTTTTTATTTGAAGATATTTCCTTTCTCACCATAGACCTGAAAGCTGTCCTAATGTTCACTTCCAGTTACTACAGAAAGAGTGTTTCAAAACTGCTGTACGAAAGGGAATGTTCAACTCTGTGACTTGAATGCACAGATCACAAAGAAGTTTCTGAGGATGCTGCTGTCTACTTTTTATACGTAATCCCGTTTCCAACGAAATCCTCCAAGCTATCCAAATATCCACTTGCAGATTCCACAGAAAGACTGTTTCAAAACTGCTCTGTGAATAGAAAGGTTCAACTCTGTTAGCTGCGTGCATATATCCCAAAGAAGATTCTGAGATTGCTTCTGTCTAGTTTTTATGGGAAGATATTTCCCTTTTCACCGTAGGCATCAAGGCGCTCCAAATGTCCACTTCCAGACTACTACAAAAAGGGTTTTTCAAACCTAGTCTGTGAAAGGGAATATTCAACTCTGTGACTTGAATGCACATATCACAAAGAAGTTTCTGAGAATGCTTCTGTCGAGATTTTATATGAAGATATTCCCGTTTCCAACGAAATCCTGAAATCTATCCAAATATCCCCTCGCAGATTCTACAAAAAGAGGGTTTCAAAACTGCTCTGTAAAAAGAAAGGTTCAACTCTGTTAGTTGAGTACACACATCACAAACAAGTTTCACAGAATGCTTCTTTTCTAGCTTGTAGGGGAAGATATTCCCTTTATCACCATGGGCCTCAAACCGTCCGAAACGTCCACTTCCATATACTACAAAAAGAGTGTTTCAAACCTGCTCTATGAACGGCAATGTTCAACTCTGTGACTTGAATGCAGACATCACAGAGCAGTTTCTGAGAATGCTTCTGTCTAGATTTTATAGGAAGATATTCTCGTTTCCAACGAAATCTTCACAGCTATCCAAATATCCACTTGCAGATTCTACAAAAAGAGTGTATCAAAACCGCTCTGTCAAAAGGAAGGTTCTTCTCTGTTAGGTGAGTGCATACGTCATAAAGGAGTTTCTGAGAATGTTTCTGTCTAGTGGTTATGGGAAGATATTTGCTTTTCCACCGTAGGCCTCAGAGCGCTCCAAATATCCACTTGCACATACTACAAAAAGAGTGCTTCAAAGCTGCTCTCTGAAAGAGAATGTTCAACTCTATGAGTTGAATGCAAACATCACAAAGACGTTTCTGAGAATGCTTCTGTCTAGATTTGATATGAAGATATTCCCGTTTCCAACGAAATCTTCAAATCTATCCAAATGTCCACTTGCAGATTCAACAAAAAGTGTTTTTCAGAAGTGCTCTATCAAAAGAAAGATCCACCTCTGTTAGCTGAGTTCACACATCACAAACAAGTTTATGAGAATGCTTCTGTCTAGTTTTTATTTGAAGATATATCCTTTCTCACTATAGACCTGAAAGCTCTCCTAAATTTCACTTCCAGATACTACAGAAAGAGTGTTTCAAAACTGCTGTACGAAAGGGAATGTTCAACTCTGTGACTTGAATGCACACATCACAAGGATGTTTCTGAGGATGCTGCTGTCTACTTTTTATACTTAATCCCGTTTCCAACGAAATCCTCCAAGCTATCCAAATATTCACTTGCAGATTCCACAGAAAGACTGTTTCAAAACTGCTCTGTCAATAGAAAGGTTCAACTCTGTTAGCTGCGTGCATATATCCCAAAGAAGATTCTGAGATTGCTTCTGTCTAGTTTTTATGGGAAGATATTTCCCTTTTCACCGTAGGCATCAAGGCGCTCCAAATGTCCACTTCCAGATACTACAAAAAGAGTGTTTCAAACCTACTCTGTGAAAGCGAATATTCAACTCTGTGACTTGAATGCACATATCACAAAGAAGTTTCTGAGAATGCTTCTGTCGAGGATTTTATATGAAGATATTCCCGTTTCCAACGAAATCCTGAAATGTATCCAAATATCCCCTCGCAGATTCTACAAAAAGAGTGTTTCAAAACTGCTCTGTAAAAAGAAAGGTTCAACTCTGTTAGTTGAGTACACACATCACAAATAAGTTTCACACAATGCTTCTTTCTAGCTTGTAGGGGAAGATATTCCCTTTATCACCATGGGCCTCCAACCGTCGGAAACATCCGGTTCCATATACTACAAAAAGAGCGTTCCAAACCTGCTCTATGAAAGGCAATGTTCAACTCTGTGACTTGAATGCAGACATCACAGAGCAGTTTCTGAGAATGCTTCTGTCTAGATTTTATAGGAAGATATTCCCGTTTCCAACGAAATCTTCACAGCTATCCAAATATCCACTTGCAGATTCTACAAAAAGAGTGTATCAAAACTGCTCTGTGAAAAGGAAGGTTCTTTTCTGTTAGGTGAGTGCATACGTCATAAAGGAGTTTCTGAGAATGTTTCTGTCTAGTGGTTATGGGAGATATTTGCTTTTTCCCCGTAGGCCTCAAAGCGCTCCAATTGTCCACTTGCACATACCACAAAAAGAGTTCTTCAAAGCTGCACTCTGAAAGGGAATGTTCAACTCTATGAGTTGAATGCAAACATCACAAAGCCGTTTCTGAGAATGCTTCTGTCTAGATTTGATATGAAGATATTCCCGTTTCCAACGAAATCTTCAAATCTATCCAAATGTCCACTTGCAGATTCAACAAAAAGTGTTTTTCAGAACTGCTCTATCAAAACAAAGATCCACCTCTGTTAGCTGAGTTCACACATCACAAACAAGTTTATGAGAATGCTTCTGTCTAGTTTTTATTTGAAGATATTTCCTTTCTCACCATAGTCCTGAAAGCTGTCCTAATGTTCACTTCCAGATACTACAGAAAGAGTGTTTCAAAACTGCTGTACGAAAGGGAATGTTCAACTCTGTGACTTGAATGCACACATCACAAAGAAGTTTACTGAGGATGCTGCTGTCTACTTTTTATACGTAATCCCGTTTCCAACGAAATCCTCCAAGCTATCCAAATATCCACTTGCAGTTTCCACAGAAAGACTGTTTCAAAACTGCTCTGTCAATAGAAAGGTTCAACTCTGTTAGCTGCGTACATATATCCCAAAGAAGATTCTGAGATTGCTTCTGTCTACTTTTTATGAGAAGATATTTGCCCTTTTCACCGTAGGCGTCAAGGCGCTCCAAATGTCCACTTCCAGATACTACAAAAAGAGTGTTTCAAACCTACTCTGTGAAAGGGAACATTGAACTCTGTGACTTGAATGCACATATCACAAAGAAGTTTCTGAGAATGCTTCTGTCGAGATTTTATATGAAGATATTCCCGTTTCCAACGAAATCCTGAAATCTATCCAAATATCCCCTCGCAGATTCTACAAAAAGAGTGTTTCAAAACTGCTCTGTAAAAAGAAAGGTTCAAATCTATTAGTTGAGTACACACATCACAAACAAGTTTCACAGAATGCTTCTTTCTAGCTTGTAGGGGAAGATATTTCCTTTATCACCATGGTCCTCAAACCGTCCGAAACGTCCACTTCCATATAGTAAAAAAAGAGTGTTTGAAACCTGCTCTATGAAAGGCAATGTTCAACTCTGTGACTTGAATGCACACATCACAAAGAAGTTTCTGAGGATGCTTCTGTCCAGACTTTATAGGAAGATATTCCGGTTTCCAACGAAATCTTCACAGCTATCCAAATATCCACTTGCAGATACTACAAAAAGAATGTATCAAAAATGCTCTGTCAAAAGGAAAGTTCTTCTCTGCTAGTTGAGTACATACGTCATAAAGAAGTTTCTGAGAATGTTTCTGTCTATTGGTTATGGGAAGATATTTGCTTTTTCCCCGTAGGCCTCAGAGCGCTCCAAATGTCCACTTGCACATGCTACAAAAAGAGTGCTTCAAAGCTGCTCTCTGCAAGGGAATGTTCAACTCTATGAGTTGAATGTAAACATCACAAAGACGTTTCTGAGAATGCTTCTGTCTAGATTTGATATGAAGATATTCCCGTTTCCAACGAAATCTTCAAATCTATCCAAATGTCCACTTGCAGATTCAACAAAAAGTGTTTTTCAGAACCGCTCTATCAAAAGAAAGATCCATCTCTGTTAGCTGAGTTCACACATCACAAACAAGTTTATGAGAATGCTTCTGTCTAGTTTTTATTTGAAGATATTTCCTTTCTCACCATAGAGCTGAAATCTGTCCTAATGTTCACTTCCAGATACTACAGAAAGAGTGTTTCAAAACTGCTGTACGAAAGGGAATGTTCAACTCTGTGACTTGAATGCACACATCACAAAGTAGTTTCTGAGGATGCTGCTGTCTACTTTTTATACGTAATCCCGTTTCCAACGAAATCCTCCAAGCTATCCAAATATCCACTTGCAGATTCCACAGAAAGACTGTTTCAAAACGGCTCTGTCAATAGAAAGGTTCAACTCTGTTAGCTGCGTGCATATATCCCAAAGAAGATTCTGAGATTGCTTCTGTCTACTTTTTATGAGAAGATATTTCCCTTTTCACCGTAGGCGTCAAGGCGCTCAAAATGTCCACTTCCAGATACTACAAAAAGAGTGTTTCAAACCTACTCTGTGAAAGGGAATATTCAACTCTGTGACTTGAATGCAGATATCACAAAGAAGTTTCTGAGAATGCTTCTGTCGAGATTTTATATGAAGATACTCCCGTTTCCAACGAAATCCTGAAATCTATCCAAATATCCCCTCGCAGATTCTACAAAAAGAGTGTTTCAAAACTACTCTGTAAAAGGAAAGGTTCAACTCTGTTAGTTGAGTACACACATCACAAACAAGTTTCACAGAATGCTTCTTTCTAGCTTGTAGGGGAAGATATTCCCTTTATCACCATGGGCCTCAAACAGTCCGAAACGTCCACTTCCATATACTACAAAAAGAGCGTTTCAAACCTGCTCTAGGAAAGGCAATGTTCAACTCCGTGACTTGAATGCAGACATCCCAGAGCAGTTTCAGAGAATGCTTCTGTCTAGATTTTATAGGAAGATATTCCCGTTTCCAACGAAATCTTCACACCTATCCAAATATCCACTTGCAGATTCTACAAAAAGAGTGTATCAAAACTGCTCTGTCAAAAGGAAGGTTCTTCTCTGTTAGGTGAGTGCATACGTCATAAAGGAGTTTCTGAGAATGTTTCTGTCTAGTGGTTATGGGAAGATATTTGCTTTTTCCCCGTAGGCCTCAGGGCGCTCCAAATGTCCACTTGCACATGCTACAAAATGAGTGCTTCAAAGCTACTCTCTGGAAGGGAATGTTCAACTCTATGAGTTGAATGCAAACATCACAAAGACGTTTCTGAGAATGCTTCCGTCTAGATTTGATATGAAGATATTCCCGTTTCCAACGACATCTTCAAATCTATCCAAATGTCCACTTGCAGATTCAACAAAAAGTGTTTTTCAGAACTGCTCTATCAAAAGAAAGATCCACCTCGGTTAGCTGAGTTCACACATCACAAACAAGTTTATGAGAATGCTTCTGTCTAGTTTTTATTTGAAGATATTTCCTTTCTCAATATAGACCTGAAAGCTGTCCTAATATTCACTTTCAGATACTACAGAAAGAGTGTTTCAAAACTGCTGTACGAAAGGGAATGTTCAACTCTGTGACTTGAATGCACACATCACAAAGAAGTTTCTGAGGATGCTGCTGTCTACTTTTTATACGTAATCCCGTTTCCAACGAAATCCTCTAAGCTATCCAAATATCCACTTGCAGATTCCACAGAAAGACTGTTTCAAAACTGCTCTGTCAATAGAAAGGTTCAACTCTGTTAGCTGCATGCATATATCCCAAAGAAGATTCTGAGATTGCTTCTGTCTAGTTTTTATGGAAGATATTTCCCTTTTCACCGTAGGCGTCAAGGCGCTCCAAATGTCCACTTCCAGATACTACAAAAAGAGTGTTTCAAACCTACTCTGTGAAAGGGAATATTCAACTCTGTGACTTGAATGCACATATCACAAAGAAGTTTCTGAGAATGCTTCTGTCGAGATTTTGTATGAAGATATTCCCGTTTCCAACGAAATCCTGAAATCTATCCAAATTTCCGCTCGCAGATTCTACAAAAAGAGTGTTTCAAAACTGCTCTGTGAAAAGAAAGGTTCAACTCTGTTAGTTGAGTACACACATCACAAACAAGTTTCACAGAATGCTTCTTTCTAGCTTGTAGGGGAAGATATTCCCTTTATCATCATGGGCCTCAAACCGTACGAAACGTCCACTTCCATATACTACAAAAAGAGCGTTTCAAACCTGCTCTATGAAAGGCAATGTTCAACTCTGTGACTTGAATGCAGACATCACAGAGCAGTTTCTGAGAATGCTTCTGTATAGATTTTATAGGAAGATATTCCCGTTTCCAAAGAAATCTTCACAGCTATCCAAATATCCACTTGCAGATTCTACAAAAAGAGTGTATCAAAACTGCTCTGTCAAAAGGAAGGTTCTTCTCTGTTAGCTGAGTGCATACGTCATAAAGGAGTTTCTGAGAATGTTTCTGTCTAGTGGTTATGGGAAGATATTTGCTTTTTCACCTTAGGCCTCAGAGTGCTCCAAATATCCCCTTGCACATACTACAAAAAGAGTGCTTCAAAGCTGCTCTCTGAAACGGAATGTTCAACTCTATGAGTTGAATGCAAACATCACAAAGACGTTTCTGGGAATGCTTCTGTCTAGATTTGATATGAAGATATTCCCGTTTCCAACGAAATCTTCAAATCTATCCTAATGTCCACTTGCAGATTCAACAAAAAGTGTTTTTCAGAACTGCTGTATCAAAAGAAAGATCCACCTGCTGTTAGCTGAGTTCACACATCACAAACAAGTTTATGAGAATGCTTTCTGTCTAGTTTTTATTTGAAGATATTTCCTTTCTCACCATAGACCCGAAAGCTGTCCTAATGTTCACTTCCAGATACTACAGAAAGAGTGTTTCAAAACTGCTGTACGAAAGGGAATGTTCAACTCTGTGACTTGAATGCACACATCACAAAGAAGTTTCTGAGGATGCTGCTGTCTACTTTTTATACGTAATCCCGTTTCCAACGAAATCCTCCAAGCTATCCAAATATCCACTTGCAGATTCCACAGAAAGACTGTTTCAAAACTGCTCCGTCAATAGAAAGGTTCAACTCTGTTAGCTGCGTGCATATATCCCAAAGAAGATTCTGAGATTGCTTCTGTCTAGTTTTTATGGGAAGATATTTCCCTTTTCACCGTAGGTGTCAAGGCGCTCCAAATGTCCACTTCCAGATACTACAAAAAGAGTGTTTCAAACCTACTCTCTGAAAGGGAATATTCAACTCTGTGACTTGAATGCACATATCACAAAGAAGTTTCTGAGAATGCTTCTGTCGAGATTTTATATGAAGATATTCCCGTTCCAACGAAATCCTGAAATCCATCCAAATATCCCCTCGCAGATTCTACAAAAAGAGTGTTTCAAAACTGCTCTGTAAAAAGAAAGGTTCAACTCTGTTAGTTGAGTACACACATCACAAACAAGTTTCACAGAATGCTTCTTTCTAGCTTGTAGGGGAAGATATTCCCTTTATCACCATGGGCCTCAAACCGTCCGAAACGTCCACTTCCATATACTACAAAAAGAACGCTTCAAACCTGCTCTATGAAAGACAATGTTCAACTCTGTGACTTGAATGCAGACATCACAGAGCAGTTTCTGAGAATGCTTCTGTCTAGATTTTATAGGAAGATATTCCCGTTTCCAACGAAATCTTCACAGCTATCCAAATATCCTCTTGCAGATTCTACAAAAAGAGTGTATCAAAACTGCTCTGTCAAAAGGAAGGTTCTTTTCTGTTAGGTGAGTGCATACGTCATAAAGGAGTTTCTGATAATGTTTTCTGTCTAGTGGTTATGGGAAGATATTTGCTTTTTCACCGTAGGCCTCAGAGCGCTCCAAATATCCCCTTGCACATACTACAAAAAGAGTGCTTCAAAGCTGCTCTCTGAAAGGGAATGTTCAACTCTGTGAGTTGAATGCAAACATCACAAAGACTTTTCTGAGAATGCTTCTGTCTAGATTTGATATGAAGATATTCCCGTTTCCAACGAAATCTTCAAATCTATCCAAATGTCCACTTGCAGATTCAACAAAAAGTGTTTTTCAGAACTGCTCTATCAAAAGAAAGATCCACCTCTGTTAGCTGAGTTCACACATCACAAAGAAGTTTATGAGAATGCTTCTGTCTAGTTTTTATTTGAAGATATTTCCTTTCTCACCATAGAGCTGAAAGCTGTCCTAATGTTCACTTCCAGATACTACAGAAAGAGTGTTTGAAAACTGCTGTACGAAAGGGAATGTTCAACTCTGTGACTTGAATGCACACATCACAAAGAAGTTTCGGAGGATGCTGCTGTCTACTTTTTATGCGTAATCCCGTTTCCAACGAAATCCTCCAAGCTATCCAAATATCCACTTGCAGATTCCACAGAAAGACTGTTTCAAAACTGCTCTGTCAATAGAAAGGTTCAAATCTGTTAGCTGCGTGCATATATCCCAAAGAAGATTCTGAGATTGCTTCTGTCTACTTTTTATGAGAAGATATTTCCCTTTTCACCGTAGGCGTCAAGGCGCTCTAAATGTCCACTTCCAGATACTACAAAAAGATTGTTTCAAACCTACTCTGTGAAAGGGAATATTCAACTCTGTGACTTGAATGCACATATCACAAAGAAGCTTCTGAGAATGCTTCTGTCGAGATTTTATATGAAGATATTCTCGTTTCCAATGAAATCCTGAAATCTATCCAAATATCCCCTCGCAGATTCTACAAAAAGAGTGTTTCAAAACTGCTCTGTAAAAAGAAAGGTTCAACTCTGTTAGTTGAGTACACACATCACAAACAAGTTTCACAGAATGCTTCTTTCTAGCTTGTAGGGGAAGATATTCCCTTTATCACCATGGGCCTCAAACCGTCCGAAACTTCCACTTCCATATACTACAAAAAGAGCGTTTCAAACCTGCTCTATGAAAGGCAATGTTCAACTCTGTGACTTGAATGCAGACATCACAGAGCAGTTTCTGAGAATGCTTCTGTCTAGATTTTATAGGAAGATATTCCCGTTTCCAACGAAAGCTTCACAGCTATCCCAATATCCACTTGCAGATTCTACAAAAAGAGTATCTCAAAACTGCTCTGTCAAAAGGAAGGTTCTTCTCTGTTAGGTGAGTGCATACGTCATAAAGGAGTTTCTGAGAATGTTTCTGTCTAGTGGTTATGGGAAGATATTTGCTTTTTCACCGAAGGCCTCAGAGCGCTCCAAATATCCACTTGCACATACTACAAAAAGAGTGCCTCAAAGCTGCTCTCTGAAACGGAATGTTCAACTCTATGAGTTGAATGCAAACATCACAAAGACGTTTCCGAGAATGCTCTGTCTAGATTTGATATGAAGATATTCCCGTTTCCAACGAAATCTTCAAATCTATCCAAATGTCCACTTGCAGATTCAACAAAAAGTGTTTTTCAGAACTGCTCTATCAAAAGAAAGATCCACCTCTGTTAGCTGAGTTCAGACATCACAAACAAGTTTATGAGAATGCTTTCTGTCTAGTTTTTATTTGAAGATATATCCTTTCTCACTATAGACCTGAAAGCTGTCCTAAAGTTCACTTCCAGATACTACAGAAAGAGTGTTTCAAAACTGCTGTACGAAAGGGAATGTTCAACTCTGTGACTTGAATGCACACATCACAAGGGATGTTTCTGAGGATGCTGCTGTCTACTTTTTATACGTAATCCCGTTTCCAAAGAAATCCTCCAAGCTATCCAAATATCCACTTGCAGATACCACAGAAAGACTGTTTCAAAACTGCTCTGTCAATAGAAAGGTTCAACACTGTTAGCTGCGTCCATATATCTCAAAGAGGATTCTGAGATTGCTTCTGTCTAGTTTTTATGGGAAGATATTTCCATTTTCACCGTAGGTGTCAAGGCGCTCCAAATGTCCACTTCCAGATACTACAAAAAGAGTGTTTCAAACCTACTCTGTGAAAGGGAATATTCAACTCTGTGACTTGAATGCACATATCACAAAGAAGTTTCTGAGAATGCTTCTGTCGAGATTTTGTATGAAGATATTCCCGATTCCAACGAAATCCTGAAATCTATCCAAATTTCCCCTCGCAGATTCTACAAAAAGAGTGTTTCAAAACTGCTCTGTGAAAAGAAAGGTTCAACTCTGTTAGTTGAGTACACACATCATAAACAAGTTTCACAGAATGCTTCTTTCTAGCTTGTAGGGGAAGATATTTCCTTTATCACCATGGTCCTCAAACCGTCCGAAACGTCCACTTCCATATACTAAAAAAAGAGTGTTTGAAACCTGCTCTATGAAAGGCAACGTTCAACTCTGTGACTTGAATGCAGACATCACAGAGCAGTTTCAGAGAATGCTTCTGTATAGATTTTATAGGAAGATATTCCCGTTTCCAACGAAATCTTCACAGCTATCCAAATATCCACTTGCAGATTCTACAAAAAGAGTGTATCAAAAGTGCTCTGTCAAAAGGAAGGTTCTTCTCTGTTAGGTGAGTGCATACGTCATGAAGGAGTTTCTGAGAATGTTTCTGTCTAGTGGTTATGGGAAGATATTTGCTTTTTCACCATAGGCCTCAGAGCGCTCCAAATATCCACTTGCACATACTACAAAAAGAGTGCTTCAAAGCTGCTCTCTGAAAGGGAATGTTCAACTCTATGAGTTGAATGCTAACATCACAAAGACGTTTCTGAGAATGCTTCTGTCTAGATTTGATATGAAGATATTCCCGTTTCCAACGAAATCTTCAAATCTATCCAAATGTCCACTTGCAGATTCAACAAAAAGTGTTTTTCAGAACTGCTCTATCAAAAGAAAGATCCACCTCTGTTAGCCTGAGTTCACACATCACAAACAAGTTTATGAGAATGCTTCTGTCTAGTTTTTATTTGAAGATATTTCCTTTCTCACCATAGAGCTGAAAGCTGTCCTAATGTTCACTTCCAGATACTACAGAAAGAGTGTTTCAAAACTGCTGTACGAAAGGGAATGTTCAACTCTGTGACTTGAATGCACACATCACAAAGAAGTTTCTGAGGATGCTGGCTGTCTACTATTTATACGTAATCCCGTTTCCAACGAAATCCTCCAAGCTATCCAAATATCCACTTGCAGATTCCACAGAAAGACTGTTTCAAAACTGCTCTGTCAATAGAAAGGTTCAACTCTGTTAGCTGCGTGCATATATCCCAAAGCTGATTCTGAGATTCCTTCTGTCTAGTTTTTATGGGAAGATATTTCCCTTTTCACCGTAGGCGTCAAGGCGCTCCAAATGTCCACTTCCAGATACTACAAAAAGAGTGTTTCAAACCTACTCTGTGAAAGGGAATATTCAACTCTGTGACTTGAAGGCAGATATCACAAAGAAGTTTCTCAGAATGCTTCTGTCGAGATTTTATATGAAGATACTCCCGTTTCCAACGAAATCCTGAAATCTATCCAAATATCCCCTCGCAGATTCTACAAAAAGAGTGTTTCAAAACTGCTCTGTAAAAAGAAAGGTTCAACTCTGTTAGTTGAGTACACACATCACAAACAAGTTTCACAGAATGCTTCTTTCTAGCTTGTAGGGGAAGATATTCCCTTTATCACCATGGGCCTCAAACCGTCCGAAACGTCCACTTCCATATACTAAAAAAAGAGTGTTTCAAACCTGCTCTATGAAAGGCAATGTTCAACTCTGTGACTTGAATGCAGACATCACAGAGCAGTTTCTGAGAATGCTTCTGTCCAGAATTTATAGGAAGATATTCCCGTTTCCAACGAAATCTTCACAGCTATCCAAATATCCACTTGCAGATAGTACAAAAAGAGTGTATCAAAAATGCTCTGTCAAAAGGAAAGTTCTTCTCTGCTAGTTGAGTACATACGTCATAAAGGAGTTTCTGAGAATGTTTCTGTCTAGTGGTTATGGGAAGATATTTGCTTTTTCACCGTAGGCCTCAGAGCGCTCAAAATATCCACTTGCACATACTACAAAAAGAGTGCTTCAAAGCTGCTCTCTGAAAGGGAATGTTCAACTCTATGAGTTGAATGCAAACATCACAAAGACGTCTCTGAGAATGCTTCTGTCTAGATTTGATATGAAGATATTCCCGTTTCCAACGAAATCTTCAAATCTATCCAAATGTCCACTTGCAGATTAAACAAAAAGTGTTTTTCAGAACTGCTCTATCAAAAGAAAGATCCACGTGTGTTAGCTGAGTTCACACATTACAAACAAGTTTATGAGAATGCTTCTGTCTAGTTTTTATTTGAAGATATTTCCTTTCTCACCATAGACCTGAAAGCTGTCCTAATGTTCACTCCCAGATACTACAGAAAGAGTGTTTCAAAAATGCTGTACGAAACAACTCTGTTACTTGAATGCACATATCACAAAGAAGTTTCTGAGGATGCTGCTGTCTACTTTTTATACGTAATCCCGTTTCCAACGAAATCCTCCAAGCTATCAAAATATCCACTTGCAGATTCCACAGAAAGACTGTTTCAAAACTGCTCTGTCAATAGAAAGGTTCAACTCTGTTAGCTGCGTGCATATATCCCAAAGAAGATTCTGAGATTGCTTCTGTCTAGTTTTTATGGGAAGATATTTCCCTTTTCACCGTAGGCGTCAAGGTGCTCCAAATGTCCACTTCCAGATACTACAAAAGGAGTGTTTCAAACCTACTCTGTGAAAGGGAATATTCAACTCTGTGACTTGAATGCAGATATCACAAAGAAGTTTCTGAGAATGTTTCTGTCGAGATTTTATATGAAGATATTCCCGTTTCCAACGAAATCCTGAAATCTATCCAAATATCCCCTCGCAGATTCTACAAAAAGAGTGTTTCAAAACTGTTCTGTAAAAAGAAAGGTTTAACTCTGTTAGTTGAGTACACACATCACAAACAAGTTTCACAGAATGCTTCTTTCTAGCTTGTAGGGGAAGATATTCCCTTTATCACCATGGTCCTCAAACCGTCCGAAACGTCCACTTTCATATACTACAAAAAGAGTGTTTCAAACCTGCTCTAGGAAAGGCAATGTTCAACTCTGTGACTTGAATGCAGACATCACAGAGCAGTTTCTGAGAATGCTTCCTGTCTAGATTTTATAGGAAGATATTCCCGTTTCCAACGAAATCTTCACAGCTATCCAAATATCCACTTGCAGATTCTACAAAAAGAGTGTATCAAAACTGCTCTGTCAAAAGGAAGGTTCTTTTCTGTTAGGTGAGTGCATACGTCATAAAGGAGTTTCTGAGAATGTTTCTGTCTAGTGGTTATGGGAAGATATTTGCTTTTTCACCGTAGGCCTCACAGCGCTCCAAATATCCCCTTGCACATACTACAAAAAGAGTGCCTCAAAGCTGCTCTCTGAAACGGAATGTTCAACTCTATGAGTTGAATGCAAACATCACAAAGACGTTTCTGAGAATGCTTCTGTCTAGATTTTACATGAAGATATTCCCGTTTCCAACGAAATCTTCAAATCTATCCAAATGTCCACTTGCAGATTCAACAAAACGTGTTTTTAAGAACTGCTCTATCAAAAGAAAGATCCAACTCTGTTAGCTGAGTTCACACATCACAAACAAGTTTATGAGAATGCTTCTGTCTAGTTTTTATTTGAAGATGTTTCCTTTCTCACCATAGACCTGAAAGCTGTCCTAATGTTCACTTCCAGATACTACAGAAAGAGTGTTTCAAAACTGCTGTACGAAAGGGAATGTTCAACTCTGTGACTTGAATGCACACATCACAAAGAAGTTTCTGAGGATGCTGCTGTCTACTTTTTATACGTAATCCCGTTTCCAAAGAAATCCTCCAAGCTATCCAGATATCCACTTGCAGATTCCACAGAAAGACTGTTTCAAAACTGCTCTGTCAATAGAAAGGTTCAACTCTGTTAGCTGCGTGCATATATCCCAAAGAAGATTCTGAGATTGCTTCTGTCTACTTTTTATGAGAAGATATTTCCCTTTTCACCGTAGGCGTCAAGGCGCTCCAAATGTTCACTTCCAGATACTACAAAAAGAGTGTTTCAAACCTACTCTGTAAAAGGGAATATTCAACTCTGTGACTTGAATGCACATATCACAAAGAAGTTTCTGAGAATGCTTCTGTCGAGATTTTATATGAAGATATTCCCGTTTCCAACGAAATCTTGAAATCTATCCAAATATCCCCTCGCAGATTCTACAAAAAGAGTGTTTCAAAACTGCTCTGTAAAAAGAAAGGTTCAACTCTGTTAGTTGAGTACACACATCACAAACAAGTTTCACAGAATGCTTCTTTCTAGCTTGTAGGGGAAGATATACCCTTTATCACCATGGTCCTCAAACCGTTCGAAACGTCCTCTTCCATATAGTACAAAAAGAGCGTTTCAAACCTGCTCTATGAAAGGCAATGTTCAACTCTGTGACTTGAATGCAGACATCACAGAGCAGTTTCTGAGAATGCTTCTGTCTAGATTTTATAGGAAGATATTCCCGTTTCCAACGAAATCTTCACAGCTATCCAAATATCCACTTGCAGATTCTACAAAAAGAGTGTATCAAAACTGCTCTGTCAAAAGGAAGGTTCTTCTCTGTTAGGTGAGTGCACACGTCATAAAGGAGTTTCTGAGAATGTTTCTGTCTAGTGGTTATGGGAAGATATTTGCTTTTTCACCGTAGGCCTCAAAGCGCTCCAAATCTCCACTTGCACATACTACAAAAAGAGTGCTTCAAAGCTGCTCTCTGAAAGGGAATGTTCAACTCTATGAGTTGAATGCAAATATCACAAAGACGTTTCTGAGAATGCTTCTGTCTAGATTTGATATGAAGATATTCCCGTTTCCAACGAAATCTTCAAATCTATCCAAATGTCCACTTGCAGATTCAACAAAAAGTGTTTTTCAGAACTGGTCTACCAAAAGAAAGATCCACCTCTGTTAGCTGAGTTCACACATCACAAACAAGTTTATGAGAATGCTTTTGTCTAGTTTTTATTTGAAGATATTTCCTTTCTCACCATAGACCTGAAAGCTGTCCTAATGTTCACTTCCAGATACTACAGAAAGAGTGTTTCAAAACTGCTGTACGAAAGGGAATGTTCAACTCTGTGACTTGAATGCACACATCACAAAGAAGTTTCTGAGGATGCTGCTGTCTACTTTTTATAAGTAATCCCGTTTCCAACGAAATCCTCCAAGCTATCCAAATATCCACTTGACAGATTCCACAGAAAGACTGTTTCAAAACTGCTCTGTCAATAGAAAGGTTCAACTCTGTTAGCTGCGTGCATATATCCCAAAGAAGATTCTGAGATTGCTTCTGTCTAGTTTTTATGGGAAGATATTTCCCTTTTCACCGTAGGTGTCAAGGCGCTCCAAATGTCCACTTCCAGATACTACAAAAAGAGTGTTTCAAACCTACTCTGTGAAAGGGAATATTCAACTCTGTGACTTGAATGCAGATATCACAAAAGAAGTTTCTGAGAATGCTTCTGTCGAGATTTTATATGAAGATATTCCCGTTTCCAACGGAATCCTGAAATCTATCCAAATATCCCCTCGCAGATTCTACAAAAAGAGTGTTTCAAAACTGCTCTGTAAAAAGAAAGGTTCAACTCTGTTAGTTGAGTACACACATCACAAACAAGTTTCACAGAATGCTTCTTTCTAGCTTGTAGGGGAAGATATTTCCTTTATCACCATGGGCCTCAAACCGTCCGAAACGTCCACTTCCATATACTAAAAAAAGAGTGCTTGAAACCTGCTCTATGAAAGGCAATGTTCAACTCTGTGACTTGAATGCAAACATCAAAGAGCAGTTTCTGAGCAATGCTTCTGTCGAGATTTTATATGAAGATATTCCCGTTTCCAACGAAATCCTGAAATCTATCCAAATATCCCCTCGCAGATTCTACAAAAAGAGTGTATCAAAACTGCTCTGTCAAAAGGAAGGTTCTTCTCTGTTAGGTGAGTGCATACGTCATAAAGGAGTTTCTGAGAATGTTTCCATCTAGTGGTTATGGGAAGATATTTGCTTTTTCACCGAAGGCCTCAGAGCGCTCCAAATATCCACTTGCACATACTACAAAAAGAGTGCCTCAAAGCTGCACTCTGAAACGGAATGTTCAACTCTATGAGTTGAATGCAAACATCGCAAAGACGTTTCTGAGAATGCTTCTGTCTAGATTTGATATGAAGATATTCCCGTTTCCAACGAAATCTTCAAATCTATCCAAATGTCCACTTGCAGATTCAACAAAAAGTGTTTTTCAGAACTGCTCTATCAAAGGAAAGATCCACCTCTGTTAGCTGAGTTCACACTTCACAAACAAGTTTATCAGAATGCTTCTGTCTAGTTTTTATTTGAAGATATATCCTTTCTCACTATAGACCTGAAAGCTGTCCTAATGTTCACTTCCAGATACTACAGAAAGAGTGTTTCAAAACTGCTGTACGAAAGGGAATGTTCAACTCTGTGACTTGAATGCACACATCACAAGGATGTTTCTGAGGATGCTGCTGTCTACTTTTTACACGTAGTCCCGTTTCCAAAGAAATCCTCCAAGCTATCCAAATATCCACTTGCAGATTCCACAGAAAGACTGTTTCAAAACTGCTCTGTCAATAGAAAGGTTCAACTCTGTTAGCTGCGTGCATATATCCCAAAGAAGATTCTGAGATTGCTTCTGTCAAGTTTTTATGGGAAGATATTTCCCTTTTCACCGTAGGCGTCAAGGCGCTCCAAATGTCCACTTCCAGATACTACAAAAAGAGTGTTTCAAACCTACTCTGTGAAAGGGAATATTCAACTCTGTGACTTGAATGCAGATATCACAAAGAAGTTTCTGAGAATGCTTCGGTCTAGATTTTATATTAAGACATCCCCGTTTCCGACGAAATCTTTAAATCTATCCAAATATCCACTTGCAGGTTCTACAAAAAGAGTTTTTCAAAACTGTTCTGTAAAAGAAAGGTTCAACTCCATTAGTTGAGTACACACATCACAAAGAAGTTCCTGAGAATGCTTCTTTCTAGCTTGTAGGGGAAGATATTCCCTTTATCACCATGGGCCTCAAACTGTCCGAAACGTCCACTTCCATATACTACAAAAAGAGCGTTTCAAACCTGCTCTATGAAAGGCAATGTTCAGCTCTGTGACTTGAATGCAGACATCACAGAGCAGTTTCTGAGAATGCTTCTGTCTAGATTTTATAGGAATATATTCCCGTTTCCAACGAAATCTTCACAGCTATCCAAATATCCACTTGCAGATTCCACAAAAAGAGTGTATCAAAACTGCTCTGTCAAAAGGAAGGTTCTTTTCTGTTAGGTGAGTGCATACGTCATAAAGGAGTTTCTGAGAATGTTCCTGTCTAGTGGTTATGAGAAGATATTTGCTTTTTCCCCGTAGGCCTCAAAGCGCTCCAATTGTCCACTTGCACATACTACAAAAAGAGTGCTTCAAAGCTGCTCTCTGAAAGGGAATGTTCAACTGTATGAGTTGAATGCAAACATCACAAAGACGTTTCTGAGAATGCTTCTGTCTAGATTTGATATGAAGATATTCCCGTTTCCAACGAAATCTTCAAATCTATCGAAATGTCCACTTGCAGATTCAACAAAAAGTGTTTTTCAGAACTGCTCTATCAAAAGAAAGATCCACCTCTCTTAGCTGAGTTGACACATCACAAACAAGTTTATGAGAATGCTTCTGTCTAGTTTTTATTTGAAGATATTTCCTTTCTCACCATAGACCTGAAAGCTGTCCTAATGTTCACGTCCAGATACTACAGAAAGAGTGTTTCAAAACTGCTGTACGAAAGGGAATGTTCAACTCTGTGACTTGAATGCACACATCACAAAGAAGTTTCTGAGGATGCTGCTGTCTACTTTTTATACGTAATCCCGTTTCCAACGAAATCCTCCAAGCTATCCAAATATCCACTTGCAGATTCCACAGAAAGACTGTTTCAAAACTGCTCTGTCAATAGAAAGGTTCAACTCTTTTAGCTGCGTGAATATATCCCAAAGAAGATTCTGAGATTGCTTCTGTCTAGTTTTTATGGGAAGATATTTCCCTTTTCACCGTAGGCGTCAAGGCGCTCCAAATGTCCACTTCCAGATACTACAACAAGAGTGTTTCAAACCTACTCTGTGAAAGGGAATATTCAACTCTGTGACTTGAATGCACATATCACAAAGAAGTTTCTGAGAATGCTTCTGTCGAGATTTTATATGAAGATATTCCCGTTTCCAACGAAATCCTGAAATCTATCCAAATATCCCCTCGCAGATTCTACAGAAAGAGAGTTTCAAAACTGCTCTGTAAAAAGAAAGGTTCTACTCTGTTACTTGAGTACACACATCACAAACAAGTTTCACAGAATGCTTCTTTCTAGCTTGTAGGGGAAGATATTCCCTTTATCACCATGGGCCTCCAACCGTCCGAAACATCCACTTCCATATACTACAAAAAGAGCGTTTCAAACCTGCTCTATGAAAGGCAATGTTCAACTCTGTGACTTGAATACAGACATCACAGAGCAGTTTCTGAGAATGCCTCTGTCGAGATTTTATAGGAAGATATTCCCGTTTCCAACGAAATCTTCACAGCTATCCAAATATCCACTTGCAGATTCTACAAAAAGAGTGTATCAAAACTGCTCTGTCAAAAGGAAGGTTCTTCTCTGTTAGTTGAGTACATACGTCATACAGGAGTTTCTGAGAATGTTTCTGTCTAGTGGTTATGGGAAGATATTTGCTTTTTCACCGTAGGCCTCAGGGCGCTCCAAATTTTCTCTTGCACATGCTACAAAAAGAGTGCTTAAAAGCTGCTCTCTCAAAGGGAATGTTCAACTCTATGAGTTGAATGCAAACATCGCAAAGACGTTTCTGAGAATGCTTCTGTCTAGATTTGATATGAAGATATTCCCGTTTCCAACGAAATCTTCAAATCTATCCAAATGTCCACTTGCAGATTCAACAAAAAGTGTTTTTCAAAACTGCTGTAACAAAAGAAAGATCCGCCTCTGTTAGCTGAGTTCACACATCACAAACAAGTTTATGAGAATGCTTCTGTCTAGTTTTTATTTGAAGATATTTCCTTTCTCACCATAGACCTGAAAGGTGTCCTAATGTTCACTTCCAGATACTACAGAAAGAGTGTTTCAAAACTGCTGTACGAAAGGGAATGTTCAACTCTGTGACTTGAATGCACACATCACAAAGAAGTTTCTGAGGATGCTGCTGTCTACTTTTTATACGTAATCCCGTTTCCAACGAAATCCTCCAAGTTATCCAAATATCCACTTGCAGATTCCACAGAAAGACTGTTTCAAAACTGCTCTGTCAATAGAAAGGTTCAACTCTGTTAGCTGCGTCCATATATCCCAAAGAAGATTCTGAGATTGCTTCTGTCTAGTTTTTATGGGAAGATATTTCCCTTTTCACCGTAGGCGTCAAGGCGCTCCAAATGTCCACTTCCAGATACTACAAAAAGAGTGTTTCAAACCTATTCTGTGAAAGGGAATATTCAACTCTGTGACTTGAATGCACATATCACAAAGAAGTTTCTGAGAATGCTTCTGTCGAGATTTTATATGAAGATATTCCCGTTTCCAACGAAATCCTGAAATCTATCCAAATATCCCCTCGCAGATTCTACAAAAAGAGTGTTTCAAAACTGCTCTGTAAAAAGAAAGGTTCAACTCTGTTAGTTGAGTACACACCTCACAAACAAGTTTCACAGAATGCTTCTTTCTAGCTTGTAGGGGAAGATATTCCTTTATCACCATGGGCCTCAAACTGTCCGAAACGTCTACTTCCATATACTACAAAAAGAGCGTTTCAAACCTGCTCTATGAAAGGCAATGTTCAGCTCTGTGACTTGAATGCAGACATCACAGAGCAGTTTCTGAGAATGCTTCTGTCTAGATTTTATAGGAAGATATTCCCGTTTCCAACGAAATCTTCACAGGTATCCAAATATCCACCTGCAGATTCTACAAAAAGAGTGTATCAAAACTGCTCTGTCAAAAGGAAGGTTCTTCTCTGTTAGGTGAGTGCATACGTCATAAAGGAGTTTCTGAGAATGTTTCTGTCTAGTGGTTATGGGAAGATATTTGCTTTTTCCCCGTAGGCCTCAGGGCGCTCCAAATGTCCACTTGCACATGCTACAAAAAGAGTGCTTCAAAGCTACTCACTGGAAGGGAATGTTCAACTCTATGAGTTGAATGCAAACATCACAAAGACGTTTCTGAGAATGCTTCTGTCTAGATTTGATATGAAGATATTCCCGTTTCCAACGAAATCTTCAAATCTATCCAAATGTCCACTTGCAGATTCAACAAAAAGTGTTTTTCAGAACTGCTCTATCGAAAGATCCACCTCTGTTAGCTGAGTTCACACATCACAAACAAATTTATGAGAATGCTTCTGTCTAGTTTTTATTTGAAGGTATTTCCTTTCTCACCATAGACCTGAAAGCTGTCCTAATGTTCACTTCCAGATACTACAGAAAGAGTGTTTCAAAACTGCTGTACGAAAGGGAATGTTCAACTCTGTGACTTGAATGCACACATCACAAAGAAGTTTCTGAGGATGCTGCTGTCTACTTTTTATACGTAATCCCGTTTCCAACGAAATCCTCCAAGCTATCCAAATATCCAATTGCAGATTCCACAGAAAGACTGTTTCAAAACTGCTCTGTCAATAGAAAGGTTCAACTCTGTTAGCTGCGTGCATATATCCCAAAGAAGATTCTGAGATTACTTCTATCTAGTTTTTATGGGAAGATATTTCCCTTTTCACCGTAGGCGTCAAGGCGCTCCAAATGTCCACTTCCAGATACTGCAAAAAGAGTGTTTCAAACCTACTCTGTGAAAGGGAATATTCAACTCTGTGACTTGAATGCAGATATCACAAAGAAGTTTCTGAGAATGCTTCTGTCGAGATTTTATATGAAGATATTCCCGTTTCCAACGAAATCCTGAAATCTCTCCAAATATCCCCTCGCAGATTCTACAAAAAGAGTGTTTCAAAACTGCTCTGTAAAAAGAAAGGTTCAACTCTGTTAGTTGAGTACACACATCAAAAACAAGTTTCACAGAATGCTTCTTTCTAGCTTGTAGGGGAAGATATTCCCTTTATCACCATGGGCCTCAAACCGTCTGAAACGTCCACTTCCATATACTACAAAAAGAGCATTTCAAACCTGCTCTATGAAAGGCAATGTTCAACTCTGTGACTTGAATGCACACATCACAGAGCAGTTTCTGAGAATGCTTCTGTCTAGATTTTATAGGAAGATATTCCCGTTTCCAACGAAATCTTCACAGCTATCCAAATATGCACTTGCAGATTCTACAAAAAGAGTGTATCAAAACTGCTCTGTGAAAAAGAATGTTCTTCTCTGTTAGTTGAGTACATACGTCATAAAGGAGTTTCTGAGAATGTTTCTGTCTAGTGGTTATGGGAAGATATTTGCTTTTTCACCGTAGGCCTCAGAGCGCTCCAAATATCCACTTGAACATACTACAAAAAGAGTGATTCAAAGCTGCTCTCTGAAACGGAATGTTCAACTCTATGAGTTGAATGCAACCATCACAAAGACGTTTCTGAGAATGCTTCTGTCTAGATTTGATATGAAGATATTCCCGTTTCCAACGAAATCTTCAAATCTATCCAAATGTCCACTTGCAGATTCAACAAAAGAGTTTTTCAGAACTGCTCTATCAAAAGAAAGATCCACCTCTGTTAGCTGAGTTCACACATCACAAACAAGTTTATGAGAATGCTTCTGTCTAGTTTTTATTTGAAGATATTTCCTTTCTCACCATAGACCTGAAAGCTCTCCTAATGTTCACTTCCAGATACTACAGAAAGAGTGTTTCAAAACTGCTGTATGAAAGGGAATGTTCAACTCTGTGACTTGAATGCACACATCACAAAGAAGTTTCTGAGGATGCTGCTGTCTACTTTTTATACGTAATCCCGTTTCCAACGAAATCCTCCATGCTATCCAAATATCCACTTGCAGATTCCACAGAAAGACTGTTTCAAAACTGCTCTGTCAATAGAAAGGTTCAACTCTGTTAGCTGTGTGCATATATCTCAAAGAAAATTCTGAGATTGCTTCTGTCTTGTTTTTATGGGAAGATATTTCCCTTTTCACCGTAGGCGTCAAGGCGCTCCAAATGTCCACTTCCAGATACTACAAAAAGAGTGTTTCAAACCTACTCTGTGAAAGGGAATATTCAACTCTGTGACTTGAATGCACATATCACAAGGAAGTTTCTGAGAATGCTTCCTGTCGAGATTTTATATGAAGATATTCCCGTTTCCAACGAAATGCTGAAATGTATCCAAATATCCCCTCGCAGATTCTACAAAAAGAGTGTTTCAAAACTGCTCTGTAAAAAGAAAGGTTCAACTCTGTTAGTTGAGTACACACATCACAAACAAGTTTCACAGAATGCTTTCTTTCTAGCTTGTAGGGGAAGATATTCCCTTTATCACCATGGGCCTCAAACCGTCCGAAAAGTCCACTTCCATATACTACAAAAAGAGCGTTTCAAACCTGCTCTATGAAAGGCAATGTTCAACTCTGTGACTTGAATGCAGACATCACAGAGCAGTTTCTGAGAATGCTTCTGTCTAGATTTTATACGAAGATATTCCCGTTTCCAACGAAATCTTCACAGGTATCAAAATATCCACTTGCAGATTCTACAAAAAGAGTGTATCAAAACTGCTCTGTCAAAAGGAAGGTTCTTCTCTGTTAGGTGAGTGCATACGTCATAAAGGAGTTTCTGAGAATGTTTCTGTCTAGTGGTTATGGGAAGACATTTGCTTTTTCACCGTAGGCCACAGAGCGCTCCAAATATCCACTTGCACATACTACAAAAAGAGTGCCTCAAAGCTGCTCTCTGAAAGGGAATGTTCAACTCTATGAGTTGAATGCAAACATCGCAAAGACGTTTCTGAGAATGCTTCTGTCTAGATTTGATATGAAGATATTCCCGTTTCCAACGAAATCTTCAAATTTATCCAAATGTCCACTTGCAGATTCAACAAAAAGTGTTTTTCAGAACTGCTCTATCAAAAGAAAGATCCACCTCTGTTAGCTGAGTTCACACATCACAAACAAGTTTATGAGAATGCTTCTGTCTAGTTTTTATTTGAAGATATTTTCTTTCTCACCATAGACCTGAAAGCTGTCCTAATGTTCACTTCCAGATACTACAGAAAGAGTGTTTCAAAACTGCTGTACGAAAGGGAATGTTCAACTCTGTGACTTGAATGCACACATCACAAAGAAGTTTCTGAGGATGCTGCTGTCTACTTTTTATGCGTAATCCCGTTTCCAACGAAATCCTCCAAGCTATCCCAATATCCACTTGCAGATTCCACAGAAAGACTGTTTCAAAACTGCTCTGTCAATAGAAAGGTTCAACTCTGTTAGCTGCGTGCATATATCCCAAAGAAGATTCTGAGATTGCTTCTGTCTAGTTTTTATGGGAAGATATTTCCCTTTTCACCGTAGGTGTCAAGGCGCTCCAAATGTCTACTTCCAGATACTACAAAAAGAGTGTTTCAAACCTACTCTGTGAAAGGGAATATTCAACTCTGTGACTTGAATGCACATATCACAAGGAAGTTTCTGAGAATGCTTCTGTCGAGATTTTGTATGAAGATATTCCCGTTTCCAACGAAATCCTGAAATCTATCCAAATTTCCCCTCGCAGATTATACAAAAAGAGTGTTTCAAAACTGCTCTGTGAAAAGAAAGGTTCAACTCTGTTAGTTGAGTACACACATCACAAACAAGTTTCACAGAATGCTTCTTTCTAGCTTGTAGGGGAAGATATTCCCTTTATCACCATGGGCCTCAAACCGTCCGAAAAGTCCACTTCCATATACTACAAAAAGAGCGTTTCAAACCTGCTCTATGAAAGGCAATGTTCAACTCTGTGACTTGAATGCAGACATCACAGAGGCAGTTTCTGAGAATGCTTCTGTCTAGATTTTATAGGAAGATATTCCCGTTTCCAACGAAATCTTCACAGCTATCCAAATATCCACTTGCAGATTCTACAAAAAGAGTGTATCAAAACTGCTCTGTCAAAAGGAAGGTTCTTCTCTGTTAGGTGAGTGCATACGTCATAAAGGAGTTTCTGAGAATGTTTTCTGTCTAGTGGTTATGGGAAGATATTTGCTTTTTCACCGTAGGCCTCAGAGCGCTCCAAATATCCACTTGCACATACTACAAAAAGAGTGCCTCAAAGCTGCTCTTTGAAACGGAATGTTCAACTCTATGAGTTGAATGCAAACATCACAAAGACGTTTCTGAGAATGCTTCTGTCTAGATTTGATATGAAGATATTCCCGTTTCCAACGAAATCTTCAAATCTATCCAAATGTCCACTTGCAGATTCAACAAAAAGTGTTTTTCAGAACTGCTCTATCAAAAGAAAGATCCACCTCTGTTAGCTGAGTTCACACATCACAAACAAGTTTATGAAAATGTTTCTGTCTAGTTTTTATTTGAAGATATTGCCTTTCTCACCATAGACCTGAAAGCTGTCCTAATGTTCACTTCCAGATACTACAGAAAGAGTGTTTCAAAACTGCTGTACGAAAGGGAATGTTCAACTCTGTGACTTGAATGAACACATCACAAAGAAGTTTCCTGAGGATGCTGCTGTCTACTTTTTATACGTAATCCCGTTTCCAACGAAATCCTCCAAGCTATCCAAATATCCACTTGCAGATTCCACAGAAAGACTGTTTCAAAACTGCTCTGTCAATAGAAAGGTTTAACTCTGTTAGCTGCGTGCATATATCCCAAAGAAGATTCTGAGATTGCTTCTGTCTAGTTTTTATGGGAAGATATTTCCCTTTTCACCGTGGGCATCAAGGCGCTCCAAATGTCCACTTCCAGATACTACAAAAAGAGTGTTTCAAACCTACTCTGTGAAAGGGAATATTCAACTCTGTGACTTGAATGCACATATCACAAGGAAGTTTCTGAGAATGCTTCTGTCGAGTATTTTATATGAAGATATTCCCGTTTCCAACGAAATCCTGAAATCTATCCAAATATCCCCTCGCAGATTCTACAAAAAGAGTGTTTCAAAACTGCTCTGTAAAAAGAAAGGTTCAACTCTGTTAGTTGAGTACACACATCACAACAAGTTTCACAGAATGCTTCTTTCTAGCTTGTAGGGGAATATATTCCCTTTATCACCATGGGTCTCAAACCGTCCGAAACGTCCACTTCCATATACTACAAAAAGAGCGGTTCAAACCTGCTCTATGAAAGGCAATGTTCAACTCTGTGACTTGAATGCAGACATCACAGAGCTGTTTCTGAGAATGCTTCTGTCTAGATTTTATAGGATGATATTCCCGTTTCCAACGAAATCTTCACAGCTATCCAAATATCCACTTGCAGATTCTACAAAAAGAGTGTATCCAAACTGCTCTGGCAAAAGGAAGGTTCTTCTCTGTTAGGTGAGTGCATACGTCATAAAGGAGTTTCTGAGAATGTTTCTGTCTAGTGGTTATGGGAAGATATTTGCTTTTTCACCTTAGGCCTCAGAGTGCTCCAAATATCCTTTTGCACATACTACAAAAAGAGTGCTTCAAAGCTGCTCTCTGAAACGGAATGTTCAACTCTATGAGTTGAATGCAAACATCACAAAGACGTTTCTGGGAATGCTTCTGTCTAGATTTGATATGAAGATATTCCCGTTTCCAACGAAATCTTCAAATCTATCCAAATGTCCACTGGCAGATTCAACAAAAAGTGTTTTTCAGAACTGCTCTATCAAAAGAAAGATCCACCTCTGTTAGCTGAGTTCACACATCACAAAGAGGTTTATGAGAATGCTTCTGTCTAGTTTTTATTTGAAGATATTTCCTTTCTCACCATAGACCTGAAAGCTGTCCTAATGTTCACTTCCATGTACTACAGAAAGAGTGTTTCAAAACTGCTGTACGAAAGGGAATGTTCAACTCTGTGACTTGAATGCACACATCACAAAGAAGTTTCTGAGGATGCTGCTGTCTACTTTTTATACGTAATCCCGTTTCCAACGAAATCCTCCAAGCTATCCAAATATCCACTTGCAGATTCCACAGAAAGACTGTTTCAAAACTGCTCTGTCAATAGAAAGGTTCAACTCTGTTAGCTGCGTGCATATATCCCAAAGAAGATGCTGAGATTGCTTCTGTCTAGTTTTTATGGGAAGATATTTCCCTTTTCACCGTAGGCGTCAAGGCGCTCCAAATGTCCACTTCCAGATACTACAAAAAGAGTGTTTCAAACCTACTCTGTGAAAGGGAATATTCAACTACTGTGACTTGAAGGCAGATATCACAAAGAAGTTTCTGAGAATGCTTTCTGTCGAGATTTTATATGAAGATATTCCCGTTTCCAACGAAATCCTGAAATCTATCCAAATATCCTCTCGCAGATTCTACAAAAAGAGTGTTTCAAAACTGCTCTGTAAAAAGAAAGGTTCAACTCTGTTAGTTGAGTACACACATCAAAAACAACTTTCACAGAATGCTTCTTTCTAGCTTGTAGGGGAAGATATTCCCTTTATCACCATGGGCCTCCAACCGTCCGAAACATTCTCTTCCATATACTACAAAAAAGCATTTCAAACCTGCTCTATGAAAGGCAATGTTCAACTCTGTGACTTGAATGCAGACATCACAGAGCAGTTTCTGAGAATGCTTCTGTCTAGATTTTATAGGAAGATATTCCCGTTTCCAACGAAATCTTCACAGCTATCCAAATATCCACTTGCAGATTCTACAAAAAGAGTGTATCAAAACTGCTCTGTCAAAAGGAAGGTTCTTCTCCGTTAGGTGAGTGCACACGTCATAAAGGAGTTTCTGAGAATGTTTCAGTGTAGTGGTTATGGGAAGATATTTGCTTTTTCCCCGTAGGCCTCAGAGCGCTCCAAATATCCACTTGCACATACTACAAAAAGAGTACTTCAAAGCTGCTCTCTGAAACGGAATGTTCAACTCTATGAGTTGAATGCAAACATCACAAAGACGTTTCTGAGAATGCTTCTGTCTAGATTTGATATGAAGATATTCCCGTTTCCAACGAAATCTTCAAATCTATCCAAATGTCCACTTGCAGATTCAACAAAAAGTGTTTTTCAGAACTGCTCTATCAAAAGAAAGATCCACCTCTCTTAGCTGAGTTCACACATCACAAACAAGTTTATGAAAATGCTTCTGTCTAGTTTTTATTTGAAGATATTTCCTTTCTCACCATAGAGCTGAAAGCTGTCCTAATGTTCACTTCCAGATACTACAGAAAGAGTGTTTCAAAACTGCTGTACCAAAGGGAATGTTCAACTCTGTGACTTGAATGCACACATCACAAAGAAGTTTCGGAGGATGCTGCTGTCTACTTTTTATACGTAATCCCGTTTCCAACGAAATCCTCCAATCTATACAAATATCCACTTGCAGATTCCACAGAAAGACTGTTTCAAAACTGCTCTGTCAATAGAAAGGTTCAACTCTGTTAGCTGCGTGCATATATCCCAAAGAAGATTCTGAGATTGCTTCTGTCTACTTTTTATGAGAAGATATTTCCCTTTTCACCGTAGGCGTCAAGGCGCTCCAAATGTCCACTTCCAGATACTACAAAAAGAGTGTTTCAAACCTACTCTGTGAAAGGGAATATTCAACTCTGTGACTTGAATGCACATATCACAAAGAAGCTTTCTGAGAATGCTTCTGTCGAGATTTTATATGAAGATATTCCCATTTCCAACGAAATCCTGAAATCTATCCAAATATCCCCTCTCAGATTCTACAAAAAGAGTGTTTCAAAACTGCTCTGTAAAAAGAAAGGTTCAACTCTGTTAGTTGAGTACACACATCACAAACAAGTTTCACAGAATGCTTCTTTCTAGCTTGTAGGGGAAGATATTCCCTTTATCACCATGGGCCTCAAACCGTCCGAAACGTCCACTTCCATATACTACAAAAAGAGCGTTTCAAACCTGCTCTAGGAAAGGCAATGTTCAACTCTGTGACTTGAATGCAGACATCACAGAGCAATTTCTGAGAATGCTTCTGTCTATATTTTATAGGAAGATATTCCCGTTTCCAACGAAATCTTCACAGCTATCCAAATATCCACTTGCAGATTCTACAAAAAGAGTGTATCAAAACTGCTCTGTCAAAAGGAAGGTTCTTTTCTGTTAGGTGAGTGCATACGTCATAAAGGAGTTTCTGAGAATGTTTCTGTCTAGTGGTTATGGGAAGATATTTGCTTTTTCACCTTAGGCCTCAGAGCGCTCCAAATATCCCCTTGCACATACTACAAAAAGAGTGCTTCAAAGCTGCTCTCTGAAAGGGAATGTTCAACTCTATGAGTTGAATGCAAACATCACAAAGACGTTTCTGGGAATGCTTCTGTCTAGATTTGATATGAAGATATTCCCGTTTCCAACGGAATCTTCATATCTATCCAAATGTCCACTTGCAGATTCAACAAAAAGTGTTTTTCAAAACTGCTGTATCAAAAGAAAGATCCACGTCCGTTAGCTGAGTTCACACATCACAAACAAGTTTATGAGAATGCTTCTGTCTAGTTTTTATTTGAAGATATTTCCTTTCTCACCATAGACCTGAAAGCTGTCCTATTGTTCACTTCCAGATACTACAGAAAGAGTGTTTCAAAACTGCTGTACGAAAGGGAATGTTCAACTCTGTGACTTGAATGCACACATCACAAAGAAGTTTCTGAGGATGCTGCTGTCTACTTTTTATACGTAATCCCGTTTCCAAAGAGATCCTCCAAGCTATCCAAATATCCACTTGCAGATTCCACAGAAGGACTGTTTCTAAACTGCTCTGTCAATAGAAAGGTTCAACTCTGTGAGCTGCGTGCATATATCCCAAAGAAGATTCTGAGATTGCTTCTGTCTACTTTTTATGAGAAGTTATTTCCCTTTTCACCGTAGGTGTCAAGGCGCTCCAAATGTCCACTTCCAGATACTACAAAAAGAGTGTTTCAAACCTACTCTGTGAAAGGGAATATTCAACTCTGTGACTTGAATGCACATATCACAAAGAAGTTTCTGAGAATGCTTTCTGTCGAGAATTTTCTATGAAGATATTCCCGTTTCCAACGAAATCCTGAAATCTATCCAAATATCCCCTCGCAGATTCTACAAAAAGAGTGTTTCAAAACTGCTCTGTAAAAAGAAAGGTTCAACTCTGTTACTTCAGTACACACATCACAAACAAGTTTCACAGAATGCTTCTTTCTAGCTTGTAGGGGAAGATATTCCCTTTATCACCATGGGCCTCAAACCGTCCGAAACGTCCACTTCCATATACTACAAAAAGAGCGTTTCAAACCTGCTCTATGAAAGGCAATGTTCAACTCTTTGACTTGAATGCAGACATCACAGAGCAGTTTCTGAGAATGCTTCTGTCTAGACTTTATAGGAAGATATTCCCGTTTCCAACGAAATCTTCACAGCTATCCAAATATGCACTTGCAGATTCTACAAAAAGAGTGTATCAAAAGTGCTCTGTCAAAAGGAAGGTTCTTCTCTGTTAGTTGAGTACATACGTCATAAAGGAGTTTCTGAGAATGTTTTCTGTCTAGTGGTTATGGGAAGATATTTGCTTTTTCACCTTAGGCCTCAGAGCGGCTCCATATATCCCCTTGCACATACTACAAAAAGAGTGCTTCAAAGCTGCTCTCTGAAAGGGAATGTTCAACTCTATGAGTTGAATGCAAACATCACAAAGACGTTTCTGAGAATGCTTCTGTCTAGATTTGATATGAAGATATTCCCGTTTCCAAAGAAATCTTCAAATCTATCCAAATGTCCACTTGCAGATTCAACAAAAAGTGTTTTTCAAAACTGCTCTATCAAAAGAAAGATCCACGGCTCTTAGCTGAGTTCACACATCACGAACAAGTTTATGAGAATGCTTCTGTCTAGTTTTTATTTGAAGATATTTCCTTTCTCACCATAGACCTGAAAGCTGTCCTAATGTTCACTTCCAGATACTACAGAAAGAGTGTTTCAAAACTGCTGTACGAAAGGTAATGTTCAACTCTGTGACTTGAATGCACACATCACAAAGAAGTTTCTGAGGATGCTGCTGTCTACTTTTTATACGTAATCCCGTTTCCAACGAAATCCTCCAATCTATCCAAATATCCACTTGCAGATTCCACAGAAAGACTGTTTCAAATCTGCTCAGTCAATAGAAAGGTTCAACTCTGTTAGCTGCGTGCATATATCCCAAAGAAGATTCTGAGATTGCTTCTGTCTAGTTTTTATGGGAAGATATTTCCCTTTTCACCGTAGGTGTCAAGGCGCTCCAAATGTCCACTTCCAGATACTACAAAAAGAGTGTTTCAAACCTACTCTGTGAAAGGGAATATTCAACTCTGTGATTGAATGCACATATCACAAAGAAGTTTCTGAGAATGCTTCTGTCGCGATTTTATATGAAGATATTCCCGTTTCCAACAAAATCCTGAAATCTTTCCAAATATCTCCTCGCAGATTCTACAAAAAGAGTGTTTCAAAACTGCTCTGTAAAAAGAAAGGTTCAACTCTGTTAGTTGAGTACACACATCACAAACAAGTTTCACAGAATGCTTCTTTCTAGCTTGTAGGGGAATATATTCCCTTTATCACCATGGGCCTCCAACCGTCCGAAACATCCACTTCCATATACTACAAAAAGAGCGTTTCAAACCTGCTCTATGAAAGGCAATGTTCAACTCTGTGACTTGAATGCAGACATCACAGAGCAGTTTCTGAGAATGCTTCTGTCTAGATTTTATAGGAAGATATTCCCGTTTCCAACGAAATCTTCACAGCTATCCAAATATCCACTTGCAGATTCTACAAAAAGAGTGTATCAAAACTGCTCTGTCAAAAGGAAGGTTCTTCTCTGTTGGGTGAGTGCATACGTCAGAAAGGAGTTTCTGAGAATGTTTCTGTCTAGTGGTTATGGGAAGATATTTGCTTTTTCACCTTAGGCCTCAGAGCGATCCAAATATCCACTTGCACATACTACAAAAAGAGTGCTTCAAAGCTGCTCTCTGAAAGTGAATGTTCAACTCTATGAGTTGAATGCAAACATCACAAAGACGTTTCCGAGAATGCTTCTGTCTAGATTTGATATGAAGATATTCCCGTTTCCAACGAAATCTTCAAATCTATCCAAATGTCTACTTGCAGATTCAACAAAAAGTGTTTTTCAAAACTGCTGTATCAAAAGAAAGATCCACGTCTGTTAGCTCAGTTCACACATCACAAACAAGTTTATGAGAATGCTTCTGTCTAGTTTTTATTTGAAGATATTTCCTTTCTCACCATAGACCTGAAAGCTGTCCTAATGTTCACTTCCAGATACTACAGAAAGAGTGTTTCAAAACTGCTGTACGAAAGGGAATGTTCAACTGTGTGACTTGAATGCACACATCACAAAGAAGTTTCTGAGGATGCTGCTGTCTACTTTTTATACGTAATGCCGTTTCCAACGAAATCCTCCAAGCTATCCAAATATCCACTTGCAGATTCCACAGAAAGACTGTTTCAAAACTGCTCTGTCAATAGAAAGGTTCAACTCTGTTAGCTGCGTGCATATATCCCAAAGAAGATTCTGAGATTGCTTCTGTCTAGTTTTTATGGGAAGATATTTCCCTTTTCACCGTAGGCGTCAAGGCGCTCCAAATGTCCACTTCCAGATACTACAAAAAGAGTGTTTCAAACCTACTCTGTGAAAGGGAATATTCAACTCTGTGACTTGAATGCAGATATCACAAAGAAGTTTATGAGAATGCTTCTGTCGAGATTTTATATGAAGATATTCCCGTTTCCAACGAAATGCTGAAATGTATCCAAATATCCCCTCGCAGATTCTACAAAAAGAGTGTTTCAAAACTGCTCTGTAAAAAGAAAGGTTCATCTCTGTTAGTTGAGTACACACATCACAAACAAGTTTCACAGAATGCTTCTTTCTAGCTTGTAGGGGAAGATATTCCCTTTATCACCATGGGCCTCAAACCGTCCGAAACATCCACTTCCATATACTACAAAAAGAGCGTTTCCAACCTGCTCTATGAAAGGCAATGTTCAACTCTGTGACTTGAATGGAGACATCACAGAGCAGTTTCTGAGAATGCTTCTGTCTAGATTTTATAGGAAGATATTCCCGTTTCCAACGAAAGCTTCACAGCTATCCAAATATCCACTTGCAGATTCTACAAAAAGAGTGTATCAAAACTGCTCTGTCAAAAGGAAGGTTCTTCTCTGTTAGGTGAGTGCATACGTCATACAGGAGTTTCTGAGAATGTTTCTGTCTAGTGGTTAGGGGAAGATATTTGCTTTTTCACCTTAGGCCTCACAGCGCTCCAAATATCCCCTTGCACATACTACAAAAAGAGTGCTTCAAAGCTGCTCTCTGAAACGGAATGTTCAACTGTATGAGTTGAATGCAAACATCACAAAGACGTTTCTGAGAATGCTTCTCTCTAGATTTGATATGAAGATATTCCCGTTTCCAACGAAATCTTCAAATCTATCCAAATGTCCACTTGCAGATTCAACAAAAAGTGTTTTTCAGAACTGCTCTATCAAAAGAAAGATCCACCTCTGTTAGCTGAGTTCACACATCACAAACAAGTTTATGAGAATGCTTCTGTCTAGTTTTTATTTGAAGATATTTCCTTTCTCACCATAGACCTGAAAGCTGTCCTAATGTTCACTTCCAGTTACTACAGAAAGAGTGTTTCAAAACTGCTGTACGAAAGGGAATGTTCAACTTCTGTGACTTGAATGCACACATCACAAAGAAGTTTCTGAGGATGCTGCTGTCTACTTTTTATACTTAATCCCGTTTCCAACGAAATCCTCCAAGCTATCCAAATATCCACTTGCAGATTCCACAGAAAGACTGTTTCAAAACTGCTCTGTCAATAGAAAGGTTCAATTCTGTTAGCTGCGTGCATATATCCCAAAGAAGATTCTGAGATTGCTTCTGTCTAGTTTTTATGGGAAGATATTTCCCTTTTCACCGTGGGCGTCAAGGCGCTCCAAATGTCCACTTCCAGATACTACAAAAAGAGTGTTTCAAACCTACTCTGTGAAAGGGAATATTCAACTCTGTGACTTGAATGCACATATCACAAGGAAGTTTTCTGAGAATGCTTCTGTCGAGATTTTATATGAAGATATTCCCGTTTCCAACGAAATCCTGAAATCTATCCAAATATCCCCTCGCAGATTCTACAAAAAGAGTGTTTCAAAACTGCTCTGTAAAAAGAAAGGTTCAACTCTGTTAGTTGAGTGCACATATCACAAACAAGTTTCACAGAATGCTTCTTTCTAGCTTGTAGGGGAAGATATTCCCTTTATCACCATGGGCCTCAAACCGTCCGAAACGTCCACTTCCATATACTACAAAAAGAGCGTTTCAAACCTGTTCTAGGAAAGGCAATGTTCAACTCTGTGACTTGAATGCAGACATCACAGAGCAGTTTCTGAGAATGCTTCTGTCTAGATTGTATAGGAAGATATTCCCGTTTCCAACGAAATCTTCACAGCTATCCAAATATCCACTTGCAGATTCTACAAAAAGAGTGTATCAAAACTGCTCTGTCAAAAGGAAGGTTCTTCTCTGTTAGGTGAGTGCATACGTCATAAAGGAGTTTCTGAGAATGTTTCTGTCTAGTGGTTATGGGAAGATATTTGCTTTTTCACCTTAGGCCTCAGAGTGCTCCAAATATCCCCTTGCACATACTACAAAAAGAGTGCTTCAAAGCTGCTCTCTGAAAGGGAATGTTCAACTCTATGAGTTGAATGCAAACATCACAAAGACGTTTCTGAGAATGCTTCTGTCTAGATTTGATATGAAGATATTCCCGTTTCCAACGAAATCTTCAAATCTATCCAAATGTCCACTTGCAGATTCAACAAAAAGTGTTTTTCAGAACTGCTCTATCAAAAGAAAGATCCACATCTGTTAGCTGAGTTCACACATCACAAACAACTTTATGAGAATGCTTCTGTGTAGTTTTTATTTGAAGATATTTCCTTTCTCACCATAGAGCTGAAATCTGTCCTAATGTTCACTTCCAGATACTACAGAAAGAGTGTTTCAAAACTGCTGTACGAAAGGGAATGTTCAACTCTGTGACTTTAATGCACACATCACAAAGAAGTTTCTGAGGATGCTGCTGTCTACTTTTTATACGTAATCCCGTTTCCAACGAAATCCTCCAAGCTATCCAAATATCCACTTGCAGATTCCACAGAAAGACTGTTTCTAAACTGCTCTGTCAATAGAAAGGTTCAACTCTGTTAGCTGCGTGCATATATCCCAAAGAAGATTCTGAGATTCCTTCTGTCTAGTTTTTATGGGAAGATATTTCCCTTTTCACCGTAGGCGTCAAGGCGCTCCAAATGTCCACTTCCAGATACTACAAAAAGAGTGTTTCAAACCTACTCTGTGAAAGGGAATATTCAACTCCTGTGACTTGAAGGCAGATATCACAAAGAAGTTTCTGAGAATGCTTCTGTCGAGATTTTATATGAAGATATTCCCGTTTCCAACGACATCCTGAAATCTATCCAAATATCCCCTCGCAGATTCTACAAAAAGAGTGTTTCAAAACTGCTCTGTAAAAAGAAAGGTTCAACTCTGTTAGTTGAGTACACACCTCACAAACAAGTTTCACAGAATGCTTCTTTCTAGCTTGTAGGGGAAGATATTCCCTTTATCATCATGGGCCTCAAACCGTCCGAAACGTCCACTTCCATATACTACAAAAAGAGCGTTTCAAACCTGCTCTATCAAAGGCAATGTTCAACTCTGTGACTTGAATGCAGACATCACAGAGCAGTTTCTGAGAATGCTTCTGTCTAGATTTTATAGGAAGATATTCCCGTTTCCAACGAAATCTTCACAGCTATCCAAATATCCACTTGCAGATTCTACAAAAAGAGTGTATCAAAACTGCTCTGTCAAAAGGAGGGTTCTTCTCTGTTAGTTGAGTACATACGTCATAAAGGAGTTTCTGAGAATGTTTCTGTCTAGTGGTTATGGGAAGATATTTGCTTTTTCACCGTAGGCCTCAGAGCGCTCCAAATATCCCCTTGCACATACTACAAAAAGAGTGCTTCAAAGCTGCGCTCTGAAAGGGAATGTTCAACTCTGTGAGTTGAATGCAAACATCACAAAGACGTTTTCTGAGAATGCTTCTGTCTAGATTTGATATGAAGATATTTCCGTTTCCAATGAAATCTTCAAATCTATTCAAGTGTCCACTTGCAGATTCAACAAAAAGTGTTTTTCAAAAGGGCTGTATAAAAAGAAAGATCCACCTCTGTTAGTTGAGTTCACACATCAAAACAAGTTTATGAGAATGCTTCTGTCTAGTTTTTATTTGAAGATATTTCCTTTCTCACAATAGACCTGAAAGCTCTCGTCCCGTTCACTTCCAGGTACTAGAGAAAGAGTGTTTCAAACCTGCTGTACGAAAGGGAATGTTCAACTCTTTGACTTGAATGCACACATCACAAAGAAGTTTCTGAGAATGCTGCTGTCTACTTTTTATACGTAATCCTGTTTCCAACGAAATCCTCCAAGCTATCCAAATATCCACTTGCAGATTCCACAGAAAGACTGTTTCAAAACTGCTATGTCAATAGAAAAGTTCAACTCTGTTAGCTGTGTGCATATATCCCAAAGAAGATTCTGAGATTGCTTCTGTCTAGTTTTTATGGGAAGATATTTCCCTTTTCACCGTAGGTGTCAAGGCGCTCCAAATGTCCACTTCCAGATATTACAAAAAGAGTGTTTCAAACCTACTCTCTGAAAGGGAATATTCAACTCTGTGACTTGAATGCAGATATCACAATGAAGTTTCTGAGAATGCTTCTGTCGAGATTTTATATGAAGATATTCCCGTTTCCAACGAAATGCTGAAATCTATCCAAATATCCCCTCGCAGATTCTACAAAAAGAGTGTTTCAAAACTGCTCTGTAAAAAGGAAGGTTCAACTCTGTTAGTTGAGTACACACATCACAAACAAGTTTCACAGAATGCTTCTTTCTAGCTTGTAGGGGAAGATATTCCCTTTATCACCATGGGCCTCAAACCGCCCGAAACGTCCACTTCCATATACTACAAAAAGAGGGTTTCAAACCTGCTCTATGAAAGGCAATGTTCAACTCTGTGACTTGAATGCAGACATCACAGAGCAGTTTCTGAGAATTCTTCTGTCTAGATTTTATAGGAAGATATTCCCGTTTCCAACGAAATCTTCACAGCTATCCAAATATCCACTTGCAGATTCTACAAAAAGAGTGTATCAAAACTGCTCTGTCAAAAGGAAGGTTCTTCTGTGTTAGGTGAGTGCATACGTCATAAAGGAGTTTCTGAGAATGTTTCTGTCTAGTGGTTATGGGAGATATTTGCTTTTTCCCCGTAGGCCTCAAAGCGCTCCAAATGTCCACTTGCACATACTACAAAAAGAGTGCTTCAAAGCTGCTCTCTGAAAGGGAATGTTCAACTCTATGAGTTGAATGCAAACATCACAAAGACGTTTCTGAGAATGCTTCTGTCTAGATTTGATATGAAGATATTCCCGTTTCCAACGAAATCTTCAAATCTATCCAAATGTCCACTTGCAGATTCAACAAAAAATGTTTTTCAGAACTGCTCTATCAAAAGAAAGATCCACCTCTGTTAGCTGAGTTCACACATCACAAACAAGTTTATGAGAATGCTTCTGTCTAGTTTATATTTGAAGATATTTCCTTTCTCACCATAGACCTGAAAGCTGTCCTAATGTTCACTTCCAGATACTACAGAAAGAGTGTTTCAAAACTGCTGTACGAAAGGGAATGTTCAACTCTGTGACTTGAATGCACACATCACAAAGAAGATTCTGAGGATGCTGCTGTCTACTTTTTATACGTAATCCCGTTTCCAACGAAATCCTCCAAGCTATCCAAATATCCACTTGCAGATTCCACAGAAAGACTGTTTCAAAACTGCTCTGTCAATAGAAAGGTTCAACTCTGTTAGCTGCGTGCATGTATCCCAAAGAAGATTCTGAGATTGCTTCTGTCTAGTTTTTATGGGAAGATATTTCCCTTTTCACCGTAGACGTCAAGGCGCTCCAAATGTCCACTTCCAGATACTACAAAAAGAGTGTTTCAAACCTACTCTGTGAAAGGGAATATTCAACTCTGTGACTTGAATGCACATATCACAAAGAAGTTTCTGAGAATGCTTCTGTCTAGATTTTATAGGAAGATATTCCCGTTTCCAACGAAATCTTCACAGCTATACAAATATCCACTTGCAGATAGTACAAAAAGAGTGTATCAAAAATGCTCTGTCAAAAGGAAAGTTCTTCTCTGCTAGTTGAGTACATACGTCATAAAGAAGTTTCTGAGAATGTTTCTTTCTAGCTTGTAGGGGAAGATATTCCCTTTATCACCATGGGCCTCCAACCGTCCGAAACATCCACTTCCATATACTCCAAAAAGAGCGTTTCAAACCTGCTCTATGAAAGGCAATGTTCAACTCTGTGACTTGAATGCAGACATCACAGAGCAGTTTCTGAGAATGCTTCTGTATAGATTTTATAGGAAGATATTCCCGTTTCCAACGAAATCTTCACAGCTATCCAAATATCCACTTGCAGATTCTACAAAAAGAGTGTATCAAAACTGCTCTGTCAAAAGGAAGGTTCTTTTCTGTTAGGTGAGTGCATACGTCATAAAGGATTTTCTGAGAATGCTTTTGTCTAGTGGTTATGGGAAGATATTTGCTTCTTCCCCGTAGGCCTCAGAACGCTCCAAATATCCACTTGCACATACTACAAAAAGAGTGCTTCAAAGCTGCTCTCTGAAACGGAATGTTCAACTCTATGAGTTGAATGCAAACATCACAAAGACGTTTCTGAGAATGCTTCTGTCTAGATTTGATATGAAGATATTCCCGTTTCCAACGAAATCTTCAAATCTATCCAAATGTCCACTTGCAGATTCAACAAAATGTGTTTTTCCGAACTGCTCTATCAAAAGAAAGATCCGCCTCTGTTAGCTGAGTTCACACATCACAAACAAGTTTATGAGAATGCTTCTGTCTAGTTTTTATTTGAAGATATTTCCTTTCTCAATATAGACCTGAAAGCTGTCCTAATATTCACTTTCAGATACTACAGAAAGAGTGTTTCAAAACTGCTGTATGAAAGGGAATGTTCAACTCTGTGACTTGAATGCACACATCACAAAGAAGTTTCTGAGGATGCTGCTGTCTACTTTTTATACGTAATCCCGTTTCCAACGAAATCCTCCAAGCTATCCAAATATCCACTTGCAGGTTCCACAGAAAGACTGTTTCAAAACTGCTATGTCAATAGAAAAGTTCAACTCTGTTAGCTGTGTGCATATATCCCAAAGAAGATTCTGAGATTGCTTCTGTCTAGTTTTTATGGGAAGATATTTCCCTTTTCACCGTAGGTGTCAAGGTGCTCCAAATGTCCAATTCCAGATACTACAAAAAGAGTGTTTCAAACCTACTCTGTGAAAGGGAATATTCAACTCTGTGACTTGAATGTAGATATCACAAAGAAGTTTCTGAGAATGCTTCTGTCGAGATTTTATATGAAGATATTCCCGTTTCCAACGAAATCCTGAAATCTATCCAAATATCCCCTCGCAGATTCTACAAAAAGAGTGTTTCAAAACTGCTCTTTAAAAAGAAAGGTTCAACTCTGTTAGTTGAGTACACACATCACAAACAAGTTTCACAGAATGCTTCTTTCTAGCTTGTAGGGGAAGATATTCCCTTTATCACCATGGGCCTCAAACCGTCCGATAAGTCCACTTCCATATACTACAAAAAGAGCGTTTCAAACCTGCTCTATGAAAGACAACGTTCAACTCTGTGACTTGAATGCAGACATCACAGAGCAGTTTCTGAGAATGCTTCTGTCTAGATTTTATAGGAAGATATTCCCGTTTCCAACGAAATCTTCACAGCTATCCAAATATCCACTTGCAGATTCTATAAAAAGAGTGTATCAAAACTGCTCTGTCAAAAGGAAGGTTCTTTTCTGTTAGGTGAGTGCATACGTCATAAAGGAGTTTCTGAGAATGTTTCTGTCTAGTGGTTATGGGAAGATATTTGCTTTTTCCCCGTAGGCCTCAGGGCACTCCAAATGTCCACTTGCACATGCTACAAAAAGAGTGCTTCAAAGCTACTCTCTGGAAGGGAATGTTCAACTCTATGAGTTGAATGCAAACATCACAAAGACGTTTCTGAGAATGCTTCTGTCTAGGTTTGATATGAAGATATTCCCGTTTCCAACGAAATCTTCAAATCTATCCAAATGTCCACTTGCAGATTCAACAAAAAGTGTTTTTCAGAACTGCTCTATCAAAAGAAAGATCCACCTCTGTTAGCTGAGTTCACACATCACAAACAAGTTTATGAGAATGCTTCTGTCTAGTTTTTATTTGAAGATATTTCCTTTCTCACCATAGACCTGAAAGCTGTCCTAATGTTCACTTCCAGATACTACAGAAAGAGTGTTTCAAAACTGCTGTACGAAAGGGAATGTTCAACTCTGTGACTTGAATGCACACATCACAAAGAAGTTTCTGAGGATACTGCTGTCTACTTTTTATACGTAATCCCATTTCCAACGAAATCCTCCAAGCTATCCAAATATCCACTTGCAGATTCCACAGAAAGACTGTTTCAAAACTGCTCTGTCAATAGAAAGGTTCAACTCTGTTAGCTGCATGCATATATCCCAAAGAAGATTCTGAGATTGCTTCTGTCTAGTTTTTATGGGAAGATATTTCCCTTTTCACCGTAGGTGTCAAGGCGCTCCAAATGTCCACTTCCAGATACTACAAAAAGAGTGTTTCAAACCTTCTCTATGGAAGGGAATATTGAACTCTGTGACTTGAATGCAGATATCACAAAGAAGTTTCTGAAAATGCTTCTGTCGAGATTTTATAGGAAGATATTCCCGTTTCCAACGAAATCCTGAAATCTATCCAAATAACCCCTCGCAGATTCTACAAAAAGAGTGTTTCAAAACTGCTCTGTAAAAAGAAAGGTTCAACTCTGTAAGATGAGTACACACACCACAAACAAGTTTCACAGAATGCTTCTTTCTAGCTTGTAGGGAAAGATATTCCCTTTATCACCATGGGCCTCAAAGCGTCCGAAACGTCCACTTCCATATACTACAAAAAGAGCGTTTCAAACCTGCTCTAGGAAAGGCAATGTTCAACTCTGTGACTTGAATGCAGACATCACAGAGTAGTTTCTGAGAATGCTTCTGTCTAGATATTATAGGAGGATATTCCCGTTTCCAACGAAATCTTCACAGCTATCCAAATATCCACTTGCAGATTCTACAAAAAGAGTGTATCAAAACTGCTCTGTCAAAAGGAAGGTTCTTCTCTGTTAGATGAGTGCATACGTCATAAAGGAGTTTCTGAGAATGTTTCTGTGTAGTGGTTATGGGAAGATATTTGCTTTTTCCCCGTAGGCCTCAGAGCGCTCCAAATATCCACTTGCACATACTACAAAAAGAGTGCTTCAAAGCTGCTCTCTGAAACGGAATGTTCAACTCTATGAGTTGAATGCAAACATCACAAAGACGTTTCTGAGAATGCTTCTGTCTAGATTTGATATGAAGATATTCCCGTTTCCAATGAAATCTTCAAATCTATCCAAATGTCCACTTGCAGATTCAACGAAAAGTGTTTTTCAAAACTGCTGTATCAAAAGAAAGATCCACCTCTGTTAGCTGAGTTCACACATCACAAACAAGTTTATGAGAATGCTTCTGTCTAGTTTTTATTTGAAGATATTTCCTTTCTCACCATAGACCTGAAAGCTGTCCTAATGTTCACTTCCAGATACTACAGAAAGAGTGCTTCAAAACTGCTGTACGAAAGGGAATGTTCAACTCTGTGACTTGAATGCACACATCACAAAGAAGTTTCTGAGGATGCTGCTGTCTACTTTTTATACGTAATCCCGTTTCCAACGAAATCCTCCAAGCTATCCAAATATCCACTTGCAGATTCCACAGAAAGACTGTGTCAAAACTGCTCTGTCAATAGGAAGGTTCAACTCTGTTAGCTGCGTGCATATATCCCAAAGAAGATTCTGAGATTGCTTCTGTCTAGTTTTTATGGGAAGATATTTCCCTTTTCACCGTAGGCGTCAAGGCGCTCCAAATGTCCACTTCCAAATACTACAAAAAGAGTGTTTCAAACCTACTCTGTGAAAGGGAATATTCAACTCTGTGACTTGAATGCACATATCACAAAGAAGTTTCTGAGAATGCTTCTGTCGAGATTTTATATGAAGATATTCCCGTTTCCAACGAAATCCTGAAATCTATCCAAATATCCCCTCGCAGATTCTACAAAAAGAGTGTTTCAAAACTGCTCTGTAAAAAGAAAGGTTCAACTCTGTTAGTTGAGTACACACATCACAAACAAGTTTCACAGAATGTTTCTTTCTAGCTTGTAGGGGAAGATATTCCCTTTATCACCATGGGCCTCAAACCGTCCGAAACGTCCACTTCCATATACTACAAAAAGAGCGTTTCAAACCTGCTCTAGGAAAGGCAATGTTCAACTCTGTGACTTGAATGCAGACATCACATAGCAGTTTCTGAGAATGCTTCTGTCTAGATTTTATAGGAAGATATTCCCGTTTCCAACGAAATCTTCACAGCTATCCAAATATCCACTGGCAGATTCTACAAAAAGAGTGTATCAAAACTGCTCTGTCAAAAGGAAGGTTCTTCTCTGTTAGTTGAGTACATACGTCATAAAGGAGTTTCTGAGAATGTTTCTGTCTAGTGGTTATGGGAAGATATTTGCTTTTTCACCGTAGGCCTCAGAGCGCTGCAAATATCCGCTTGCACATACTACAAAAAGAGTGCTTCAAAGCTGCTCTCTGAAACGGAATGTTCAACTCTATGAGTTGAATGCAAACATGACAAAGACGTTTCTGAGAATGCTTCTGTCTAGATTTGATATGAAGATATTCCCGTTTCCAATGACATCTTCAAATCTATCCAAATGTCCACTTGCAGATTCAACAAAACGTGTTTTTCAGAACTGCTCTATCAAAAGAAAGATCCACCTCTGTTAGCTGAGTTCACACATCACAAAAAAGTTTATGAGAATGCTTCTGTCTAGTTTTTATTTGTAGATATTTCCTTTCTCACCATAGAGCTGAAAGCTGTCCTAATGTTCACTTCCAGATACTACAGAAAGAGTGTTTCAAAACTGCTGTACGAAAGGGAATGTTCAACTCTGTGACTTGAATGCACACATCACAAAGAAGTTTCTGAGGATGCTGCTGTCTACTTTTTATACGTAATCCCGTTTCCAAAGAAATCCTCCAAGCTATCCAAATATCCACTTGCAGATACCACAGAAAGACTGTTTCAAAACTGCTCTGTCAATAGAAAGGTTCAACTCTGTTAGCTGCGTCCATATATCTCAAAGAGGATTCTGAGATTGCTTCTGTCTACTTTTTATGAGAAGATATTTCCCTTTTCACGGTAGGTGTCAAGGCGCTCCAAATGTCCACTTCCAGATACTACAAAAAGAGTGTTTCAAACCTACTCTGTGAAAGGGAATATTCAACTCTGTGACTTGAATGCACATATCACAAAGAAGTTTCTGAGAATGCTTCTGTCGGGATTTTATATGAATATATTCACGTTTCCAACGAAATCCTGAAATCTATCCAAATATCCCCTCGCAGATTCTACAAAAAGAGTGTTTCAAAAGTGCTCTGTAAAAAGAAAGGTTCAACTCTGTTAGTTGAGTACACACATCACAAACAAGTTTCACAGAATGCTTCTTTCTAGCTTGTAGGGGAAGATATTCCCTTTATCACCATGGGCCTCAAACCGTCCGAAACGTCCACTTCCATATAATACAAAAAGAACGCTTCAAACCTGCTCTATGAAAGACAATGTTCAACTCTGTGACTTGAATGCAGACATCACAGAGCAGTTTCTGAGAATGCTTCTGTCTAGATTTTACAGGAAGATATTCCCGTTTCCAACGAAATCTTCACAGCTATCCAAATATCCACTTGCAGATTCTACAAAAAGAGTGTATCAAAACTGCTCTGTCAAAAGGAAGGTTCTTCTCTTTTAGGTGAGTGCATACGTCATAAAGGAATTTCTGAGAATGTTTCTGTCTAGTGGTTATGGGAAGATATTTGCTTTTTCACCGTAGGCCTCAGAGCCCTCCAAATATCCACTTGCACATACTACAAAAAGAGTGCTTCAAACCTGCTCTCTGAAACGGAATGTTCAACTCTGAGTTGAATGCAAACATCACAAAGACGTTTCTGAGAATGCTTCTGTCTAGATTTGATATGAAGATATTCCCGTTTCCAACGAAATCTTCAAATCTATCCAAATGTCCACTTGCAGATTCAACAAAAAGTGTTTTTCAGAACTGCTCTATCAAAAGGAAAGATCCACCTCTGTTAGCTGAGTTCACACATCACAAACAAGTTTATGAGAATGCTTCTGTCTAGTTTTTATTTAAAGATATTTCCTTTCTCACCATAGAGCTGAAAGCTGTCCTAATATTCACTTCCAGATACTACAGAAAGAGTGTTTCAAAACTGCTGTACGAAAGGGAATGTTCAACTCTGTGACTTGAATGCACACATCACAAAGAAGTTTCTGAGGATGCTGCTGTCTACTTTTTATACGTAATCCCGTTTCCAACGAAATCCTCCAAGCTATCCAAATATCCACCTGCAGATTCCACAGAAAGACTGTTTCAAAACTGCTCTGTCAATAGAAAGGTTCAACTCTATTAGCTGCGTACATATATCCCAAAGAAGATTCTGAGATTGCTTCTGTCTAGTTTTTATGGGAAGATATTTCCCTTTTCACCGTAGGTGTCAAGGCGCTCCAAATGTCCACTTCCAGATACTACAAAAGGAGTGTTTCAAACCTACTCTGTGAAAGGGAATATTCAACTCTGTGACTTGAATGCAGATATCACAAAGAAGATTCTGAGAATGCTTCTGTCGAGATTTTATATGAAGATATTCCCGTTTCCAACGAAATCCTGAAATCTATCCAAATATCGCCTCGCAGATTCTACAAAAAGAGTGTTTCAAAACTGCTCTGTAAAAAGAACGGTTCAACTCTGTTAGTTGAGTACACACATCACAAACAAGTTTCACAGAATGCTTCTTTCTAGCTTGTAGGGGAAGGTATTCCCTTTATCACCATGGGCCTCAAACCGTCCGAAACGTCCACTTCCATATACTACAAAAAGAGCGTTTCAAACCTGCTCTAGGAAAGGCAATGTTCAACTCTGTGACTTGAATGCAGACATCACAGAGCAGTTTCTGAGAATGCTTCTGTCTAGGTTTTATAGGAAGATATTCCCGTTTCCAACGAAATCTTCACAGCTATCCAAATATCCACTTGCAGATTCTACAAAAAGTGTGTATCAAAACTGCTCTGTCAAAAGGAAGGTTCTTCTCTGTTAGTTGAGTACATACGTCATAAAGGAGTTTCTGAGAATGTTTCTGTCTAGTGGTTATGGGAAGATATTTGCTTTTTCACCGTAGGCCTCAGAGCGCTCCAAATATCCACTTGCACATACTACAAAAAGAGTGCCTCAAAGCTGCTCTCTGAAACGGAATGTTCAACTCTATGAGTTGAATTCAAACATCACAAAGACGTTTCTGAGAATGCTTCTGTCTAGATTTGATAGGAAGATATTCCCGTTTCCAACGAAATCTTCAAATCTATCCAAATGTCCACTTGCAGATTCAACAAAAAGTGTTTTTCAGAACTGCTCTATCAAAAGAAATATCCACCTCTGTTAGCTGAGTTCACACATCAAAAACAAGTTTATGAGAATGCTTCTGTCTAGTTTTTATTTGAAGATATTTCCTTTCTCACCATAGACCTGAAAGCTGTCCTAATGTTCACTTCCAGATACTACAGAAAGAGTGTTTCAAAACTGCTCTACGAAAGGGAATGTTCAACTCTGTGACTTGAATGCACACATCACAAAGAAGTTTCTGAGGATGCTGCTGTCTACTTTTTATACGTAATCCCGTTTCCAACAAAATCCTCCAAGCTATCCAAATATCCACTTGCAGATTCCACAGAAAGACTGTTTCAAAACTGCTCTGTCAATAGAAAGGTTCAACTCCGTTAGCTGCGTGCATATATCCCAAAGAAGATTCTGAGATTGCTTCTGTCTAGTTTTTATGGGAAGATATTTCCCTTTTCACTGTAGGCGTCAAGGCGCTCCAAATGTCCACTTCCAGATACTACAAAAAGAGTGTTTCAAACCTACTCTGTGAAAGGGAATATTCAACTCCTGTGACTTGAATGCAGATATCACAAAGAAGTTTGCTGAGAATGCTTCTGTCGAGATTTTATATGAAGATATTCCCCTTTCCAACGAAATCCTGAAATCTATCCAAATATCCCCTCGCAGATTCTACAAAAAGAGTGTTTCAAAACTGCTCTGTAAAAAGAAAGGTTCAACTCTGTTAGTTGAGTACACACATCACAAAGAAGTTTCACAGAATGCTTCTTTCTAGCTTGTAGGGGAAGATATTCCCTTTATCACCATGGGCCTCAAACCGTCTGAAACGTCCACTTCCATATACTACAAAAAGAGCATTTCAAACCTGCTCTATGAAAGGCAATGTTCAACTCTGTGACTTGAATACAGACATCACAGAGCAGTTTCTGAGAATGCTTCTGTCTAGATTTTATAGGAAGATATTCCCGTTTCCAACGATATCTTCACAGCTATCCCAATATCCACTTGCAGATTCTACAAAAAGAGTGTATCAAAACTGCTCTGTCAAAAGGAAGGTTCTTCTCTGTTAGGTGAGTGCATACCGTCATAAAGGAGTTTCTGAGAATGTTTCTGTCTAGTGGTTATGGGAAGATATTTGCTTTTTCACCGTAGGCCTCAGAGCGCTCCAAATATCCCCTTGCACATACTACAAAAAGAGTGCTTCAAAGCTGCTCTCTGAAACGGAATGTTCAAATCTATGAGTTGAATGCAAACATCACAAAGACGTTTCTGGGAATGCTTCTGTCTAGATTTGATATGAAGATATTCCCGTTTCCAACGAAATCTTCAAATCTATCCAAATGTCCACTTGCAGATTCAACAAAGTGTTTCTCAAAACTGCTGTATCAAAAGAAAGATCCACCTCTGTTACCTGAGTTCACACTTCGCAAACAAGTTTATGAGAATGCTTCTGTCTAGTTTTTATTTGAAGATATTGCCTTTCTCACCATAGACCTGAAAGCTGTCCTAATGTTCACTTCCAGATACTACAGAAAGAGTGTTTCAAAACTGCTGTACGAAAGGGAATGTTCAACTCTGTGACTTGAATGCACACATCACAAAGTAGTTTCTGAGGATGCTGCTGTCTACTTTTTATACGTAATCCCGTTTCCAACGGAAATCCTCCAAGCTATCCAAATATCCACTTGCAGATTCCACAGAAAGACTGTTTCAAAACTGCTCTGTCAATAGAAAGGTTCAACTCTGTTAGCTGCATGCATATATCCCAAAGAAGATTCTGAGATTGCTTCTGTCTAGTTTTTATGGGAAGATATTTCCCTTTTCACCGTAGGTGTCAAGGCGCTCCAAATGTCCACTTCCAGATACTACAAAAAGAGTGTTTCAAACCTACTCTGTGAAAGGGAATATTCAACTCTGTGACTTGAATGCACATATTACAAAGAAGTTTCTGAGAATGCTTCTGTCGAGATTTTATATGAAGATATTCCCGTTTCCAACGAAATGCTGAAATGTATCAAATATCCCCTCGCAGATTCTACAAAAAGAGTGTTTCAAAACTGCTCTGTAAAAAGAGAGGTTCAACTCTGTTAGTTGAGTACACACATCACAAACAAGTTTCACAGAATGCTTCTTTCTAGCTTGTAGGGGAAGATATTCCCTTTATTACCATGGGCCTCCAACCGTCCGAAACATCCACTTCCATATACTACAAAAAGAGCGTTTCAAACCTGCTCTATGAAAGGCAATGTTCAACTCTGTGACTTGAATGCAGACATCACAGAGCAGTTTCTGAGAATGCTTCTCTCTAGATTTTATAGGAAGATATTCCCGTTTCCAACGAAATCTTCACAGCTATCCAAATATCCACTTGCAGATTCTACAAAAAGAGTGTATCAAAACTGCTCTGTCAAAAGGAAGGTTCTTCTCTGTTAGGTGAATGCATACGTCATAAAGGAGTTTCTGAGAATGTTTCTGTCTAGTGGTTATGGGAAGATATTTGCTTTTTCACCGTAGGCCTCAGAGCGCTCCAAATATCCACTTGCACATACTACAAAAAGAGTGCTTCAAATCTGGTCTCTGAAACGGAATGTTCAACTCTATGAGTTGAATGCAAACATCACAAAGACGTTTCTGAGAATGCTTCTGTCTAGATTTGATATGAAGATATTCCCGTTTCCAACGAAATCTTCAAATCTATCCAAATGTCCACTTGCAGATTCAACAAAAAGTGTTTTTCAGAACTGCTCTATCAAAAGAAAGATCCACCTCTGTTAGCTGAGTTCACACATCACAAACAATTTATGAGAATGCTTCTGTCTAGTTTTTATTTGAAGATATATCCTTTCTCACTATAGACCTGAAATCTGTCCTAAAGTTCACTTCCAGATACTACAGAAAGAGTGTTTCAAAACTGCTGTACGAAAGGGAATGTTCAACTCTGTGACTTGAATGCACACATCACAAGGATGTTTCTGAGGATGCTGCTGTCTACTTTTTATACGTAATCCCGTTTCCAACGAAATCCCCCAAGCTATCCAAATATCCACTTGCAGATTCCACAGAAAGACTGTTTCAAAACTGCTCTGTCAATAGAAAGGTTCAACTCTATTAGCTGCGTACATATATCCCAAAGAAGATTCTGAGATTGCTTCTGTCTAGTTTTTATGGGAAGATATTTCCCTTTTCACCGTAGGCGTCAAGGCGCTCCAAATGTCCACTTCCAGATACTACAAAAAGAGTGTTTCAAACATACTCTGTGAAAGCGAATATTCAACTCTGTGACTTGAATGCACATATCACAAAGAAGTTTCTGAGAATGCTTCTGTCGAGATTTTATATGAAGATATTCCCCTTTCCAACGAAATCCTGAAATCTATCCAAATATCCCCTCGCAGATTCTACAAAAAGAGTGTTTCAAAACTGCTCTGTAAAAAGAAAGGTTCAACTCTGTTAGTTGAGTAAACACATCACAAACAAGTTTCACAGAATGCTTCTTTCTAGCTTGTAGGGGAAGATATTCCCTTTATCACCATGGGCCTCAAACCGTCCGAAAAGTCCACTTCCATATACTACAAAAAGAGCATTTCAAACCTGCTCTATGAAAGGCAATGTTCAACTCTGTGACTTGAATGCAGCCATCACAGAGCAGTTTCTGAGAATGCTTCTGTCTAGATTTTATAGGAAGATATTCCCGTTTCCAACGAAATCTTCACAGCTATCCAAATATCCACTTGCAGATTCTACAAAAACAGTGTATCAAAACTGCTCTGTCAAAAGGAAGGTTCTTCTCTGTTAGGTGAGTGCATACGTCATAAAGGAGTTTCTGAGAATGTTTCTGTCTAGTGGTTATGGGAAGATATTTGCTTTTTCACCTTACGCCTCAGAGTGCTCCAAATATCCTTTTGCACATACTACAAAAAGAGTGTTTCAAAGCTGCTCCCTGAAACGGAATGTTCAAATCTATGAGTTGAATGCAAACATCACAAAGACGTATCTGGGAATGCTTCTGTCTAGATTTGATATGAAGATATTCCCGTTTCCAACGAAATCTTCAAATCTATCCAAATGTCCACTTGCAGATTCAACAAAAAGTGTTTTTCCGAACTGCTCTATCAAAAGAAAGATCCACATCTGTTAGCTGAGTTCACACATCACAAACAAGTTTATGAGAATGCTTCTGTCTAGTTTTTATTTGAAGATATTACCTTTCTCACCATAGACCTGAAAGCTGTCCTAATGTTCACTTCCAGATACTACAGAAAGAGTGTTTCAAAACTGCTGTACGAAAGGGAATGTTCAACTCTGTGACTTGAATGCACACATCACAAAGAAGTTTCTGAGGATGCTGCTGTCTAATTTTTATACGTAATCCCGTTTCCAACGAAATCCTCCAAGCTATCCAAATATCCACTTGCAGATTCCACAGAAAGACTGTTTCAAAACTACTCTGCCAATAGAAAGGATCAACTCTGCTAGCTGCGCGCATATATCCCAAAGAAGATTCTGAGATTGCTTCTGTCTAGTTTTGATGGGAAGATATTTCCCTTTTCACCGTAGGCGTCAAGGCGCTCCAAATGTCCACTTCCAGATACTGCAAAAAGAGTGTTTCAAACCTACTCTGTGAAAGGGAATATTCAACTCTGTGCCTGGAATGCAGATATCACAAAGAAGTTTCTGAGAATGCTTCTGTCGAGATTTTATATGAAGATATTCCCGTTTCCAACGAAACCCTGAAATCTATCAAAATATCCCCTCGCAGATTCTACAAAAAGAGTGTTTCAAAACTGCTCTGTAAAAAGAAAGGTTCAACTCTGTTAGTTGAGTACACACATCACAAACAAGTTTCACAGAATGCTTCTTTCTAGCTTGTAGGGGAAGATATTCCCTTTATCACCATGGGCCTCAAACCTTCCGAAAAGTCCACTTCCATATACTACAAAAAGAGCGTTTCAAACCTGCTCTATGAAAGGCAATGTTCAACTCTGTGACTTGAATGCAGACATCACAGAGCAGTTTCTGAGAATGCTTCTGTCTAGATTTTATAGGAAGATATTCCCGTATCCAACGAAATCTTCACAGCTATCCAAATATCCACTTGCAGATTCTACAAAAAGAGTGTATCAAAACTGCTCTGTCTAAAGGAAGGTTCTTCTCTGTTAGTTGAGTACATACGTCATAAAGGAGTTTCTGAGAATGTTTCTGTCTAGTGGTTATGGGAAGATATTTTCTTTTTCACCGTAGGCCTCAGAGCGCTCCAAATATCCACTTGCACATACTACAAAAAGAGTGTTTCAAAGCTGCTCTCTGAAAGGGAATGTTCAACTCTATGAGTTGAATGCAAACAGGACAAAGACGTTTCTGAGAATGCTTCTGTCTAGATTTTATATGAAGATATTCCCGTTTCCAACGAAATCTTCAAATCTATCCAAATGTCCACTTGCAGATTCAACAAAAAGTGTTTTTCAGAACTGCTCTATCAAAAGAAAGATCCACCTCTGTTAGCTGAGTTCACACATCACAAACAAGTTTATGAGAATGCTTCTGTCTAGTTTTTATTTGAAGATATTGCCTTTCTCACCATAGACCCGAAAGCTGTCCTAATGTTCACTTCCAGATACTACAGAAAGAGTGTTTCAAAACTGCTGTACGAAAGGGAATGTTCAACTCTGTGACTTGAATGCACACATCACAAAGAAGTTTCTGAGGATGCTGCTGTCTACTTTTTATACATAATCCCGTTTCCAACGAAATCCTCCAAGCTATCCAAATATCCACTTCCAGATTCCACAGAAAGACTGTTTCAAAACTGCTCTGTCAATAGAAAGGTTCAACTCTGTTAGCTGCGTGCATATATCCCAAAGAAGATTCTGAGATTGCTTCTGTCTAGTTTTTATGGGGAGATATTTCCCTTTTCACCGTAGGCGTCAAGGCGCTACAAATGTCCACTTCCAGATACTACAAAAAGAGTGTTTCAAACCTACTCTGTGAAAGGGAATATTCAACTCTGTGACTTGAATGCACATATCACAAAGAAGTTTCTGAGAATGCTTCTGTCGAGATTTTATATGAAGATATTCCCGTTTCCAACGAAATCCTGAAATCTATCCAAATATCCCCTCGCAGATTCTACAAAAAGAGTGTTTCAAAACTGCTCTGTAAAAAGAAAGGTTCAACTCTGTTACTTCAGTACACACATCACAAACAAGTTTCACAGAATGCTTCTTTCTAGCTTGTAGGGGAAGATATTCCCTTTATCACCATGGGCCTCAAACCGTCCGAAACGTCCACTTCCATATAGTACAAAAAGAGCGTTTCAAACCTGCTCTAGGAAAGGCAATGTTCAACTCTGTGACTTGAATGCAGACATCACAGAGCAGTTTCTGAGAATGCTTCTGTCTAGATTTTATAGGAAGAATTTCCCGTTTCCAACGAAATCTTCACAGCTATCCAAATATCCACTTGCAGATTCTACAAAAAGAGTGTATCAAAACTGCTCTGTCAAAAGGAAGGTTCTTCTCTGTTAGGTGAGTGCATACGTCATAAAGGAGTTTCTGAGAATGTTTCTGTCTAGTGGTTATGGGAAGATATTTGCTTTTTCACCATAGGCCTCAGAGGGCTCCATATATCCACTTGCACATACTACAAAAAGAGTGCTTCAAAGCTGCTCTCTGAAAGGGAATGTTCAACTCTATGAGTTGAATGCTAACATCACAAAGACGTTTCTGAGAATGCTTCTGTCTAGATTTGATATGAAGATATTCCCGTTTCCAACGAAATCTTCAAATCTATCCAAATGTCCTCTTGCATATTCAACAAAAAGTGTTTTTCAGAACTGCTCTATCAAAAGAAAGATCCACGTGTGTTAGCTGAGTTCACGCATCACGAACAAGTTTATGAGAATGCTTCTGTCTAGTTTTTATTTGAAGATATTTCCTTTCTCACCATAGACCTGAAAGCTGTCCTAATGTTCACTTCCAGATACTACAGAAACAGTGTTTCAAAACTGCTGTATGAAAGGGAATGTTCAACTCTGTGACTTGAATGCACACATCACAAAGAAGTTTCTGAGGATGCTGCTGTCTACTTTTTATACGTAATCCCGTTTCCAATGAAATCCTCCAAGCTATCTAAATATCCACTTGCAGATTCCACAGAAAGACTGTTTCAAAACTGCTCTGTCAATAGAAAGGCTCAACTCTGTTAGCTGCGTGCATATATCCCAAAGAAGATTCTGAGATTGCTTCTGTCTACTTTTTATGAGAAGTTATTTCCCTTTTCACCGTAGGTGTCAAGGCGCTCCAAATGTCCACTTCCAGATACTACAAAAAGAGTGTTTCAAACCTACTCTGTGAAAGGGAATATTCAACTCTGTGACTTGAATGCACATATCACAAAGAAGTTTCTGAGAATGCTTCTGTCGAGATTTTATATGAAGATATTCCCGTTTCCAACGAAATCCTGAAATGTATCCAAATATCCCCTCGCAGATTCTACAAAAAGAGTGTTTCAAAACTGCTCTGTAAAAAGAAAGGTTCAACTCTGTTACTTGAGTACACACATCACAAACAAGTTTCACAGAATGCTTCTTTCTAGCTTGTAGGGGAAGATATTTCCTTTATCACCATGGTCCTCAAACCGTCCGAATCGTCCACTTCCATATACTAAAAAAAGAGTGTTTGAAACCTGCTCTATGAAAGGCAATGTTCAACTCTGTGACTTGAATCCAGACATCACAGAGCAGTTTCTGAGAATGCTTCTGTCCAGACTTTATAGGAAGATATTCCCGTTTCCAACGAAATCTTCACAGCTATCCACATATCCACTTGCAGATACTACAAAAAGTGTGTATCCAAAGTGCTCTGTCAAAAGGAAAGTTCTTCTCTGCTACTTGAGTACATACATCATAAAGAAGTTTCTGAGAATGTTTCTGTCTAGTGGTTATGGGAAGATATTTGCTTTTTCACCGTAGGCCTCAGATCGCTCCAAATATCCACTTGCACATACTACAAAAAGAGTGCTTCAAACCTGCTCTCTGAAACGGAATGTTCAACTCTATAAGTTGAATGCAAACATCACAAAGACGTTTCTGAGAATGCTTCTGTCTAGATTTGATATGAAGATATTCCCGTTTCCAACGAAATCTTCAAATCTATCCAAATGCCCACTTGCAGATTCAACAAAAAGTGTTTTTCAGAACTGCTCTATCAAAAGAAAGATCCACCTCTGTTAGCTGAGTTCACACATCACAAACAAGTTTCTGAGAATGCTTCTGTCTAGTTTTTATTTGAAGATATTTCCTTTCTCACCATAGAGCTGAAAGCTGTCCTAATGTTCACTTCCAGATACTACAGAAAGAGTGTTTCAAAACTGCTGTAGGAAAGGGAATGTTCAACTCTGTGACTTGAATGCACACATCACAAAGAAGTTTCTGAGGATGCTGCTGTCTACTTTTGATACGTAATCCCGTTTCCAACGAAATCCTCCAATCTATCCAAATATCCACTTGCAGATTCCACAGAAAGACTGTTTCAAATCTGCTCAGTCAATAGAAAGGTTCAACTCTGTTAGCTGCGTGCATATATCCCAAAGAAGATTCTGAGATTGCTTCTGTCTAGTTTTTACGGGAAGATATTTCCCTTTTCACCGTAGGTGTCAATGCGCTCCAAATGTCCACTTCCAGATACTACAAAAAGAGTGTTTGAAACCTACTCTGTGAAAGGGAATATTCCGCTCTGTGACTTGAATGCAGATATCACAATGAAGTTTCTGAGAATGCTTCTGTCGAGATTTTATATGAAGATATTCCCGTTTCCAACGAAATCCTGAAATGTATCCAAATATCCCCTCGCAGATTCTACAGAAAGAGTGTTTCAAAACTGCTCTGTAAAAAGAAAGGTTCAACTCTGTTAGTTGAGTACACACATCACAAACAAGTTTCACAGAATGCTTCTTTCTAGCTTGTAGGGGAAGATATTCCCTTTATCACCATGGGCCTCAAACCGTCCGAAACGTCCACTTCCATATACTACAAAAAGAGCGTTTCAAACCTGCTCTATGAAAGGCAATGTTCAACTCTGTGACTTGAATGCAGACATCACAGAGCGGTTTCTGAGAATGCTTCTGTCTAGATTTTATAGGAAGATATTCCCGTTTCCAACGAAATCTTCACAGCTACCCAAATATCCACTTGCAGATTCTACAAAAAGAGTGTATCAAAACTGCTCTGTCAAAAGGAAGGTTCTTTTCTGTTAGTTGAGTGCATACATCATAAAGGAGTTTCTGAGAATGTTTCTGTCTAGTGGTTATGGGAAGATATTTGCTTTTTCCCCGTAGGCCTCAGGGCGCTCCAAATGTCCACTTGCACATGCTACAAAAAGAGTGCTTCAAAGCTACTCTCTGGAAGGGAATGTTCAACTCTATGAGTTGAATGCAAACATCACAAAGACGTTTCTGAGACTGCTTCTGTCTAGATTTGATATGAAGATATTCCCGTTTCCAACGAAATCTTCAAATCTATACAAATGTCCACTTGCAGATTCAACAAAGTGTTTTTCAAAACTGCTGTATCAAAAGAAAGATCCACCTGTGTTAGCTGAGTTCACACTTCACAAACAAGTTTATCAGTATTCTTCTGTCTAATTTTTATTTGAAGATATATCCTTTCTCACTATAGACCTGAAAGCTCTCCTAATGTTCACTTCCAGATACTACAGAAAGAGTGTTTCAAAACTACTGTACGAAAGGGAAAGTTCAACTCTGTGACTGGAATGCACAAATCACAAGGAAGTTTCTGAGGATGCTGCTGTCTACTTTTTATACGTAATCCCGTTTCCAACGAAATCCTCCAATCTATCCAAATATCCACTTGCAGATTCCACAGAAAGACTGTTTCAAAACTGCTCTGTCAATAGAAAGGTTCAACTCTGTTAGCTGTGTGCATATATCCCAAAGAAGATTCTGAGATTGCTTCTGTCTAGTTTTTATGGGAAGATATTTTCCTTTTCACCGTAGGCGTCAAGGCGCTCCAAATGTCCACTTCCAGATACTACAAAAAGAGTGTTTCAAACCTACTCTGTGAAAGGGAATATTCAACTCTGTGACTTGAATGCACATATCACAAGGAAGTTTCTGAGAATGCTTCTGTCGAGATTTTCGATGAAGATATTCGCGTTTCCAACGAAATCCTGAAATCTATCCAAATATCCCCTCGCAGATTCTACAAAAAGAGTGTTTCAAAACTGCTCTGTAAAAAGAAAGGTTCAACTCTGTTAGTTGAGTACACACATCACAAACAAGTTTCACAGAATGCTTCTTTCTAGCTTGTAGGGGCAGATATTCCCTTTATCACCATGGGCCTCAAACCGTCCGAAACGTCTACTTCCATATACTACAAAAAGAGCGTTTCAAACCTGCTCTATGAAAGGCAATGTTCAACTCTGTGACTTGAATGCAGACATCACAGAGCAGTTTCTGAGAATGCTTCTGTCTAGATTTTATAGGAAGATATTCCCATTTCCAACGAAATCTTCACAGCTATCCAAATATCCACTTGCAGATTCTACAAAAAGAGTGTATCAAAACTGCTCTGTCAAAAGGAAGGTTCTTCTCTGTTAGTTGAGTACATACGTCATAAAGGAGTTTCTGAGAATGTTTCTGTCTAGTGGTTATGGGAAGATATTTGCTTTTTCCCCGTAGGCCTCAGAGCGCTCCAAATATCCACTTGCACATACTACAAAAAGAGTGCTTTAAAGCTGCTCTCTGAAAGTGAATGTTCAACTCTATGAGTTGAATGCAAACATCACAAAGACGTTTCTGAGAATGTTTCTGTCTACATTTGATATGAAGATATTCCCGTTTCCAACGAAATCTTCAAATTTATCCAAATGTCCACTTGCAGATTCAACAAAGTGTTTTTCAAAACTGCTGTATCAAAAGAAAGATCAAACTCTGTTAGCGGAGTTCACACTTCACAAACAAGTTTATCAGAATTCTTGTGTCTAGTTTTTATTTGAAGATATTTCCTTTCTCACCATAGACCTGAAAGCTGTCCTAATGTTCACTTCCAGATACTACAGAAAGAGTGTTTCAAAACTGCTGTACGAAAGGGAATGTTCAACTCTGTGACTTGAATGCACACATCACAAAGAAGTTTCTGAGGATGCTGCTGTCTACTTTTTATACGTAATCCCGTTTCCAACGAAATCCTCCAAGCTATCCAAATATCCACTTGCAGATTCCACAGAAAGACTGTTTCAAAACTGCTCTGTCAATAGAAAGGTTCAACTCTGTTAGCTGCGTGCATATATCCCAAAGAAGATTCTGAGATTACTTCTGTCTAGTTTTTATGGGAAGATATTTCCCTTTTCACTGTAGGTGTCATGGCGCTCCAAATGTCCACTTCCAGATACTACAAAAAGAGTGTTTCAAACCTACTCTGTGAAAGGGAATATTCAACTCTGTGACTTGAATGCACATATCACAAAGAAGTTTCTGAGAATGCTTCTGTCGAGATTTTATATGAAGATATTCCCGTTTCCAACGAAATCCTGAAATCTATCCAAATATCCCCTCGCAGATTCTACAAAAAGAGTGTTTCAAAACTGCTCTGTAAAAAGAAAGGTTCAACTCTGTTAGTTGAGTACACACATCACAAACAAGTTTCACACAATGCTTCTTTCTAGCTTGGAGGGGAAGATATTCCCTTTATCACCATGGGCCTCCAACCGTCCGAAACATCCACTTCCATATACTACAAAAAGAGCGTTTCAAACCTGCTCTATGAAAGGCAATGTTCAACTCTGTGACTTGAATGCAGACATCACAGAGCAGTTTCTGAGAATGCTTCTGTCTAGATTTTATAGGAAGATATTACCGTTTCCAACGAAATCTTCACAGCTATCCCAATATCCACTTGCAGATTCTACAAAAAGAGTGTATCAAAACTGCTCTGTAAAAAGGAAGGTTCTTCTCTGTTAGGTGAGTGCACACGTCATAAAGGAGTTTCTGAGAATGTTTCTGTCTAGTGGTTATGGGAAGATATTTGCTTTTTCACCGTAGGCCTCAGAGCGCTCCAAATATCCACTTGCACATGCTACAAAAAGAGTGCTTCAAAGCTGCTCTCTGAAACGGAATGTTCAACTCTATGAGTTGAATGCAAACATCACAAAGACGTTTCTGAGAATGCTTCTGTCTAGATTTGATATGAAGATATTCCCGTTTCCAACGAAATCTTCAAATCTATCCAAATGTCCACTTGCAGATTCAACAAAACGTGTTTTTCAGAACTGCTCTATCAAAAGAAAGATCCACGTCTGTTAGCTGAGTTCAGACATCACAAACAAGTTTATGAGAATGCTTCTCTCTAGTTTTTATTTGAAGATATTTCCTTTCTCACCATAGAGCTGAAAGCTGTCCTAATGTTCACTTCCAGATACTACAGAAAGAGTGTTTCAAAACTGCTGTACGAAAGGGAATGTTCAACTCTGTGACTTGAATGCACACATCACAAAGAAGTTTCGGAGGATGCTGCTGTCTACTTATTATACGTAATCCCGTTTCCAACGAAATCCTCCAAGCTATCCAAATATCCACTTGCAGATTCCACAGAAAGACTCTTTCAAAACTGCTCTGTCAATAGAAAGGTTCAACTCTGTTAGCTGCGTGCATATATCCCAAAGAAGATTCTGAGATTGCTTCTGTCTACTTTTTATGAGAAGATATTTCCCTTTTCACCGTAGGTGTCAAGGCGCTCCAAATGTCCACTTCCAGATACTAGAAAAAGAGTGTTTCAAACCTACTCTGTGAAAGGGAATATTCAACTCTGTGACTTGAATGCACATATCACAAAGAAGCTTCTGAGAATGCCTCTGTCGAGATTTTATGTGAAGATATTCCCGTTTCCAACGAAATCCTGAAATCTATCCAAATATCCCCTCGCAGATTCTACAAAAAGAGTGTTTCAAAACTGCTCTGTAAAAAGAAAGGTTCAACTCTGTTAGTTCAGTACACACATCACAAACAAGTTTCACAGAATGCTTCTTTCTAGCTTGTAGGGGAAGATATTCCCTTTATCACCATGGGCCTCAAACCGTCTGAAACGTCCACTTCCATATACTACAAAAAGAGCATTTCAAACCTGCTCCATGAAAGGCAATGTTCAACTCTGTGAGTTGAATGCAGACATCACAGAGCAGTTTCTGAGAATGCTTCTGTCCAGACTTTATAGGAAGATATTCCCGTTTCCAACGAAATCTTCACAGCTATCCAAATATCCACTTACAGATACTACAAAAAGAGTGTATCAAAAATGCTCTGTCAAAAGGAAAGTTCTTCTCTGCTAGTTGAGTACATACGTCATAAAGAAGTTTCTGAGATTGTTTCTGTTTAGTGGTTATGGGAAGATATTTGCTTTTTCACCTTAGGCCTCAGAGCGCTCCAAATATCCCCTTGCACATACTACAAAAAGAGTGCTTCAAAGCTGCTCTCTGAAACGGAATGTTCAACTCCATGAGTTGAATGCAAACATGACAAAGACGTTTCCGAGAATGCTTCTGTCTAGATTTGATATGAAGATATTCCCGTTTCCAACGAAATCTTCAAATCTATCCAAATGTCCACTTGCAGATTCAAGAAAAAGTGTTTTTCAGAACTGCTCTATCAAAAGAAAGATCCACCTCTGTTAGCTGAGTTCACACATCACAAACAAGTTTATGAGAATGCTTCTGTCTAGTTTTTATGGGAAGATATTTCCCTTTTCACCGTAGGCGTCAAGGCGCTCCAAATGTCCACTTCCAGATACTACAAAAAGAGTGTTTCAAACCTACTCTGTGAAAGGGAATATTCAACTCTGTGACTTGAATGCACACATCACAAAGAAGTTTCTGAGGATGCTGCTGTCTACTTTTTATACGTAATCCCGTTTCCAACGAAATCCTCCAAGCTATCCAAATATCCACTTGCAGATTCCACAGAAAGACTGTTTCAAAACTGCTCTGTCAATAGAAAGGTTCAACTCTGTTAGCTGCGTGCATATATCCCAAAGAAGTTTCTGAGATTGCTTCTGTCTAGTTTTTATGGGAAGATATTTCCCTTTTCACCGTAGGTGTCAAGGCGCTCCAAATGTCCACTTCCAGATACTACAAAAAGAGTGTTTCAAACCTACTCTGTCAAAGGGAATATTCAACTCTGTGACTTGAATGCACATATCACAAAGAAGTTTCTGAGAATGCTTCTGTCGAGATTTTATATGAAGATATGCCCGTTTCCAACGAAATCCTGAAATCTATCCAAATATCCCCTCGCAGATTCTACAAAAAGAGTGTTTCAAAACTGCTCTGTAAAAAGAAAGGTTCAACTCTGTTAGTTGAGTACACACATCACAAACAAGTTTCACAGAATGCTTCTTTCTAGCTTGTAGGGGAAGATATTCCCTTTATCACCATGGGCCTCAAACCGTCCGAAACGTCCACTTCCATATGCTACAAAAAGAGCGTTTCAAACCTGCTCTATGAAAGGCAATGTTCAACTCTGTGACTTGAATGCAGACATCACAGAGCAGTTTCTGAGAATGCTTCTGTCTACATTTTATAGGAAGATATTCCCGTTTCCAACGAAATCTTCACAGCTATCCAAATATCCACTTGCAGATTCTACAAAAAGAGTGTATCAAAACTGCTCTGTCAAAAGGAAGGTTCTTCTCTGTTAGGTGAGTGCATACGTCATAAAGGAGTTTCTGAGAATGTTTCTGTCTAGTGGTTATGGGAAGATATTTGTTTTTTCACCGTAGGCCTCAGAGCGCTCCAAATATCCACTTGCACATACGACAAAAAGAGTGTTTCAAAGCTGCTCTCTGAAAGGGAATGTTCAACTCTATGAGTTGAATGCAAACATGACAAAGACGTTTCTGAGAATGCTTCTGTCTAGATTTGATATGAAGATATTCCCGTTTCCAACGAAATCTTCAAATATATCCAAATGTCCACTTGCAGATTCAACAAAAAGTGTTTTTCAAAACTGCTGTATCAAAAGAAAGATCCACGTCTGTTAGCTGAGTTCACACATCACAAACAAGTTTATGAGAATGCTTCTGTCTAGTTTTTATTTGAAGATATTTCCTTTCTCACCATAGACCTGAAAGCTGTCCTAACGTTCACTTCCAGATACTACAGAAAGAGTGTTTCAAAACTGCTGTACGAAAGGGAATGTTCAACTCTGTGACTTGAATGCACACATCACAAAGAAGTTTCTGAGGATGCTGCTGTCTACTTTTTATACGTAATCCCGTTTCCAAAGAAATCCTCCAATCTATCCAAATATCCACTTGCAGATTCCACAGAAAGACTGTTTCAAAACTGCTCTGTCAATAGAAAGGTTCAACTCTGTTAGCTGCGTGCATATATCCCAAAGAAGATTCTGAGATTGCTTCTGTCTAGTTTTTATGAGAAGATATTTCCCTTTTCACCGTAGGCGTCAAAGCGCTCCAAATGTCCACTTCCAGATACTACAAAAAGAGTGTTTCAAACCTACTCTGTAAAAGGGAATATTCAACTCTGTGACTTGAATGCACATATCACAATGAAGTTTCTGAGAATGCTTCTGTCGAGATTTTATATGAAGATATTCCCGTTTCCAACGAAATCCTGAAATCTATCCAAATATCCCCTCGCAGATTCTACAAAAAGAGTGTTTCAAAACTGCTCTGTAAATAGAAAGGTTCAACTCTGTTAGTTGAGTACACACATCACAAACAAGTTTCACAGAATGCTTCTTTCTAGCTTGTAGGGGAAGATATTCCCTTTATCACCATGGGCCTCAAACCGTCCGAAACGTCCACTTCCATATACTACAAAAAGAGTGTTTCAAACCTGCTCTATGAAAGGCAATGTTCAACTCTGTGACGTGAATGCAGACATCACAGAGCAGTTTCTGAGAATGCTTCTGTCTAGATTTTATAGGAAGATATTCACGTTTCCAACGAAATCTTCACAGCTATCCAAATATCCACTTGCAGATTCTACAAAAAGAGTGTATCAAAACTGCTCTGTCAAAAGGAAGGTTCTTTTCTGTTAGGTGAGTGCATACGTCATAAAGGAGTTTCTGAGAATGTTTCTGTCTAGTGTTTATGGGAAGATATTTGCTTTTTCACCATAGGCCTCATAGCGCTCCAAATGTCCACTTCCACATACTACAAAAAGAGTTCTTCAAAGCTGCTCTCTTAAAGGGAGTGTTCACCTCTATGAGTTGAATGCAAACATCACAAAGTCGTATCTGAGAACGCTTCTGTCTAGATTTGATATGAAGATCTTCCCGTTTCCAACGAAATCTTCAAATCTATCCAAATGTCCACTTGCAGATTCAACAAAAAGTGTTTTTCAGAACTGCTCTATCAAAAGAAAGATCCACCTCTGTTAGCTGAGTTCAGACATCACAAACAAGTTTATGAGAATGCTTCTGTCTAGTTTTTATTTGAAGATATTTCCTTTCTCACCATAGACCTGAAAGCTGTCCTAATGTTGACTTCCAGATACTACAGAAACAGTGTTTCAAAACTGCTGTACGAAAGGGAATGTTCAACTCTGTGACTTGAATGCACACCTCACAAATAAGTTTCTGAGGATGCTGCTGTCTACTTTTTATGCGTAATCCCGTTTCCAACGAAATCCTCGAAGCTATCCAAATATCCACTTGCAGATTCCACAGAAAGACTGTTTCAAAACTGCTCTGTCAATAGAAAGGTTCAACTCTGTTAGCTGCGTGCATATATCCCAAAGAAGATTCTGAGATTGCTTCTGTCTAGTTTTTATGGGAAGATATTTCCCTTTTCACCGTAGGCGTCAAGGCGCTCCAAATGTCCACTTCCAGATACTACAAAAAGAGTGTTTCAAACCTACTCTGTGAAAGGGAATATTCAACTCTGTGACTTTAATGCACATATCACAAAGAAGTTTCTGAGAATGCTTCTGTCGAGATTTTATATGAAGATATTCAAGTTTCCAACGAAATCCTGAAATCTATCCAAATATCCCCTCGCAGATTCTACAAAAAGAGTGTTTCAAAACTGCTCTGTAAAAAGAAAGGTTCAACTCTGTTAGTTGAGTACACACATCACAAACAAGTTTCACAGAATGCTTCTTTCTAGCTTGTAGGGGAAGATATTCCCTTTATCACCATGGGCCTCCAACCGTCCGAAACATCCACTTCCATATAGTACAAAAAGAGCGTTTCAAACCTGCTCTATGAAAGGCAATGTTCAACTCTGTGACTTGAATGCAGACATCACAGAGCAGTTTCTGAGAATGCTTCTGTCTAGATTTTATAGGAAGATATTCCCGTTTCCAACGAAATCTTCACAGCTATCCAAATATCCACTTGCAGATTCTGCAAAAAGAGTGTATCAAAACTGCTCAGTCAAAAGGAAGGTTCTTCTCTGTTAGGTGAGTGCATACGTGATAACGGAGTTTCTGAGAATGTTTCTGTCTAGTGGTTTTGGGAAGATATTTGCTTTTTCACCGTAGGCCTCACAGCGCACCAAATATCCACTTGCACATACTACAAAAAGAGTGCCTCAAAGCTGCTCTCTGAAACGGAATGTTCAACTCTATGGGTTGAATGCAAACATCACAAAGACGTTTCTGAGAATGCTTTCTGTCTAGATTTGATATGAAGATATTCCCGTTTCCAACGAAATCTTCATATCTATCCAAATGTCCACTTGCAGATTCAACAAAAAGTGTTTTTCAAAACTGCTGTATCAAAAGAAAGATCCACGTGTGTTAGCTGAGTTCACACATCACAAACAAGATTATGAGAATGCTTCTGTCTAGTTTTTATTTGAAGATATTTCCTTTCTCACCATAGACCTGAAAGCTGTCCTAATGTTCACTTCCAGTTACTACAGAAAGAGTGTTTCAAAACTGCTGTACGAAAGGGAATGTTCAACTCTGTGACTTGAATGCACACATCACAAAGAAGTTTTTGAGGATGCTGCTGTCTACTTTTTATACGTAATCCCGTTTCCAACGAAATCCTCCAAGCTATCCAAATATCCACTTGCAGATTCCACAGAAAGACTGTTACAAAACTGCTCTGTCAATAGAAAGGTTCAACTCTGTTAGCTGCGTGCATATATCCCAAAGAAGATTCTGAGATTGCTTCTGTCTAGTTTTTATGGGAAGATATTTCCCTTTTCACCGTAGGTGTCAAGGAGCTACAAATGTCCACTTCCAGATACTACAAAAAGAGTGTTTCAAACCTACTCTGTGAAAGGGAATATTCAACTCTGTGACTTGAGTGCAGATATCACAAAGAAGTTCCTGAGAATGCTTCTGTCGAGATTTTATATGAAGATAGTCCCGTTTCCAACGAAATCCTGAAATCTATCCAAATATCCCCTCGCAGATTCTACAAAAAGAGTGTTTCAAAACTGCTCTGTAAAAAGAAAGGTTCAACTCTGTTAGTTGTGTACACACATCACAAACAAGTTTCACAGAATGCTTATTTCTAGCTTGTAGGGGAAGATATTCCCTTTATCACCATGGGCCTCAAACCGTCCGAAACGTCCACTTCCATATACTACAAAAAGAGCGTTTCAAACCTGCTCTAGGAAAGGCAATGTTCAACTCTGTGACTTGAATGCAGACATCTCAGAGCAGTTTCTGAGAATGCTTCTGTCTAGATTTTATAGGAAGATATTCCCGTTTCCTACGAAATCTTCACAGCTATCCAAATATCCACTTGCAGATTCTACAAAAAGAGTGTATCAAAACTGCTCTGTCAAAAGGAAGGTTCTTTTCTGTTAGGTGAGTGCATACGTCATAAAGGAGTTTCTGAGAATGTTTCTGTCTAGTGGTTATGGGAAGATATTTGCTTTTTCACCATAGGCCTCAGAGCGCTCCAAATATCCCCTTGCACATACTACAAAAAGAGTGCTTCAAAGCTGCTCTCTGAAACGGAATGTTCAAATCTATGAGTTGAATGCAAACATCACAAAGACGTTTCTGAGAATGCTTCTGTCTAGATTTGATATGAAGATATTCCCGTTTGCAACGAAATCTTCAAATCTATCCAAATGTCCACTTGCAGATTCAACAAAAAGTGTTTTTCAGAACTGCTCTATCAAAAGAAAGATCCACGTGTGTTAGCTGAGTTCACACATCACGAACAAGTTTATGAGAATGCTTCTGTCTAGTTTTTATTTGAAGATATTTCCTTTCTCACCATAGACCTGAAAGCTGTCCTAATGTTCACTTCCAGGTACTACAGAAAGAGTGTTTCAAAACTGCTGTACGAAAGGGAATGTTCAACTCTGTGACTTCAATGCACACATCACAAAGAAGTTTCTGAGGATGCTGCTGTCTACTTTTTATACATAATCCCTTTTCCAACGAAATCCTCCAAGCTATCCAAATATCCACTTGCAGATTCCACAGAAAGACTGTTTCAAAACTGCTCTGTCAATAGAAAGGTTCAACTCTGATAGCTGCGTGCATATATCCCAAAGAAGATTCTGAGATTGCTTCTGTCTAGTTTTTATGGGAAGATATTTCCCTTTTCACCGTAGGTGTCAAGGAGCTCCAAATGTCCACTTCCAGATACTACAAAAAGAGTGTTTCAAACCTACTCTGTGAAAGGGAATATTCAACTCTGTGACTTAAAGGCAGATATCACAAAGAAGTTTCTGAGAATGCTTCTGTCGAGATTTTATAGGAAGATATTCCCGTTTCCAACAAAATCTTCACAGCTATCCAAATATCCACTTGCAGATTCTACAAAAAGAGTGTATCAAAACTGCTCTGTCAAAAGGAAGGTTCTTCTCTGTTAGGTGAGTGCATACGTCATAAAGGAGTTTCTGAGAATGTTTCTTTCTAGCTTGTAGGGGAAGATATTCCCTTTATCACCATGGGCCTCAAACCATCCGAAACGTCCACTTCCATATACTACAAGAAGAGCGTTTCAAACCTGCTCTAGGAAAGGGAATGTTCAACTCTGTGACTTGAATGCAGACATCACAGAGCAGTTTCTGAGAATGCTTCTGTCTAGATTTTATAGGAAGATATTCCCGTTTCCAACGAAATCTTCACAGCTATCCAAATATCCACTTGCAGATTCTACAAAAAGAGTGTATCAAAACTGCTCTGTCAAAAGGAAGGTTCTTCTCTGTTAGGTGAGTGCATACGTCATAAAGGAGTTTCTGAGAAAGTTTCTGTCTAGTGGTTATGGGAAGATATTTGCTTTTTCACCGAAGGCCTCAGAGCGCTCCAAATATCCACTTGCACATACTACAAAATGAGTGCCTCAAAGCTGCTCTCTGAAACGGAATGTTCAATTCTATGAGTTGAATGCAAACATCACAAAGACGTTTCCGAGAATGCTTCTGTCTAGATTTGATATGAAGATATTCCCGTTTCCAACGAAATCTTCAAATCTATCCAAATGTCCACTTGCAGATTCAACAAAAGAGTTTTTCAGAACTGCTCTATCAAAAGAAAGATCCACCTCTGTAAGCTGAGTTCACACATCACAAACAAGTTTATGAGAATGCTTCTGTCTAGTTTTTATTTGAAGATATTTCCTTTCTCACCATAGACCTGAAAGCTGTCCTAATGTTCACTTCCAGATACTACAGAAAGAGTGTTTCAAAACTGCTGTATGAAAGGGAATGTTCAACTCTGTGAATTGAATGCACACATCACAAAGAAGTTTCTGAGGATGCTGCTGTCTACTTTTTATACGTAATCCCGTTTCCAACGAAATCCTCCAAGCTATCCAAATATCCACTTGCAGATTCCACAGAAAGACTGTTTCAAATCTGCTCAGTCAATAGAAAGGTTCAACTCTGTTAGCTGCGTGCATATATCCCAAAGAAGATTCTGAGATTGCTTCTGTCTAGTTTTTATGGGAAGATATTTCCCTTTTCACCGTAGGTGTCAAGGCGCTCCAAATGTCCACTTCCAGATACTACAAAAAGAGTGTTTTAAACCTACTCTGTGAAAGGGAATATTCAACTCTGTGACTTGAATGCACATATCACAAAGAAGTTTCTGAGAATGCTTCTGTCGAGATTTTATATGAAGATATTCCCGTTTCCAACGAAATCCTGAAATCTATCCGAATATCCCCTCGCAGATTCTACAAAAAGAGTGTTTCAAAACTGCTCTGTAAAAAGAAAGGTTCAACTCTGTTAGTTGAGTACACACATCACAAACAAGTTTCACAGAATGCTTCTTTCTAGCTTGTAGGGGAAGATATTCCCTTTATCACCATGGGCCTCAAACCGTCCGAAACGTCCACTTCCATATACTACAAAAACAGCATTTCAAACCTGCTCTAGGAAAGGCAATGTTCAACTCTGTGACTTGAATGCAGACATCACAGAGCAGTTTCTGAGAATGCTTCTGTCTAGATTTTATAGGAAGATATTCCCGTTTCCATCGAAAACTTCACAGCTATCCAAATATCCACTTGCAGATTCTACAAAAAGAGTGTATCAAAACTGCTCTGTCAAAAGGAAGGTTTTTCTCTGTTAGTTGAGTGCATACGTCATAAAGGAGTTTCTGAGAATGTTTCTGTCTAGTGGCTATGGGAAGATATTTGCTTTTTCACCGTAGGCCTCAGAGCGCTCCAAATATCCACTTGCACATACTACAAAAAGAGTGCCTCAAAGCTGCTCTCTGAAACGGAATGTTCAACTCTATGAGTTGAATGCAAACATCACAAAGACGTTTCTGAGAATGCTTCTGTCTAGATTTGATATGAAGATATTCCCGTTTCCAACGAAATCTTCAAATCTATCCAAATGTCCACTTGCATAATCAACAAAAAGTGTTTTTCACAACTGCTCTATCAAAAGAAAGATCCACCTCTGTTAGCTGAGTTCACACATCACAAACAAGTTTATGAGAATGCTTCTGTCTAGTTTTTATTTGAAGATATATCCTTTCTCACTATAGACCTGAAAGCTCTCCTAATGTTCACTTCCAGATACTACAGAAAGAGTGTTTCAAAACTGCTGTACGAAAGGGAAAGTTCAACTCTGTGACTTGAATGCACACATCACAAGGAAGTTTCTGAGGATGCTGCTGTCTACTTTTTCTACGTAATCCTGTTTCCAACGAAATCCTCGAAGCTATCCAAATATCCACTTGCAGATTCCACAGAAAGACTGTTTCAAACCTGCTCTGTCAATAGAAAGGTTCAACTCTGTTAGCTACGTGCATATATCCCAAAGAAGATTCTGAGATTGCTTCTGTCTAGTTTTTATGGGAAGATATTTTCCTTTTCACCGTAGGCGTCAAGGCGCTCCAAATGTCCACTTCCAGATACTACAAAAAGAGTGTTTCAAACCTACTCTGTGAAAGGGAATATTCAACTCTGTGACTTGAATGCACATATCACAAAGAAGTTTCTGAGAATGCTTCTGTCGAGATTTTATATGAAGATATTCCCCTTTCCAACGAAATCCTGAAATCTATCCAAATATCCCATCGCAGATTCTACAAAAAGAGTGTTTCAAAACTGCTCTGTAAAAAGAAAGGTTCAACTCTGTTAGTTGAGTACACACATCACAAACAAGTTTCACAGAATGCTTCTTTCTAGCTTGTAGAGAGAAGATATTCCCTTTATCACCATGGGCCTCAAACCGTCCGAAACGTCCACTTCCATATACTACAAAAAGAGCGTTTCAAACCTGCTCTATGAAAGGCAATGTTCAACTCTGTGACTTGAATGCAGACATCACAGAGCAGTTTCTGAGAATGCTTCTGTCTAGATTTTATAGGAAGATATTCCCGTTTCCAACAAAATCTTCACAGCTATCCAAATATCCACTTACAGATTCTACAAAAAGAGTGTATCAAAACTGCTCTGTCAAAAGGAAGGTTCTTCTCTGTTAGGTGAGTGCATACGTCATAAAGGAGTTTCTGAGAATGTTTCTGTCTAGTGGTTATGGGAAGATATTTGCTTTTTCACCGTAGGCCTCAGAGCGCTCCAAATATCCACTTGCACATACTACAAAAAGAGTGCCTCAAAGCTGCTCTCTGAAAGGGAATGTTCAACACTATGAGTTGAATGCAAACATCGCAAAGACGTTTCTGAGAATGCTTCTGTCTAGCTTTGATATGAAGATATTCCCGTTTGCAACGAAATCTTCAAATCTATCAAAATGTCCACTTGCAGATTCAACAAAACGTGTTTTTCAGAACTGCTCTATCAAAGGAAAGATACACCTCTGTTAGCTGAGTTCACACATCACAAACAAGTTTATGAGAATGCCTTCTGTCTTGTTTTTATTTGAAGATATTTCCTTTCTCACCATAGACCTGAAAGCTGTCCTAATGTTCACTTCCAGATACTACAGAAAGAGTGTTTCAAAACTGCTGTACGAAAGGGAATGTTCAACACTGTGACTTGAATGCACACATCACAAAGAAGTTTCTGAGGATGCTGCAGTCTACTTTTTATACGTAATCCCGTTTCCAAAGAAAACCTCCAAGCTATCCAAATATCCACTTGCAGATTCCACAGAAAGACTGTTTCAAAACTGCTCTGTCAATAGAAAGGTTCAACTCTGTTAGCTCCGTGCATATATCCCAAAGAAGATTCTGAGATTGCTTCTGTCTAGTTTTTATGGGAAGATATTTCCTTTTTCACCGTAGGCGTCAAGGCGCTCCAAATGTCCACTTCCAGATACTACAAAAAGAGTGTTTCAAACCTACTCTGTGAAAGGGAATATTCAACTCTGTGACTTGAATACACATATCACAAGGAAGTTTCTGAGAATGCTTCTGTCGAGATTTTATATGAAGATATTCCCGTTTCCAACGAAATCCTGAAATCTATCCAAATATCCCCTCGCAGATTCTACAAAAAGAGTGTTTCAAAACTGTTCTTTAAAAAGAAAGGTTCAACTCTGTTAGTTGAGTACACACATCACAAACAAGTATCACAGAATGCTTCTTTCTAGCTTGTAGGGGAAGATATTCCCTTTATCACCATGGGCCTCAAACCGTCCGAAAAGTCCACTTCAATATACTACAAAAAGAGCGTTTCAAACCTGCTCTATGAAAGGCAATGTTCAACTCTGTGACTTGAATGCAGACATCACAGAGCTGTTTCTGAGAATGCTTCTGTCCAGACTTTATAGGAAGATATTCCCGTTTCCAAGGAAATCTTCACAGCTATCCAAATATCCACTTGCAGATACTACAAAAAGAATGTATCAAAAATGCTCTGTCAAAAGGAAAGTTCTTCTCTGCTAGTTGAGTACATACGTCATAAAGAAGTTTCTGAGAATGTTTTCTGTCTAGTGGTTATGGGAAGATATTTGCTTTTTCACCGTAGGCCTCAGTAGCGCTCCAAATATCCGCTTGCACATACTACAAAAAGAGTGCTTCAAAGCTGCTCTCTGAAACGGAATGTTCAACTCTATGAGTTGAATGCAAACATGACAAAGACGTTTCTGAGAATGCTTCTGTCTAGATTTGATATGAAGATATACCCGTTTCCAACGAAATCTTCAAATCTATCCAAATGTCCACTTGCAGATTCAACAAAAAGTGTTTTTCAGAACTGCTCTATCAAAAGAAAGATCCACCTCTGTTAGCTGAGTTAACACATCACAAACAAGTTTATGAGAATGCTTCTGTCTAGTTTTTATTTGAAGATATTTCCTTTCTCACCATAGACCTGAAAGCTGTCCTAATGTTCACTTCCAGATACTACAGAAAGAGTGTTTCAAAACTGCTGTACGAAAGAGAATGTTCAACTCTGTGACTTCAATGCACACATCACAAAGAAGTTTCTCAGGATGCTGCTGTCTACTTTTTATACGTAATCCCGTTTCCAACGAAATCCTCCAAGCTATCCAAATATCCACTTGCAGATTCCACAGAAAGACTGTTTCAAAACTGCTCTGTCAATAGAAAGGTTCAACTCTGTTATCTGCGTGCATATATCCCAAAGAAGATTCTGAGATTGCTTCTGTCTAGTTTTTATGGGAAGATATTTCCCTTTTCACCGTAGGTGTCAAGGCGCTCCAAATGTCCACTTCCAGATACTACAAAAAGAGTGTTTCAAACCTACTCTGTGAAAGGGAATATTCAACTCTGTGACTTGAATGCAGATATCACAAAGAAGTTTCTGAGAATGATTCTGTCGAGATTTTGTATGAAGATATTCCCGTTTCCAACGAAATCCTGAAATCTATCCAAATATCCCCTCGCAGATTCTACAAAAAGAGTGTTTCAAAACTGCTCTGTGAAAAGAAAGGTTCAACTATCTTAGTTGAGTACACACATCACAAACAAGTTTCACAGAATGCTTCTTTCTAGCTTGTAGGGGAAGATATTCCCTTTATCACCATGGGCCTCAAACCGTCCGAAACGTCTACTTCCATATACTACAAAAAGAGCGTTTCAAACCTGCTCTATGAAAGGCAATGTTCAACTCTGAGACTTGAATGCAGACATCACAGAGCAGTTTCTGAGAATGCTTCTGTCTAGATTTTATAGGAAGATATTCCCGTTTCCAACGAAATCTTCACAGCTATCCAAATATGCACTTGCAGATTCTACAAAAAGAGTGTATCAAAACTGCTCTGTCAAAAGGAAGGTTCTTCTCTGTTAGTTGAGTACATACGTCATAAAGGAGTTTCTAAGAATGTTTCTGACTAGTGGTTATGGGAAGATATTTGCTTTTTCACCGTAGGCCTCAGAGCGCTCCAAATATCCACTTGCACATACTACAAAAAGAGTGCCTCAAAGCTGCTCTCTGAAACGGAATGTTCAACTCTATGAGTTGAATGAAAACATCACAAAGACGTTTCTGAGAATGCTTCTGTCTAGATTTGATATGAAGATATTCCCGTTTCCAACGAAATCTTCCAATCTATCCAAATGTCCACTTGCAGATTCAACAAAAAGTGTTTTTCAAAAGTGCTGTATCAAAAGAAAGATCCACCTCTGTTAGTTGAGTCCACACATCACAAAGAACTTTATGAGAATGCTTCTGTCTAGTTTTTATTTGAAGATATTTCCTTTCTCACCATAGACCTGAAAGCTGTCCTAATGTTCACTTCCAGATACTACAGAAAGAGTGTTTCAAAACTGCTGCATGAAAGGGAATGTTCAACTCTGTGACTTGAATGCACACATCACAAAGAAGTTTCTGAGGATGCTGCTGTCTACTTTTTATACGTAATCCCGTTTCCAACAAAATCCTCCAAGCTATACAAATATCCACTTGCAGATTCCACAGAAAGACTGTTTCAAAACTGCTCTGTCAATAGAAAGGTTCAACTCTGTTAGCTGCGTGCATATATCCCAAAGAAGATTCTGAGATTGCTTCTGTCTAGTATTTATGGGAAGATATTTCCCTTTTCACCGTAGGTGTCAAGGAGCTCCAAATGTCCACTTCCAGATACTACAAAAAGAGTGTTTCAAACCTACTCTGCGAAAGGGAATATTCAACTCTGTGACTTGAAGGCAGATATCACAAAGAAGTTTCTGAGAATGCTTCTGTCGAGATTTTATATAAAGATATTACGGTTTCCAACAAATTCCTGAAATCTATCCAAATATCCCCTCGCAGATTCTACAAAAAGAGTGTTTCAAAACTGCTCTGTAAAAAGAAAGGTTCAACTCTGTTAGTTGAGTACACACATCACAAACAAGTTTCACAGAATGCTTCTTTCTAGCTTGTAGGGGAAGATATTCCCTTTATCACCAAGGGCCTCAAACCGTCTGAAACGTCTACTTCCATATACTACAAAAAGAGCGTTTCAAACCTGCTCTATGAAAGGCAATGTTCAACTCTGTGACTTGAATGCAGACATCACAGAGCAGTTTCTGAGAATGCTTCTGTCTAGATTTTATAGGAAGATATTCCCGTTTCCAACGAAATCTTCACAGCTATCCAAATATCCACTTGCAGATTCTACAAAAAGAGTCTATCAAAACTGCTCTGTCAAAAGGAAGGTTCTTCTCTGTTAGTTGAGTACATACGTCATAAAGGAGTTTCTGAGAATGTTTCTGTCTAGTGGTTATGGGAAGATATTTGCTTTTTCACCGTAGGCCTCATAGCGCTCCAAATATCCACTTGCACATACTACAAAAAGTGTGCTTCAAAGCTGCTCTCTGAAAGGGAATGTTCAACTCTATGAGTTGAATGCAAACATCACAAAGACGTCTCTGAGAATGCTTCTGTCTAGATTTGATATGAAGATATTCCCGTTTCCAACGAAATCTTCAAATCTATCCAAATGTCCACTTGCAGATTCAACAAAAAGTGTTTTTCAGAACTGCTCTATCAAAAGAAAGATCCACCTCTTTTAGCTGGGTTCACACATCACAAACAAGTTTACGAGAATGCTTCTGTCTAGTTTTTATTTGAAGATATTTCGTTTCTCACCATAGACCTGAAAGCTGTCCTAATGTTCACTTCCAGTTACTACAGAAAGAGTGTTTCAAAACTGCTGTACGAAAGGGAATGTTCAACTCTGTGACTTGAATGCACACATCACAAAGAAGTTTCTGAGGATGCTGCTGTCTACTTTTTATACTTAATCCCGTTTCCAACGAAATCCTCCAAGCTATCCAAATATCCACTTGCAGATTCCACAGAAAGACTGTTTCAAAACTGCTCTGTCAATAGAAAGGTTCAACTCTGTTAGCTGCGTGTATATATCCCAAAGAAGATTCTGAGATTGCTTCTGTCTAGTTTTTATGGGAAGATATTTCCCTTTTCACCGTAGGCGTCAAGGCGCTCCAAATGTCCACTTCCAGATACTTCAAAAAGAGTGTTTCAAACCTACTCTGTGAAAGGGAATATTCAAGTCTGTGACTTGAATGCACATATCACAAGGAAGTTTCTGAGAATGCTTCTGTCGAGATTTTACATGAAGATATTCCCGTTTCCAACCAAATGCTGAAATCTATCCAAATATCCCCTCGCAGATTCTACAAAAAGAGTGTTTCAAAACTGCTCTGTGAAAAGAAAGGTTCAACTCTGTTAGTTGAGTACACACATCACAAACAAGTTTCACAGAATGCTTCTTTCTAGCTTGTAGGGGAAGATATTCCCTTTATCACCATGGGCCTCAAACCGTCTGAAACGTCCACTTCCATATACTTCAAAAAGAGCATTTCAAACCTGCTCTATGAAAGGCAATGTTCAACTCTGTGACTTGAATGCAGACATCACAGAGCAGTTTCTGAGAATGCTTCTGTCTAGATTTTATAGGAAGATATTCCCGTTTCCAACGAAATCTTCACAGCTATCCAAATATCCACTTGCAGATCCTACAAAAAGAGTGTATCAAAACTGCTCTGTCAAAAGGAAGGTTCTTCTCTGTTAGTTGAGTATATACGTCATAAATTAGTTTCTGAGAATGTTTCTGTCTAGTGGTTATGGGAAGATATTTGCTTTTTCACCGTAGGCCACAGAGCGATCAAAATATCCACTTGCACATACTACAAAAAGAGTGCTTCAAAGCTGCTCTCTGAAAGTGAATGTTCAACTCTATGAGTTGAATGCAAACATCACAAAGACGTTTCTGAGAATGCTTCTGTCTAGATTTGATATGAAGATATTCCCGTTTCCAACGAAATCTTCAAATCTATCCAAATGTCCACTTGCAGATTCAACAAAAAGTGTTTTTCAGAACTGCTCTATCAAAAGAACGATCCACCTCTGTTAGCTGAGTTCACACATCACAAACAAGTTTATGAGAATGCTTCTGTCTAGTTTTTATTTGAAGATATTGCCTTTCTCACCATAGACCTGAAAGCTGTCCTAATGTTCACTTCCAGATACTACAGAAAGAGTGTTTCAAAACTGCTGTACGAAAGGGAATGTTCAACTGTGTGACTTGAATGCACACATCACAAAGAAGTTTCTGAGGAGGCTGCTGTCTACTTTTTATACCTAATCCCGTTTCCAACGAAATCCTCCAAGCTATCCAAATATCCACTTGCAGATTCCGCAGAAAGACTGTTTCAAAACTGCTCTGTCAATAGAAAGGTTCAACTCTGTTAGCTGCGTGCATATATCCCAAAGAAGATTCTGAGATTGTTTCTGTCTAGTTTTTATGGGAAGATATTTCCCTTTTCACCGTAGGCGTCAAGGCGCTCCAAATGTCCACTTCCAGATACTACAAAAAGAGTGTTTCGAACCTACTCTGTGAAAGGGAATATTCAACTCTGTGACTTGAATGCACATATCACAAAGAAGTTTCTGAGAATGCTTCTGTCGAGATTTTATATGAAGATATTCCCGTTTCCAATGAAATCCTGAAATCTATCCAAATATCCCCTCGCAGATTCTACAAAAAGAGTGTTTCAAAACTGCTCTGTGAAAAGAAAGGTTCAACTCTCTTAGTTGAGTACACACATCACAAACAAGTTTCACAGAATGCTTCTTTCTAGCTTGTAGGGGAAGATATTCCCTTTATCACCATGGGCCTCAAACCGTCCGAAACGTCCACTTCCATATACTACAAAAAGAGCGTTTCAAACCTGCTCTAGGAAAGGCAATGTTCAACTCTGTGACTTGAATGCAGATATCACAGAGCAGTTTCTGAGAATGCTTCTGTCTAGATTTTATAGGAAGATATTCCCGTTTCCAACGAAACCTTCACAGCTATCCAAATATCCACTTGCAGATTCTACAAAAAGAGTGTATCAAAACTGCTCTGTCAAAAGGAAGGTTCTTTTCTGTTAGGTGAGTGCATACGTCATAAAGGAGTTTCTGAGAATGTTTCTGTCTAGTGGTTATGGGAAGATATTTGCTTTTTCACCTTAGGCCTCACAGCGATCCAAATATCCACTTGCACATACTACAAAAAGAGTGCTTCAAAGCTGCTCTCTGAAACGGAATGTTCAACTCTATGAGTTGAATGCAAACATCACAAAGACGTTTCTGAGAATGCTTCTGTCTAGATTTGATATGAAGATATTCCCGTTTCCAACGAAATCTTCAAATCTATCCAAATGTCCACTTGCAGATTCAACAAAAAGTGTTTTTCAGAACTGCTCTCTCAAAAGAAAGATCCACCTCTGTTAGCTGAGTTCACACATCACAAACAAGTTTATGAGAATGCTTCTGTCTAGTTTTTATTTGAAGATATTTCCTTTCTCACCATAGACCTGAAAGCTGTCCTAAAGTTCACTTCCAGATACTACAGAAAGAGCGTTTCAAAACTGCTGTACGAAAGGGAATGTTCAACTCTGTGACTTGAATGCACACATCACAAAGAAGTTTCTGAGGATGCTGCTGTCTACGTTTTATACGTAATCCCGTTTCCAACGAAATCCTCCAAGCTATCCAAATATCCACTTGCAGATTCCACAGAAAGACTGTTTCAAAACTGCTCTGTCAATAGAAAGGTTCAACTCTGTTAGCTGCGTGCATATATCCCAAAGAAGATTCTGAGATTGCTTCTGTCTAGTTTTTATGGGAAGATATATCCCTTTTCACCGTAGGCGTCAAGGCGCTCCAAATGTCCACTTCCGGATACTACAAAAAGAGTGTTTCAAACCTACTCTGTGAAAGGGAATATTCAACTCTGTGACTTGAAGGCAGATATCACAAAGAAGTTTCTGAGAATGCTTCTGTCGAGATTTTATATGAAGATATCCCCGTTTCCAACGAAATCCTGAAATCTATCCAAATATCCCCTCGCAGATTCTACAAAAAGAGTGTTTCAAAACTGCTCTGTAAAAAGAAAGGTTCAACTCTGTTAGTTGAGTACACACATCACAAACAAGTTTCACAGAATGCTTCTTTCTAGCTTGTAGGGGAAGATATTCCCTTTATCACCATGGGCCTCAAACCGTCCGAAACGTCCACTTCCATATACTACAAAAAGAGCGTCTCACACCTGCTCTATGAAAGGCAATGTTCAACTCTGTGACTTCAATGCAGACATCACAGAGCAGTTTCTGAGAATGCTTCTGTCCAGACTTTATAGGAAGATATTCCCGTTTCCAACGAAATCTTCACAGCTATCCAAATATCCACTTGCAGATACTACAAAAAGAGTGTATCAAAAGTGCTCTGTCAAAAGGAAAGTTCTTCTCTGCTAGTTGAGTACATACGTCATAAAGAAGTTTCTGAGAATGTTTCTGTCTAGTGGTTATGGGAAGATATTTGCTTTTTCACCGTAGGCCTCAGAGCGCTCAAAATATCCACTTGCACATACTACAAAAAGAGTGCTTCAAAGCTGCTCTCTGAAACGGAATGTTCAACTCTATGAGTTGAATGCAAACATCACAAAGACGTTTGCTGAGAATGCTTCTGTCTAGATTTGATATGAAGATATTCCCGTTTCCAACGAAATCTTCAAATCTATCCAAATGTCCACTTGCAGGTTCAACAAAATGTGTTTTTCAGAACTGCTCTATCAAAAGAAAGATCCACCTCTGTTAGCTGAGTTCACACATCACAAACAAGTTTATGAGAATGCTTCTGTCTAGTTTTTATTTGAAGATATTTCCTTTCTCACCATAGACCTGAAAGCTGTCCTAATGTTCACTTCCAGATACTAGAGAAAGAGTGTTTCAAAACTGCTGTACGAAAGGGAATGTTCAGCTCTTTGACTTGAATGCACACATCACAAAGAAGATTCTGAGGATGCTGCTGTCTACTTTTTATACGTAATCCCGTTTCCAACGAAATCCTCCAAGCTATCCAAATATCCACTTGCAGATTCCACAAAAAGACTGTTTCAAAACTGCTCTGTCAATAGAAAGGTTCAACTCTGTTAGCTGGGTGCATACATCCCAAAGAAGATTCTGAGATTGCTTCTGTCTAGTTTTTATGGGAAGATATTTCCCTTTTCACCGTAGGTGTCAAGGCGCTACAAATGTCCACTTCCAGATACTACAAAAAGAGTGTTTCAAACCTACTCTGTGAAAGGGAATATTCAACTCTGTGACTTGAATGCACATATCACAAAGAAGTTTCTGAGAATGCTTCCTTCGAGATTTTATGTGAAGATATTCCCGTTTCCAACGAAATCCTGAAATCTATCCAAATATCCCCTCGCAGATTCTACAAAAAGAGTGTTTCAAAACTGCTCTGTAAAAAGAAAGGTTCAACTCTGTTACTTGAGTACACACATCACAAACAAGTTTCACAGAATGCTTCTTTCTAGCTTGTAGGGGAAGATATTCCCTTTATCACCATGGGCCTCAAACCGTCCGAAACGTCAACTTCCATATACTACAAAAAGAGCGTTTCAAACCTGCTCTATGAAAGGCAATGTTCAACTCTGTGACTTGAATGCAGACATCACAGAGCAGTTTACTGAGAATGCTTCTGTCTAGATTTTATAGGAAGATATTCCCGTTTCCAACGAAATCTTCACAGCTATCCAAATATCCACTTGCAGATTCTACAAAAAGAGTGTATCAAAACTGCTCTGTCAAAAGGAAGGTTCTTCTCTCTTAGTTGAGTACATACGTCATAAAGGAGTTTCTGAGAATGTTCCTGTCTAGTGGTTATGGGAAGATATTTGCTTTTTCCCCGTAGGCCTCAAAGCGCTCCAAATGTCCACTTGCACATACTACAAAAAGAGTGCTTCAAAGCTGCTCTCTGAAAGGGAATGTTCAACTCTATGAGTTGAATGCAAACATGACAAAGACGTTTCTGAGAATGCTTCTGTCTAGATTTGATATGAAGATATTCCCGTTTCCAACGAAATCTTCAAATCTATCCAAATGTCCACTTGCAGATTCAACAAAAAGTGTTTTTCAGAACTGCTCTATCAAAAGAAAGATCCACGTCTCTTAGGTGAGTTCACACATCACAAACAAGTTTATGAGAATGCTTCTGTCTAGTTTTTATTTGAAGATATTGCCTTTCTCACCATAGACCTGAAAGCTGTCCTAATGTTCACTTCCAGATACTACAGAAAGAGTGTTTCAAAACTGCTGTACAAAAGGGAATGTTCAACTCTGTGACTTGAATGCACACATCACAAAGAAGTTTCTGAGGATGCTGCTGTCTACTTTTTATACGTAATCCCGTTTCCAACGAAATCCTCCAAGCTATCCAAATATCCACTTGCAGATTCCACAGAAAGACTGTTTCAAAACTGCTCTGTCAATAGAAAGGTTCAACTCTGTTAGCTGCGTGCATATATCACAAAGAAGATTCTGAGATTGCTTCTGTCTAGTTTTTATGGGAAGATATTTCCCTTTTCACCGTAGGCGTCAAGGCGCTCCAAATGTCCACCTCCAGATACTACAAAAAGAGTGTTTCAAACCTACTCTGTGAAAGGGAATATTCAACTCTGTGACTTGAATGCACATATCACAAAGAAGTTTCTGAGAATGCTTCTGTCGAGATTTTATATGAAGATATTCCCGTTTCCAACGAAATCCTGAAATCTATCCAAATATCCCCTCGCAGATTCTACAGAAAGAGTGTTTCAAAACTGCTCTGTAAAAAGAAAGGTTCAACTCTGTTACTTGAGTACACACATCAGAAACAAGTTTCACAGAATGCTTCTTTCTAGCTTGTAGGGGAAGATATTCCCTTTATCACCATGGGCCTCAAACCGTCCGAAACGTCCACTTCAATATACTACAAAAAGAGCGTTTCAAACCTGCTCTATGAAAGGCAATGTTCAACTCTGTGACTTGAATGCAGACATCACAGAGCAGTTTCTGAGAATGCTTTCTGTCTAGATTTTATAGGAAGATATTTCCGTTTCTAACGAAACCTTCACAGCTATCCAAATATCCACTTGCAGATTCTACAAAAAGAGTGGATCAAAACTGCTCTGTCAAAAGGAAGGTTCTTCTCTGTTAGTTGAGTACATACGTCATAAAGGAGTTTCTGAGAATGTTTCTGTCTAGTGGTTATGGGAAGATATTTGCTTTTTCACCGTAGGCCCCAGAGCGCTCCAAATATCCACTTGCACATACTACAAAAAGAGTGCTTCAAAGCTGCTCTCTGAAACGGAATGTTCAACTCTATGAGTTGAATGCAATCATCACAAAGACGTTTCTGAGAATGCTTCTGTCTAGATTTGATATGAAGATATTCCCGTTTCCCAACGAAATCTTCATATCTATCCAAATGTCCACTTGCAGATTCAACAAAAAGTGTTTTTCAGAACTGCTGTATCAAAAGAAAGATCCACGTCTGTTAGCTGAGTTCACACATCACAAACAAGTTTATGAGAATGCTTCTGTCTGGTTTTTATTTGAAGATATTTCCTTTCTCACCATAGAGCTGAAAGCTGTCCTAATGTTCACTTCCAGATACTACAGAAAGAGTGTTTCAAAACTGCTGTACGAAAGGGAATGTTCAACTCTGTGACTTGAATGCACACATCACAAAGAAGTTTCTGAGGATGCTGCTGTCTACTTTTTATACGTAATCCCGTTTCCAACGAAATCCTCCAAGCTATCCAAATATCCACTTGCAGATTCCACAGAAAGACTGTTTCAAAACTGCTCTGTCAATAGAAAGGTTCAACTCTGTTAGCTGCGTGCATATATCCCAGAGAAGATTCTGAGATTGCTTCTGTCTACTTTTTATGAGAAGATATTTCCCTTTTCACCGTAGGCGTCAAGGCGCTCCAAATGTCCACTTCCAGATACTACAAAAAGATTGTTTCAAACCTACTCTGTGAAAGGGAATATTCAACTCTGTGACTTGAATGCACATATCACAAAGAAGTTTCTGAGAATGCTTCTGTCGAGATTTTATATGAAGATATTCCCGTTTCCAACGAAATCCTGAAATCTATCCAAATATCCCCTCGCAGATTCTACAAAAAGAGTGTTTCAAAACTGCTCTGTAAAAAGAAAGGTTCAACTCTGTTAGTTGAGTACACACATCACAAACAATTTCACAGAATGCTTCTTTCTAGCTTGTAGGGGAAGATATTCCCTTTATCACCATGGGCCTCAAACCGTCCGAAACGTCCACTTCCATATACTACCAAAAGAGCGTTTCAAACCTGCTCTAGGAAAGGCAATGTTCAACTCCTGTGACTTGAATGCGGACATCAGAGAGCAGTTTCTGAGAATGCTTCTGTCTAGATTTTATAGGAAGATATTCCCGTTTCCAACAAAATCTTCACAGGTATCCAAATATCCACTTGCAGATTCTACAAAAAGAGTGTATCAAAACTGCTCTGTCAAAAGGAAGGTTCTTCTCTGTTAGGTGAGTGCATACGTCATAAAGGAGTTTCTGAGAATGTTTCTGTCTAGTGGTTATGGGAAGATATTTGCTTTTTCACCGTAGGCCTCAGAGCGCTCCAAATATCCACTTGCACATACTACAAAAAGAGTGCCTCAAACTGCTCTCTGAAACGGAATGTTCAACTCTATGAGTTGAATGCAAACATCGCAAAGACGTTTCTGAGAATGCTTCTGTCTAGATTTGATATGAAGATATTCCCTTTTCCAAGGAAATCTTCAAAACTATCCAAATGTCCACTTGCAGATTCAACAAAAAGTGTTTTTCAGAACTGCTCTATCAAAAGAAAGATCCACCGTTGTTAGCTGAGTTCACACATCACAAACAAGTTTATGAGAATGCTTGTCTGTCTAGTTTTTATTTGAAGATATTTCCTTTCTCACCATAGACCTGAAAGCTGTCCTAATGTTCACTCCCAGATACTACAGAAAGAGTGTTTCAAAACTGCTGTACGAAAGGGAATGTTCAACTCTGTGACTTGAATGCACACATCACAAAGAAGATTCTGAGGATGCTGCTGTCTACTTTTTATACGTAATCCCGTTTCCAACGAAATCCTCCAAGCTATCCAAATATCCACTTGCAGATTCCACAGAAAGACTGTTTCAAAACTGCTCTGTCAATAGAAAGGTTCAACTCTGTTAGCTGCGGGCATATATCCCAAAGAAGATTCTGAGATTGCTTCTGTCTAGTTTTTATGGGAAGATATTTCCCTTTTCACCGTAGGTGTCAAGGCGCTCCAAATGTCCACTTCCAGATACTACAAAAAGAGTGTTTCAAACCTACTCTGTGAAAGGGAATATTCAACTCTGTGACGTGAATGCACATATCACAAAGAAGTTTCTGAGAATGCTTCTGTCGAGATTTTATATGAAGATATTCCCGTTTCCAACGAAATCCTGAAATCTATCCAAATATCCCCTCACATATTCTACAAAAAGAGTGTTTCAAAACTGCTCTGTAAAAAGAAAGGTTCAACTCTGTTAGTTGAGTACACACCTCACAAACAAGTTTCACAGAATGCTTTCTTTCTAGCTTGTAGGGGAAGTATATTCCCTTTATCACCATGGGCCTCAAACCGTCCGAAAAGTCCACTTCCATATACTACAAAAAGAGCGTTTCAAACCTGCTCTATGAAAGGCAATGTTCAACTCTGTGACTTGAATGCAGACATCACAGAGCAGTTTCTGAGAATGCTTCTGTCTAGATTTTATAGGAAGATATTCCCGTTTCCAACGAAATCTTCACAGCTATCCAAATATCCACTTGCAGATTCTACAAAAAGAGTGTATCAAAACTGCTCTGTCAAAAGGAAGGTTCTTTTCTGTTAGGTGTGTGCATACGTCATAAAGGAGTTTCTGAGAATGTTCCTGTCTAGTGGTTATGGGAAGATATTTGCTTTTTCCCCGTAGACCTCAAAGCGCTCCAAATGTCCACTTGCACATACTACAAAAAGAGTGCTTCAAAGCTGCTCTCTGAAAGGGAATGTTCAACTCTATGAGTTGAATGCTAACATCACAAAGACGTTTCTGAGAATGCTTCTGTCTAGATTTGATATGAAGATATTCCCGTTTCCAACGAAATCTTCAAATCTATCCAAATGTCCACTTGCAGATTCAACAAAAAGTGTTTTTCAGAACTGCTCTATCAAAAGAAAGATCCACCCCTGTTAGCTGAGTTCACACATCACAAACAAGTTTATGAGTATGCTTCTGTCTAGTTTTTATTTGAAGATATTTCCTTTCTCACCATAGACCTGAAAGCTGTCCTAATGTTCACTTCCAGATACTACAGAAAGAGTGTTTCAAAACTGCTGCACGAAAGGGAATGTTCAACTCTGTGACTTGAATGCACACATCACAAAGAAGTTTCTGAGGATGCTGCTGTCTATTTTTTATACGTAATCCCGTTTCCAACGAAATCCTCCAAGCTATCCAAATATCCACTTGCAGATTCCACAGAAAGACTGTTTCAAAACTGCTCTGTCAATAGAAAGGTTCAACTCTATTAGCTGCGTGCATATATCTCAAAGAAGATTCTGAGATTGCTTCTGTCTAGTTTTTATGGGAAGATATTTCCCTTTTCACCGTAGGCGTCAAGGCGCTCCAAATGTCCACTTCCAGATACTACAAAAAGAGTGTTTCAAACCTACTCTGTGAAAGGGAATATTCAACTCTGTGACTTGAATGCAGATATCACAAAGAAGTTCCTGAGAATGCTTCTGTCGAGATTTTATATGAAGATATTCCCGTTTCCAACGAAATCCTGAAATCTATCGAAATATCCCCTCGCAGATTCTACAAAAAGAGTGTTTCAAAACTGCTCTGTAAAAAGAAAGGTTCAACTCTGTTAGTTGAGTACACACATCACAAACAAGTTTCACAGAATGCTTCTCTTTCTAGCTTGTAGGGGAAGATATTCCCTTTATCACCATGGACCTCCAACCGTCCGAAACATCCACTTCCATATACTACAAAAAGAGCGTTTCAAACCTGCTCTATGAAAGGCAATGTTCAACTCTGTGACTTGAATGCAGACATCACAGAGCAGTTTCTGAGAATGCTTCTGTCTAGATTTCATAGGAAGATATTCCCGTTTCCAACGAAATCTTCACAGCTATCCAAATATCCACTTGCAGATTCTACAAAAAGAGTGTATCAAAACTGCTCTGTCAAAAGGAAGGTTCTTCTCTGTTACTTGAGTGCATACGTCACAAAGGAGTTTCTGAGAATGTTTCTGTCTAGTGGTTATGGGAAGATATTTGCTTTTTCACCGTAGGCCTCAGAGCGCTCCAAATATCCACTTGCACATACTACAAAAAGAGTGCCTCAAAGCTGCTCTCTGAAACGGAATGTTCAAATCTATGAGTTGAATGCAAACATCACAAAGACGTTTCTGAGAATGCTTCTGTCTAGATTTGATATGAAGATATTCCCGTTTCCAACGAAATCTTCAAATCTATCCAAATGTCCACTTGCAGATTCAACAAAAAGTGTTTTTCAGAACTGCTCTATCAAAAGAAAGATCCACCTCTGTTAGCTGAGTTCACACATCACAAAGAAGTTGATGAGAATGCTTCTGTCTAGTTTTTATTTGAAGATATTTCCTTTCTCACCATAGACCTGAAAGCTGTCCTAATGTTCACTTCCAGATACTACAGAAAGAGCGTTTCAAAACTGATGTACGAAAGGGAATGTTCAACTCTGTGACTTGAATGCCCACATCACAAAGAAGTTTCTGAGGATGCTGCTGTCTACTTTTTATACGTAATCCCGTTTCCAACGAAATCCTCCAAGCTATCCAAATATCCACTTGCAGATTCCACAGAAATACTGTTTCAAAACTGCTCTGTCAATAGAAAGGTTCAACTCTGTTAGCTGCGTGCATATATCCCAAAGAAGATTCTGAGATTGCTTCTGTCTAGTTTTTATGGGAAGATATTTCCCTTTTCACCGTAGGCGTCGAGGCGCTCCAAATGTCCACTTCCAGATACTACAAAAAGAGTGTTTCAAACCTACTCTGTGAAAGGGAATATTCAACTCTGTGACTTGAATGCACATATCACAAAGAAGTTTCTGAGAATGCTTCTGTCGAGATTTTATATGAAGATATTCTCGTTTCCAACGAAATCCTGAAATCTATCCAAATATCCCCTCACAGATTCTACAAAAAGAGTGTTTCAAAACTGCTCTGTAAAAAGAAAGGTCCAACTCTGTTAGTTGAGTACACACATCACAAACAAGTTTCACAGAATGCTTCTTTCTAGCTTGTAGGGGAAGATATTCCCTTTATCACCATGGGCCTCAAACCGTCCGAAACGTCCACTTCCATATACTACAAAAAGAGCGTTTCAAACCTGCTCTAGGAAAGGCAGTGTTCAACTCTGTGACTTGAATGCAGACATCACAGAGCAGTTTCTGAGAATGCTTCTGTCTAGATTTTATAGGAAGATATTCCCGTTTGCAACGAAATCTTCACAGCTATCCAACTATCCACTTGCAGATTCTACAAAAAGAGTGTATCAAAACTGCTCTGTCAAAAGGAAGGTTCTTCTCTGTTAGGTGAGTGCATACATCATAAAGGAGTTTCTGAGAATGTTTCTGTCTAGTGGTTATGGGAAGATATTTGCTTTTTCACCGTAGGCCTCAGTAGCGCTCCAAATATCCACTTGCACATACTACAAAAAGAGTGCCTCAAAGCTGCTCTCTGAAACGGAATGTTCAACTCTATGAGTTGAATGCAAACATCGCAAAGACGTTTCTGAGAATGCTTCTGTCTAGATTTGATATGAAGATATTGCCGTTTCCAACGAAATCTTCAAATCTATCCAAATGTCCACTTGCAGATTCAACAAAAAGTGTTTTTCAGAACTGCTCTATCAAAAGAAAGATCCACCTGTGTTAGATGAGTTCACACATCACAAACAAGTTTATTAGAATGCTTCTGTCTAGTTTTTATTTGAAGATATTTCCTTTCTCACCATAGACCTGAAAGCTGTCCTAATGTTCACTTCCAGATACTACAGAAAGAGTGTTTCAAAACTGCTGTACGAAAGGGAATGTTCAACTCTGTGACTTGAATGCACACATCAAAAAGAAGTTTCTGAGGATGCTTCTGTCAAAATTTGATATGAAGATATTCCCGTTTCCAACGAAATCTTCAAATCTATCCAAATGTCCACTTGCAGATTCAACAAAAAGTGTTTTTCAGAACTGCTCTATCAAAAGAAAGATCCACCTCTGTTAGCTGAGCTCACACATCACAAACAAGTTTACGAGAATGCTTCTGTCTAGTTTTTATTTGAAGATATTTCCTTTCTCACCATAGAGCTGAAAGCTGTCCTAATGTTCACTTCCAGATACTACAGAAAGAGTGTTTCAAAACTGCTGTACGAAAGGGAATGTTCAACTCTGTGACTTGAATGCACATATCACAAAGAAGTTTCTGAGAATGCTTCTGTCGATCTTTTATATGAAGATATTCCCGTTTCCAACGAAATCCTGAAATCTATCCAAATATCCCCTCGCAGATTCTACAAAAAGAGTGTTTCAAAACTGCTCTGTAAAAAGAAAGGTTCAACTCTGTTAGTTGAGTACACACATCACAAACAAGTTTCACAGAATGCTTCTTTCTAGCTTGCAGGGGAAGATATTCCCTTTATCACCATGGTCCTCAAACCGTCCGAAACGTCCACTTCCATATACTACAAAAAGAGCGTTTCAAACCTGCTCTAGGAAAGGCAATGTTCAACTCTGTGACTTGAATGCAGACATCACAGAGCAGTTTCTGAGAATGCTTCTGTCTAGATTTTATAGGAAGATATTCCCGTTTCCAACGATATCTTCACAGCTATCCCAATATCCACTTGCAGATTCTACAAAAAGAGTGTATCAAAACTGCTCTGTCAAAAGGAAGGTTCTTCTCTGTTAGGTGAGTGCATACGTCATAAAGGAGTTTCTGAGAATGTTTCTGTCTAGTGGTTATGGGAAGATATTTGCTTTTTCACCGTAGGCCTCAGAGCGCTCCAAATATCCACTTGCACATACTACAAAAAGAGTGCTTCAAAGCTGCTCTCTGAAACGGAATGTTCAACTGCTATGAGTTGAATGCAAACATCACAAAGACGTTTCTGAGAATGCTTCTGTCTAGATTTGATATGAAGATATTCCCGTTTCCAAAGAAATCTTCAAATCTATCCAAATGTCCACTTGCAGATTCAACAAAAAGTGTTTTTCAAAACTGCTGTATCAAAAGAAAGATCCACCTCTGTTAGCTGCGTTCACACATCACAAACAAGTTTATGAGAATGCTTCTGTCTAGTTTTTATTTGAAGATATTTCCTTTCTCACCATAGAGCTGAAAGCTGTCCTAATGTTCACTTCCAGATACTACAGAAAGAGTGTTTCAAAACTGCTGTACGAAAGGGAATGTTCAAATCTGTGACTTGAATGCACACATCACAAAGAAGTTTCTGAGGATGCTGCTGTCTACTTTTTATACGTAATCCCGTTTCCAACGAAATCCTCCAAGCTATCCAAATATCCACTTGCAGATTCCACAGAAAGACTGTTTCAAAAATGCTCTGTTAATAGAAAGGTTCAACTCGGTTAGCTGCGTGCATATATCCCAAAGAAGATTCTGAGATTGCTTCTGTCTAGTTTTTATGGGAAGATATTTCCCTTTTCACCGTAGGTGTCAAGGTGCTCCAAATGTCCACTTCCAGATACTACAAAGAGTGTTTCAAACCTACTCTGTGAAAGGGAATATTCAACTCTGTGACTTGAATGCAGATATCACAAAGAAGTTTCTGAGAATGCTTCTGTCGAGATTTTATATTAAGATATTCCCGTTTCCAACGAAATCCTGAAATCTATCCAAATATCCCCTCGCAGATTCCACAAAAAGAGTGTTTCAAAACTGCTCTGTAAAAAGAAAGGTTCAACTCTGTTAGTTGAGTACACACATCACAAACAAGTTTCACAGAATGCTTCTTTCTAGCTTGTAGGGGAAGATATTTCCTTTATCACCATGGGCCTCAAACGGCTCGAAATTTCCACTTCCATATACTACAAAAAGAGCGTTTCAAACCTGCTCTATGAAAGGCAATGTTGAACTCTGTGACTTGAATGCAGACATCACAGAGCAGTTTCTGAGCATGCTTCTGTCTAGATTTTATAGGAAGATATTCTCGTTTCCAACGAAATCTTCACAGCTATCCAAATATCCACTTGCAGATTCTACAAAAAGAGTGTATCAAAACTGCTCTGTGAAAAGGAAGGTTCTTCTCTGTTAGGTGAGTGCATACGTCATAAAGGAGTTTCTGAGATTGTTTCTGTCTAGTGGTTATGGGAAGATATTTGCTTTTTCACCGTAGGCCTCAGAGTGCTCCAAATATCCACTTGCACATACTACAAAAAGAGTGCTTCAAAGCTGCTCTCTGAAACGGAATGTTCAACTCTATGAGTTGAATGCAAACATGACAAAGACGTTTCTGAGAATGCTTCTGTCTAGATTTGATATGAAGATATTCCCGTTTCCAACGAAATCTTCAAATCTATCCAAATGTCCACTTGCAGATTCAATTAAAAGGGTTTTTCATAACTGGTGTATCAAAAGAAAGACCCACCTCTGTTAGTTGAGATCACACATCACAAACAAGTTTATGAGAATGCTTCTGTCTAGTTTTTATTTGAAGATATTTCCTTTCTCACCATAGAGCTGAAAGCTGTCCTAATGTTCACTTCCAGATACTACAGAAAGAGTGTTTCAAAACTGCTGTACGAAAGGGAATGTTCAACTCTGTGACTTGAATGCACACATCACAAAGAAGTTTCTAAGGATGCTGCTGTCTACTTTTTATACATAATCCCGTTTCCAACGAAATCCTCCAAGCTATCCAAATATCCATTTGCAGATTCCACAGAAAGACTGTTTCAAAACTGCTCTGTCAATAGAAAGGTTCAACTCTGTTAACTGCGTGCATATATCCCAAAGAAGATTCTGAGATTGCTTCTGTCTAGTTTTTATGGGAAGATATTTCCCTTTCCACCGTAGGCGTCAAGGCGCTCCAAATGTCCACTTCCAGATACTACAAAAAGAGTGTTTCAAACCTACTCTGTGAAAGGGAATATTCAACTCTGTGACTTGAATGCACATATCACAAAGAAGTTTCTGAGAATGCTTCTGTCGAGATTTTATATGAAGATATTCCAGTTTCCAACGAAATCCTGAAATCTATCCAAATATCCCCTCGCAGATTCTACAGAAAGAGCGTTTCAAAACTGCTCTGTAAAAAGAAAGGTTCAACTCTGTTACTTGAGTACACACATCACAAACAAGTTTCACAGAATGCTTCTTTCTAGCTTGTAGGGGAAGATATTCCCTTTATCACCATGGGCCTCAAACCGTCCGAAACGTCCACTTCCATATACTACAAAAAGAGAGTTTCAAACCTGCTCTATGAAACGCAATGTTCAACTCTGTGACTTGAATGCAGACATCACAGAGCAGTTTCTGAGAATGCTTCTGTCTAGATTTTATAGGAAGATATTCCCGTTTCCAACGAAATCTTCACAGCTATCCAAATATCCACTTGCAGATTCTACAAAAAGAGTGTATCAAAACTGGTCTGTCAAAAGGAAGGTTCTTCTCTGTTAGGTGAGTGCATACGTCATAAAGGAGTTTCTGAGAATGTTTCTGTCTAGTGGTTTTGGGAAGATATTTGCTTTTTCACCGTAGGCCTCACAGCGCACCAAATATCCACTTGCACATACTACAAAAAGAGTGCCTCAAAGCTGCTCTCTGAAACGGAATGTTCAACTCTATGGGTTGAATGCAAACATCACAAAGACGTTTCTGAGAATGCTTCTGTCTAGATTTGATATGACGATATTCCCGTTTCCAACGAAATCTTCAAATCTATCCAAATGTCCACTTGCAGATTCAACAAAACGTGTTTTTCAGAACTGCTCTATCAAAAGAAAGATCCACCTCTGTTAGCTGAGTTCACACATCACAAACAAGTTGATGAGAATGCTTCTGTCTAGTTGTTATTTGAAGATATTTCCTTTCTCACCATAGACCTGAAAGCTGTCCTAATGTTCACTTCCAGATACTACAGAAAGAGTGTTTCAAAACTGCTGTACGAAAGGGAATGTTCAACTCTGTGACTTGAATGCACACATCACAAAGAAGTTTCTGAGGATGCTGCTGTCTACTTTTTATACGTAATCCCGTTTCCAACGAAATCCTCGAATCTATCCAAATATCCACTTGCAGATTCCACAGAAAGACTGTTTCAAAACTGCTCTGTCAATAGAAAGGTTCAACTCTGTTAGCTGCGTGCATATATCCCAAAGAAGATTCTGAGATTGCTTCGGTCTAGTTTGTATGGGAAGATATTTCCCTTTTCACCGTAGGCGTCAAGGCGCTCCAAATGTCCACTTCCAGATACTACAAAAAGAGTGTTTCAAACCTACTCTGTGAAAGGGAATATTCAACTCTGTGACTTGAATGCACATATCACAAAGAAGTTTCTGAGAATGCTTCTGTCGAGATTTTATATGAAGATATTCTCGTTTACAACGAAATCCTGAAATCTATCCAAATATCCCCTCGCAGATTCTACAAAAAGAGTGTTTCAAAACTGCTCTGTAAAAAGAAAGGTTCAACTCTGTTAGTTGAGTACACACATCACAAACAAGTTTCACAGAATGCTTCTTTCTAGCTTGTAGGGGAAGATATTCCCTTTATCACCATCGGCCTCAAACCGTGTGAAACGTCCACTTCCATATACTACAAAAAGAGCATTTCAAACCTGCTCTATGAAAGGCAATGTTCAACTCTGTGACTTGAATGCAGACATCACAGAGCAGTTTCTGAGAATGCTTCTGTCTAGATTTTATAGGAAGATATTCCCGTTTCCAACGAAATCTTCACAGCTATCCAAATATCCACTTGCAGATTCTACAAAAAGAGTGTATCAAAACTGCTCTGTCAAAAGGAAGGTTCTTCTCTGTTAGGTGAGTGCATACATCATAAAGGAGTTTCTGAGAATGTTTCTGTCTAGTGGTTATGGGAAGATATTTGCTTTTTCACCGTAGGCCTCAGTAGCGCTCCAAATATCCACTTGCACATACTACAAAAAGAGTGCTTCACAGCTGCTCTCTGAAAGGGAATGTTCAACTCTATGAGTTGAATGCAAACATCACAAAGACGTTTCTGAGAATGCTTCTGTCTAGTTTTGATATGAAGATATTCCCGTTTCCAACGAAATCTTCAAATCTATCCAAATGTCCACTTGCAGATTCAACAAAAAGTGTTTTTCAAAACTGCTATATGAAAAGAAAGATCCACCTCTGTTAGTTGAGTTCACACATCACAAACAAGTTTATGAGAATGCTTCTGTCTAGTTTTTATTTGAAGATATTTTCTTTCTCACCATAGACCTGAAAGCTCTCGTAACGTTCACTTCCAGATACTAGAGAAAGAGTGTTTCAAACCTGCTCTACGAAAGGGAATGTTGAACTCTGTGACTTGAATGCACACATCACAACGAAGTTTCTGAGAATGCTGCTGGCTACTTTTTATACGTAATCCCGTTTCCAACGAAATCCTCCAAGCTATCCAAATATCCATTTGCAGATTCCACAGAAAGACTTTTTCAAAACTGCTCTGTCAATAGAAAGGTTCAACTCTGTTAGCTGCGTGCATATATCCCAAAGAAGATTCTGAGATTGCTTCTGTCTAGTTTTTATGGGAATATATTTCCCTTTTCACCGTAGGCGTCAAGGCGCTCCAAATGTCCACTTCCAGATACTACAAAAAGAGTGTTTCAAACCTACTCTGTGAAAGGGAATATTCAACTCTGTGACTTGAATGCACATATCAAAAAGAAGTTTCTGAGAATGCTTCTGTCGAGCATTTTATATGAAGATATTCCCGTTTCCAACGAAATGCTGAAATGTATCCAAATATCCCCTCGCAGATTCTACAAAAAGAGTGTTTCAAAACTGCTCTGTAAAAAGAAAGGTTCAACTCTGTTAGTTGAGTACACACATCACAAACAAGTTTCACAGAATGCTTCTGTCTAGATTTTATAGGAAGATATTCCCGTTTCCAACGAAATCTTCACAGCTATCCAAATATCCACTTGCAGATTCCACAAAAAGAGTGTATCAAAACTGCTCTGTCAAAAGGAAGGTTCTTTTCTGTTAGGTGAGTGCATACGTCATAAAGGAGTTTCTGAGAATGTTTCTGTCTAGTGGTTATGGGAAGATATTTGCTTTTTCACCGTAGGCCTCAGAGCGCTCCAAATATCCACTTGCACATACTACAAAAAGAGTGCTTCAAACCTCCTCTCTGAAACGGAATGTTCAACTCTATGAGTTGAATGCAAACATCACAAAGACGTTTCTGAGAATGCTTCTGTCTAGATTTGATATGAAGATATTCCCGTTTCCAACGAAATCATCAAATCTATCCAAATGTCCACTTGCAGATTCAACAAAGTGTTTTTCAAAACTGCTGTATCAAAAGAAAGATCCACCTCTGTTAGCTGAGTTCACACTTCACAAACAAGTTTATCAGAAAGCTTCTGTCTAGTTTTTATTTGAAGATATTTCCTTTCTCACCATAGACCTGAAAGCTGTCCTAATGTTCACTTCCAGTTACTACAGAAAGAGTGTTTCAAAACTGCTGTACGAAAGGGAATGTTCAACTCTGTGACTTGAATGCACACATCTCAAAGAAGTTTCTGAGGATGCTGCTGTCTACTTTTTATACTTAATCCCGTTTCCAACGAAATCCTCCAAGTTATCCAAATATCCACTTGCAGATTCCACAGAAAGACTGTTTCAAAACTGCTCTGTCAATAGAAAGGTTCAACTCTGTTAGCTGCGTGCATATATCCCAAAGAAGATTCTGAGATTGCTTCTGTCTAGTTTTTATGGGAAGATATTTCCCTTTTCACCGTAGGCGTCAAGGCGCTCCAAATGTCCACTTCCAGATACTACAAAAAGAGTGTTTCAAACCTCCTCTGTGAAAGCGAATATTCAACTCTGTGACTTGAATGCACATATCACAAAGAAGTTTCTGAGAATGCTTCTGTCGAGATTTTATATGAAGATATTCCCGTTTCCAACGAAATCCTGAAATCTATCCAAATATCCCCTCGCAGATTCTACAAAAAGAGTGTTTCAAAGCTGCTCTGTAAAAAGAAAGGTTCAACTCTGTTAGTTGAGTACACACATCACAAACAAGTTTCATAGAATGCTTCTTTCTAGCTTGTAGGGGAAGATATTCCCTTTATCACCATGGGCCTCAAACCGTCCGATAAGTCCACTTCCATATAATACAAAAAGAGCGTTTCAAACCTGCTCTATGAAAGGCAATGTTCAACTCTGTGACTTGAATGCAGACATCACAGAGCAGTTTCTGAGAATGCTTCTGTCTAGATTTTATAGGAAGATATTCCCGTTTCCAACGAAATCTTCATAGCTATCCAAATATCCACTTGCAGATTCTACAAAAAGAGTGTATCAAAACTGCTCTGTCAAAAGGAAGGTTCTTCTCTGTTAGTTGAGTACATACTTCATAAAGGAGTTTCTGAGAATGCTTCTGTCTAGTGGTTATGGGAAGATATTTGCTTTTTCACCGTAGGCCTCAGAGCGCTCCAAATATCCACTTGCACATACTACAAAAAGAGTGCCTCACAGCTGCTCTCTGAAACGGAATGTTCAAATCTATGAGTTGAATGCAAACATCGCAAAGACGTTTCTGAGAATGCTTCTGTCTAGATTTGATATGAAGATATTCCCGTTTCCAACGAAATCTTCAAATCTATCCAAATGTGCACTTGCAGATTCAACAAAAAGTGTTTTTCAGAACTGCTCTATCAAAAGAAAGATCCACGTGTGTTAGCTGAGTTCACACATTACGAACAAGTTTATGAGAATGCTTCTGTCTAGTTTTTATTTGAAGATATTTCCTTTCTCACCATAGAGCTGAAAGCTGTCCTAATGTTCACTTCCAGATACTACAGAAAGAGTGTTTCCAAACTGCTGTACGAAAGGGAATGTTCAACTCTGTGACTTGAATGCACACATCACAAAGAAGTTTCGGAGGATGCTGCTGTCTACTTTTTATACGTAATCCCGTTTCCAACGAAATCCTCCAAGCTATCCAAATATCCACTTGCAGATTCCACAGAAAGACTGTTTCAAAACTGCTCTGTCAATAGAAAGGTTCAACTCTGTTAGCTCCGTGCATATATCCCAAAGAAGATTCTGAGATTGCTTCTGTCTAGTTTTTATGGGAAGATATTTCCCTTTTCACCGTAAGCGTCAAGGCGCTCCAAATGTCCACTTCCAGATACTACAAAAAGAGTGTTTCAAACCTACTCTGTGAAAGGGAATATTCAACTCTGTGACTTGAATGCACATATCACAAAGAAGTTTCTGAGAATGCTTCTGTCGAGATTTTATATGAAGATATTCCCCTTTCCAACGAAATCCTGAAATCTATCCAAATATCCCCTCGCAGATTCTACAAAAAGAGTGTTTCAAAACTGCTCTGTAGAAAGAAAGGTTCAACTCTGTTAGTTGAGTACACACATCACAAACAAGTTTCACAGAATGCTTCTTTCTAGCTTGTAGGGGAAGATATTCCCTTTATCACCATGGGCCTCAAACCGTCCGAAACGTCAACTTCCATATACTAAAAAAAGAGCGTTTCAAACCTGCTCTATGAAAGGCAATGTTCAACTCTGTGACTTGAATGCAGACATCACAGAGCAGTTTCTGAGAATGCTTCTGTCTAGATTTTATAGGAAGATATTCCCGTTTCCAACGAAATCTTCACAGCTATCCAAATATCCACTTGGAGATTCTACAAAAAGAGTGTATCAAAAATGCTCTGTCAAAAAGAAGGTTCTTCTCTGTTAGTTGAGTACATACGTCATAAAGGAGTTTCTGAGAATGTTTCTGTCTAGTGGTTATGGGAAGATATTTGCTTTTTCACCGTAGGCCTCAGAGCGCTCAAAATATCCACTTGCACATACTACAAAAAGAGTGCCTCAAAGCTGCTCTCTGAAACGGAATGTTCAACTCTATGAGTTGAATGCCAACATCACAAAGACGTTTCTGAGAATGCTTCTGTCTAGATTTGATATGAAGATATTCCCGTTTCCAACGACATCTTCAAATCTATCCAAATGTCCACTTGCAGATTCAACAAAACGTGTTTTTCAGAACTGCTCTATCAAAAGAAACATCCACCTCTGTTAGCTGAGTTCACACATAACAAACAAGTTCTTGAGAATGCTTTCTGTCTAGTTTTTATTTGAAGATATTTCCTTTCTCACCATAGACCTGAAAGCTGTCCTAATGTTCACTTCCAGATACTACAGAAAGAGTGTTTCAAAACTGCTGTACGAAAGGGAATGTTCAACTCTTTGACTTGAATGCACACATCACAAAGAAGATTCTGAGGATGCTGCTGTCTACTTTTTATACGTAATCCCGTTTCCAACGAAATCCTCCAAGCTATCCAAATATCCACTTGCAGATTCCACAGAAAGACTGTTTCAAAACTGCTCTGTCAATAGAAAGGTTCAACTCTGTTAGCTGCGTGCATATATCCCAAAGATGATTCTGAGATTTCTTCTGTCTAGTTTTTATGGGAAGATATTTCCCTTTTCACTGTAGGCGTCAAGGCGCTCCAAATGTCCACTTCCAGATACTACAAAAAGAGTGTTTCAAACCGACTCTGTGAAAGGGAATATTCAACTCTGTGACTTGAATGCAGATATCACAAAGAAGTTTCTGAGAATGCTTCTGTCGAGATTTTATATGAAGATAATCCCCTTTCCAACGAAATCCTGAAATCTATCCAAATATCCCCTCGCAGATTCTACAAAAAGAGTGTTTCAAAACTGCTCTGTAAAAAGAAAGGTTCAACTCTGTTAGTTGAGTACACACATCACAAACAAGTTTCACAGAATGCTTGTCTTTCTAGCTTGTAGGGCAAGATATTCCCTTTATCACCATGGGCCTCAAACCGTCCGAAACGTCCACTTCCATATACTACAAAAAGAGCGTTTCAAACCTGCTCTATGAAAGGCAATGTTCAACTCTGTGACTTGAATGCAGACATCACAGAGCAGTTTCTGAGAATGCTTCTGTCTAGATTTTATAGGAAGATATTCCCGTTTCCAACGAAATCTTCACAGCTATCCCAATATCCTCTTGCAGATTCTACAAAAAGAGTGTATCAAAACTGCTCTGTCAAAAGGAAGGTTCTTCTCTGTTAGGTGAGTGCATACGTCATAAAGGAGTTTCTGAGAATGTTTTCTGTCTAGTGGTTATGGGAAGATATTTGCTTTTTCACAGAAGGCCTCAGAGCGCTCCAAATATCCACTTGCACATACTACAAAAAGAGTGCCTCAAAGCTGCTCTCTGAAACGGAATGTTCAACTTTATGAGTTGAATGCAAACATCACAAAGACGTTTCCGAGAATGCTTCTGTCTACATTTGATATGAAGATATTCCCGTTTCCAACGAAATCTTCAAATCTATCCAAATGTCCCCTTGCAGATTCAACAAAAAGTGTTTTTCAGAACTGCTCTATCAAAAGAAAGATCCACCTCTGTTAGCTGAGTTCACACATCACAAACAAGTTTATGAGAATGCTTCTGTCTAGTTTTTATTTGAAGATATTTCCTTTCTCACCATAGACCTGAAAGCTGTCCTAATGTTCACTTCCAGATGCTACAGAAAGAGTCTTTCAAAACTGGTGTACGAAAGGGAATGTTCAACTCTGTGACTTGAATGCACACATCACAAAGAAGTTTCTGAGGATGCTGCTGTCTACTTTTTATACGTAATCCCGTTTCCAACGAAATCCTCCAAGCTATCCAAATATCCACTTGCAGATTCCACAGAAAGACTGTTTCAAAACTGCTCTGTCAATAGAAAGGTTCAACACTGTTAGCTGCGTGCATATATCCCAAAGAAGATTCTGAGATTGCTTCTGTCTCGTTTTTATGGGAAGATATTTCCCTTTTCACCGTAGGCGTCAAGGCGCTCCAAATGTCCACTTCCAGATACTACAAAAAGAGTGTTTCAAACCTACTCTGTGAAAGGGAATATTCAACTCTGTGACTTGAATGCACATATCACAAAGAAGTTTCTGAGAATGCTTCTGTCGAGATTTTATATGAAGATATTCCCGTTCCCAACGAAATCCTGAAATCTATCCAAATATCCCCTCGCAGATTCTACAAAAAGAGTGTTTCAAAACTGCTCTGTAAAAAGGAAGGTTCAACTCTGTTAGTTGAGTACACACATCACAAACAAGTTTCACAGAATGCTTCTTTCTAGCTTGTAGGGGAAGATATTCCCTTTATCACCATGGGCCTCAAACCGTCCGAAACGTCTACTTCCATATACTACAAAAAGAGCGTTTCAAACCTGCTCTATGAAAGGCAATGTTCAACTCTGTGACTTGAATGCAGACATCACAGCAGCAGTTTCTGAGAATGCTTCTGTCTAGATTTTATAGGAAGATATTCCCGTTTCCAACGAAACCTTCACAGCTATCCAAATATCCACTTGCAGATTCTACAAAAAGAGTGTATCAAAACTGCTCTGTCAAAAGGAAGGTTCTTCTCTGTTAGGTGAGTGCATACGTCATACAGGAGTTTCTGAGAATGTTTCTGTCTAGTGGTTATGGGAAGCATATTTGCTTTTTCACCGTAGGCCTCAAAGCGCTCCAAATGTCCACTTGCACATACTACAAAAAGAGTGCTTCAAAGCTGCTCTCTGAAACGGAATGTTCAACTCTATGAGTTGAATGCAAACATCACAAAGACGTTTCTGAGAATGCTTCTGTCTAGATTTGATATGAAGATATTCCCGTTTCCAACGAAATTTTCAAATCTATACAAATGTCCACTTGCAGATTCAACAAAGTGTTTTTCAAAACTGCTGTATCAAAAGAAAGATCCACCTCTGTTAGCTGAGTTCACACTTCACAAACAAGTTTATCAGACTGCTTCTGTCTAGTTTTTATTTGAAGATATTTCCTTTCTCACCATAGACCTGAAAGCTGTCCTAATGTTCACTTCCAGATACTACAGAAAGAGTGTTTCAAAACTGCTGTACGAAAGGGAATATTCAACTCTGTGACTTGAATGCACACATCACAAAGAAGTTTCTGAGGATGCGGCTTTCTACATTTTATACGTAATCCCGTTTCCAACGAAATCCTCCAAGCTATCCAAATATCCACTTGCAGATTCCACAGAAAGACTGTTTCAAAACTGCTCTGTCAATAGAAAGGTTCAACTCTGTTAGCTGCGTGCATATATCCCAAAGAAGATTCTGAGATTGCTTCTGTCTACTTTTTATGAGAAGGTATTTCCCTTTTCACCGTAGGCGTCAAGGCGCTCCAAATGTCCACTTCAGATACTACAAAAAGAGTGTTTCAAACCTACTCTGTGAAAGGGAATATTCAACTCTGTGACTTGAATGCACATATCACAAAGAAGCTTATGAGAATGCTTCTGTCGAGATTTTATATGAAGATATTCCCGTTTCCAACTAAATCCTGAAATCTATCCAAACTTCCCCTCGCAGATTCTACAAAAAGAGTGTTTCAAAACTGCTCTGTAAAAAGAAAGGTTCAACTCTGTTAGTTGAGTACACACATCACAAACAAGTTTCACAGAATGCTTCTTTCTAGCTCGTAGGGGAAGATATTCCCTTTATCACCATGGGCCTCAAACCATCCGAATCGTCCACTTCCATATACTACAAAAAGAGCGTTTCAAACCTGCTCCATGAAAGGCAATGTTCAACTCTGTGACTTGAATGCAGACATCACAGAGCAGTTTCTGAGAATGCTTCTGTCTAGATTTTATAGGAAGATATTCCCGTTTCCAGCAAAATCTTCACAGCTATCCAAATATCCACTTGCAGATTCTACAAAAAGAGTGCATCAAAACTGCTCTGTCAAATGGAAGGTTCTTCTCTGTTAGGTGAGTGCATACGTCATAAACGAGTTTCTGAGAATGTTTCTGTCTAGTGGTTATGGGAAGATATTTGCTTTTTCACCGAAGGCCTCAGAGCGCTCCCAATATCCACTTGCACATACTACAAAATGAGTGCCTCAAAGCTGCTCTCTGAAACGGAATGTTCAAATACTATGAGTTGAATGCAAACATCACAAAGACGTTTCCGAGAATGCTTTCTGTCTAGATTTGATATGAAGATATTCCCGTTTCCAACGAAATCTTCAAATCTATCCAAATGTCCACTTGCAGATTCAACGAAAAGTGTTTTTCAGAACTGCTCTATCAAAAGAAAGATCCACCTCTGTTAGCTGAGTTCAGACATCGCAAACATGTTTATGAGAATGCTTCTGTCTAGTTTTTATTTGAAGATATTTCCTTTCTCACCATAGACCTGAAAGCTGTCCTAATGTTCACTTCCAGATACTACAGAAAGAGTGTTTCAAAAATGCTGTACGAAAGGGAATATTCAACTCTGTGACTTGAATGCGCACATCACAAAGAAGTTTCTGAGGATGCTGCTGTCTACTTTTTATACGTAATCCCGTTTCCAACGAAATCCTCCAATCTATCAAAATATCCACTTGCAGATTCCACAGAAAGACTGTTTCAAAACTGCTCTGTCAATAGAAAGGTTCAACTCTGTTAGCTGCGTGCACATATCCCAAAGAAGATTCTGAGATTGCTTCTGTCTAGTATTTATGGGAAGATATTTCCCTTTTCACCGTAGGTGTCAAGGAGCTCCAATTGTCCACTTCCAGATACTACAAAAAGAGTGTTTCAAACCTACTCTGCGAAAGGGAATATTCAACTCTGTGACTTGAAGGCAGATATCACAAAGAAGTTTCTGAGAATGCTTCTGTCGAGATTTTAAATGAAGATATTCCCGTTTCCAACGAAATCCTGAAATCTATCCAAATATCCCCTCGCAGATTCTACAAAAAGAGTGTTTCAAAACTGCTCTGTAAAAAGAAAGGTTCAACTCTGTTAGTTGAGTATACACATCACAAACAAGTTTCACAGAATGCTTCTTTCTAGCTTGTAGGGGAAGATATTCCCTTTATCACCATGGGCCTCAAACCGTCCGAAACGTCTACTTCCATATACTACAAAAAGAGCGTTTCAAACCTGCTCTATGAAAGGCAATGTTCAACTCTGTGACTTGAATGCAGACATCACAGGGCAGTTTCTGAGAATGCTTCTGTCTAGATTTTATAGGAAGATATTCCCGTTTCCAACGAAATCTTCACAGCTATCCAAATATCCACTTGCTGATTCTACAAAAAGAGTGTATCAAAACTGCTCTGTCAAAAGGAAGGTTCTTCTCTGTTAGGTGAGTGCATACGTCATAAAGCAGTTTCTGAGAATGTTTCTGTCTAGTGGTTATGGGAAGATATTTGCTTTTTCCCCGTAGGCCTCAGGGCGCTCCAAATATCCACTTGCACATACTACAAAAAGAGTGCCTCAAAGCTGCTCTCTGAAAGGGAATGTTCAACTCTATGAGTTGAATGCAAACATCGCAAAGACGTTTCTGAGAATGCTTCTGTCTAGATTTGATATGAAGATATTCCCGTTTCCAACGAAATCTTCAAATCTATCCAAATCTCCACTTGCAGATTCAACAAAAAGTGTTTTTCAGAACTGCTCTATCAAAAGAAAGATCCACCTCTGTTAGCTGAGTTGACACATCACAAACAAGTTTATGAGAATGCTTCTGTCTAGTTTTTATTTGAAGATATTTCCTTTCTCACCATAGAGCTGAAAGCTGTCCTAATGTTCACTTCCAGATACTACAGAAAGAGTGTTTCAAAACTGCTGTACGAAAAGGAATGTTCAACTCTGTGACTTGAATGCACACATCACAAAGAAGTTTCTGAGGATGCTGCTGTCTACTTTTTATACGTAATCCCGTTTCCAACGAAATCCTCCAAGCTATCCAAATATCCACTTGCAGATTCCACAGAAAGACTGTTTCAAAACTGCTCTGTCAATAGAAAGGTTCAACTCTGTTAGTTGCGTGCATATATCCCAAAGAAGATTCTGAGATTCCTTCTGTCGAATTTTTATGGGAAGATATTTCCCTTTTCACCGTAGGCATCAAGGCGCTCCAAATGTCCACTTCCAGATACTACAAAAAGAGTGTTTCAAACCTACTCTGTGAAAGGGAATATTCAACTCTGTGACTTGAATGCACATATCACAAAGAAGTTTCTGAGAATGCTTCTGTCGAGATTTTATATGAAGATATTCCCCTTTCCAACGAAATTCTGAAATCTATCCAAATATGCCCTCGCAGATTCTACAAAAAGAGTGTTTCAAAACTGCTCTGTAAAAAGAAAGGTTCAACTCTGTTAGTTGAGTACACACCTCACAAACAAGTTTCACAGAATGCTTCTTTCTAGCTTGTAGGGGAAGATATTCCCTTTATCACCATGGGCCTCAAACCGTCTGAAACGTCCACTTCCATATACTACAAAAAGAGCGTTTCAAACCTGCTCTATGAAAGGCAATGATCAACTCTGTGACTTGAATGCAGACATCACAGAGCAGTTTCTGAGAATGCTTCTGTCCAGACTTTATAGGAAGATATTCCCGTTTCCAACGAAATCTTCACAGCTATCCAAATATCCACTTGCAGATAGTACAAAAAGAGTGTATCAAAAATGCTCTGTCAAAAGGAAAGTTCTTCTCTGCTAGTTGAGTACATACGTCATAAAGAAGTTTCTGAGAATGTTTCTGTCTAGTGGTTATGGAAAGATATTTGCTTTTTCACCGTAGGCCTCAGAGCGCTCCAAATATCCACTTGCACATACTACAAAAAGAGTGCCTCAAATCTGCTTTCTGAAACGGAATGTTCAACTCTATGAGTTGAATGCAAACAACGCAAAGACGTTTCTGAGAATGCTTCTGTCTAGACTTGATATGAAGATATTCCCGTTTCCAACGAAATCTTCAAATCTATCCAAATGTCCACTTGCAGATTCAACAAAAAGTGTTTTTCAGAACTGCTCTATCAAAAGAAAGATCCACCTCTGTTAGCTGAGTTCACACATCACAAACAAGTTTATGAGAATGCTTCTGTCTAGTTTTTATTTGAAGATATTTCCTTTCTCACCATAGACCTGAAAGCTGTCCTAATGTTCACTTCCAGATACTACAGAAAGAGTGTTTCAAAACTGCTGTACGAAAGGGAATGTTCAACTCTGTGACTTGAATGCACCCATCACAAAGAAGTTTCTGAGGATGCTGCTGTCTACTTTTTATACGTAATCCCGTTTCCAACGAAATCCTCCAAGCTATCCAAATATCCACTTGCAGATTCCACAGAAAGACTGTTTCAAAACTGCTCTGTCAATATAAAGGTTCAACTCTATTAGCTGCGTACATATATCCCAAAGAAGATTCTGAGATTGCTTCTGTCTAGTTTTTATGGGAAGATATTTCCCTTTTCACCGTAGGCGTCAAGGCGCTCCAAATGTCCACTTCCAGATACTACAAAAAGAGTGTTTCAAACCTACTACTGTGAAAGGGAATATTCAACTCTGTGACTTGAATGCACATATCACAAGGAAGTTTCTGAGAATGCTTCTGTCAAGATTTTATATGAAGATATTCCCGTTTCCAACGAAATCCTGAAATGTATCCAAATATCCCCTCGCAGATTCTACAAAAAGAGTGTTTCAAAACTGCTCTGTAAAAAGAAAGGTTCAACTCTGTTAGTTGAGTACACACATCACAAACAAGTTTCACAGAATGCTTCTTTCTAGCTTGTAGGGGAAGATATTCCCTTTATCACCATGGGCCTCAAACCGTACGAAACGTCCACTTCCATATACTACAAAAAGAGCGTTTCAAACCTGCTCTAGGAAAGGCAGTGTTCAACTCTGTGACTTGAATGCAGACATCACAGAGCAGTTTCTGAGAATGCTTCTGTCTAGATTTTATAGGAAGATATTCCCGTTTCCAACGAAATCTTCACAGCTATCCAAATATCCACTTGCAGATTCTACAAAAAGAGTGTATCAAAACTGCTCTGTCAAAAGGAAGGTTCTTCTCTGTTAGGTGAGTACATACGTCATAAAGGAGTTTCTGAGAATGTTTCTGTCTAGTGATTATGGGAAGATATTTGCTTTTTCACCGTAGGCCTCAGAGCGCTCCAAATATCCACTTGCATATACTACAAAAAGAGTGCTTCAAAGCTGCTCTCTGAAACGGAATGTTCAACTCTATGAGTTGAATGCAAACATCACAAAGACGTTTCTGAGAATGCTTCTGTCTAGATTTGATATGAAGATATTCCCGTTTCCAACGAAATCTTCAAATCTATCCAAATGTCCACTTGCAGATTCAACAAAAAGTGTTTTTCAAAACTGCTGTATCAAAAGAAAGATCCACGTCTGTTAGCTGAGTTCAGACATCACAAACAAGTTTATGAGAATGCTTCTGTCTTGTTTTTATTTGAAGATATTTCCTTTCTCACCATAGACCTGAAAGCTGTCATAATGTTCACTTCCAGATACTACAGAAAGAGTGTTTCAAAACTGCTGTACGAAAAGGAATGTTCAACTCTGTGACTTGAATGCACACATCACAAAGAAGTTTCTGAGGATGCTGCTGTCTACTTTTTATACGTAATCCCGTTTCCAAAGAAATCCTCCTAGCTATCCAAATATCCACTTGCAGATTCCACAGAAAGACTGTTTCAAAACTGCTCTGTCAATAGAAAGGTTCAACTCTGTTAGCTGCGTGCATATATCCCAAAGAAGATTCTGAGATTGCTTCTGTCTAGTTTTTATGGGAAGATATTTCCCTTTTCACCGTAGGCGTCAAGGCGCTCCAAATGTCCACTTCCAGATACTACAAAAAGAGTGTTTCAAACCTACTCTGTGAAAGGGAATATTCAACTCTGTGACTTGAATGCACATATCACAAAGAAGTTTCTGAGGATGCTTCTGTCGAGATTTTATATGAAGATATTCCGGTTTCCAACGAAATCCTGAAATCTATCCAAATATCCCCTCGCAGATTCTACAAAAAGAGTGTTTCAAAACTGCTCTGTAAAAAGAAAGGTTCAACTCTGTTAGTTGAGTACACACATCACAAACAAGATTCACAGAATGCTTCTTTCTAGCTTGTAGGGGAAGATATTCTCATTATCACCATGGTCCTCAAACCGTCCGAAACGTCCACTTTCATATACTACAAAAAGAGCGTTTCAAACCTGCTCTAGGAAAGGCAATGTTCAACTCTGTGACTTGAATGCAGACATCACAGAGCAGTTTCTGAGAATGCTTCTGTCTAAATTTTATAGGAAGATACTCCCGTTTCCAACGAAATCTTCACAGCTATCCAAATATCCACTTGCAGATTCTACAAAAAGAGTGTATCAAAACTGCTCTGTCAAAAGGAAGGTTCTTTTCTGTTAGGTGAGTGCATACGTCATAAAGGATTTTCTGAGAATGCTTCTGTCTAGTGGTTATGGGAAGATATTTGCTTTTTCACCGTAGACCTCAGAGCGCTCCAAATATCCACTTGCACATACTACAAAAAGAGTGCCTCAAAGCTGCTCTCTGAAACGGAATGTTCTACTCTATGAGTTGAATGCAAACATCACAAAGACGTTTCTGAGAATGCTTCTGTCTAGATTTGATATGAAGATATTCCCGTTTCCAACGAAATCTTCAAATCTATCCAAATGTCCACTTGCAGATTCAACAAAAAGTGTTTTTCAGAACTGCTCTATCAAAAGAAAGATCCACCTCTGTTAGCTGAGTTCACACTTCACGAACAAGTTTATCAGAATGCTTCTGTCTAGTTTTTATTTGAAGATATTTCCTTTCTCACCATAGAGCTGAAAGCTGTCCTAATGTTCACTTCCAGATACTACAGAAAGAGTGTTTCAAAACTGTTGTACGAAAGGGAATGTTCAACTCTGTGACTTGAATGCACACATCACAAAGAAGTTTCTGAGGATGCTGCTGTCTACTTTTGATACGTAATCCCGTTTCCAACGAAATCCTCCAAGCTATCCAAATATCCACTTGCAGATTCCACAGAAAGACTGTTTCAAAACTGCTCTGTCAATAGAAAGGTTCAACTCTGTTAGCTGTGTGCATATATCCCAAAGAAGATTCTGAGATTGCTTCTGTCTAATTTTTGTGGGAAGATATTTCGCTTTTCACCGTAGGTGTCAAGGCGCTCCAAATGTCCACTTCCAGATACTACAAAAAGATTGTTTCAAACCTACTCTGTGAAAGGGAATATTCAACTCTGTGACTTGAATGCACATATCACAAAGAAGTTTCTGAGAATGCTTCTGTCGAGATTTTATAGGAAGATATTCCCGTTTCCAACGAAATCCTGAAATCTATCCAAATATCCCCTCGCAGATTCTAAAAAAAGAGTGTTTCAAAACTGTTCTGTAAAAAGAAAGGTTCAACTCTGTTAGTTGAGTACACACATCACAAACAAGTTTCACAGAATGCTTCTTTCTAGCTTGTAGGGGAAGATATTCCCTTTATCACCATGGGCCTCAAACCGTCCGAAACGTCCGCTTCCATATACTACAAAAAGAACGCTTCAAACCTGCTCTATGAAAGACAATGTTCAACTCTGTGACTTGAATGCAGACATCACAGAGCAGATTCTGAGAATGCTTCTGTCTAGATTTTATAGGAAGATATTCCCGTTTCCAACGAAATCTTCACAGCTATCCAAATATCCACTTGCAGATTCTACAAAAAGAGTGTATGAAAACTGCTCTGTCAAAAGGAAGGTTCTTCTCTGTTAGGTGAGTGCATACGTTATAAAGGAGTTTCTGAGAATGTTTCTGTCTAGTGGTTATGGGAAGATATTTGCTTTTTCACCGTAGGCCTCAGAGCGCTCCAAATATCCACTTGCACATACTACAAAAAGAGTGCCTCAAAGCTGCTCTCTGAAACGGAATGTTCAACTCTATGAGTTGAATGCAAACATCACAAAGACGTTTCTGAGAATACTTCTGTCTAGATTTGATATGAAGATATTGCCGTTTCCAACGAAATCTTCAAATCTATCCAAATGTCCACTTGCAGATTCAACAAAAAGTGTTTTTCAGAACTGCTCTATCAAAAGAAAGATCCACCTCTGTTAGCTGAGTTCACACATCACAAACAAGTTTATGAGAATGCTTCTGTCTAGTTTTTATTTGAAGATATTTTGTTTCTCACCATAGAGCTGAAAGCTGTCCTAATGTTCACTTCCAGATACTACAGAAAGAGTGTTTCAAAACTGCTGTACGAAAGGGAATGTTCAACTCTGTGACTTGAATGCACACATCACAAAGAATTTTCTGAGGATGCTGCTGTCTACTTTTTATACGTAATCCGGTTTCCAACGAAATCCTCCAAGCTATCCAAATATCCACTTGCAGATTCCACAGAAAGACTGTTTCAAAACTGCTCTGTCAATAGAAAGGTTCAACTCTGTTAGCTGCGTGCATATATCCCAAAGAAGATTCTGAGATTGCTTCTGTCTAGTTTTTATGGGAAGATATTTCCCTTTCCACCGTAGGTGTCAAGGAGCTCCAAATGTCCACTTCCAGATACTACAAAAAGAGTGTTTCAAACCTACTCTGTGAAAGGGAATATTCAACTCTGTGACTTGAATGCACATATCACAAAGAAGTTTCTGAGAATGCTTCTGTCGAGATTTTATATGAAGTTATTCCCGTTTCCAACGAAATCCTGAAATCTATCCAAATATCCCCTCGCAGATTCTACAAAAAGAGTGTTTCAAAACTGCTCTGTGAAAGGGAATATTCAACTCTGTGACTTGAATGCAGATATCACAAAGAAGTTTCTGAGAATGCTTCTGTCGAGATTTTATATGAAGATATTCCGGTTTCCAACGAAATCCTGAAATCTATCCAAATATCCCCTCGCAGATTCTACAAAAAGAGTGTTTCAAAACTGCTCTGTAAAAAGAAAGGTTCAACTCTGTTAGTTGAGTACACACATCACAAACAAGTTTCACAGAATGCTTCTGTCTAGATTTTATAGGAAGATATTCCCGTTTCCAACGAAATCTTCACAGCTATCCCAATATCCACTTGCAGATTCTACAAAAAGAGTGTATCAAAACTGCTCTGTCAAAAGGAAGGTTCTTCTCTGTTAGGTGAGTGCATACAGTCATAAAGGAGTTTCTGAGAATGTTTCTGTCTAGTGGTTATGGGAAGATATTTGCTTTTTCACCGTAGGCCTCAGAGCGCTCCAAATATCCACTTGCACATACTACAAAAAGTGTGCCTCAAAGCTGCTCTCTGAAACGGAATGTTCAAATCTATGAGTTGAATGCAAACATCACAAAGACGTTTCTGAGAATGCTTCTGTCTAGACTTGATATGAAGATATTCCCGTTTCCAACGACATCTTCAAATCTATCCAAATGTCCACTTGCAGATTCAACAAAAAGTGTTTTTCAGAACTGCTCTATCAAAAGAAAGATCCACCTCTGTTAGCTGAGTTCACACATCACAAACAAGTTTATGAGAATGCTTCTGTCTAGTTTTTATTTGAAGATATTTCCTTTCTCACCATAGACCTGAAAGCTGTCCTAATGTTCACTTCCAGATACTACAGAAAGAGTGTTTCAAAACTGCTGTACGAAAGGGAATGTTCAACTACTGTGACTTGAATGCACACATCACAAAGAAGTTTCTGAGGATGCGTGCTGTCTACTTTTTATACGTAATCCCGTTTCCAACGAAATCCTCCAAGCTATCCAAATATCCACTTGCAGATTCCACAGAAAGACTGTTTCAAAACTGCTCTGTCAATAGAAAGGTTCAACTCTGTTAGCTGCGTGCATATATCCCAAAGAAGATTCTGAGATTGCTTCTGTCTAGTTTTTATGGGAAGATATTTCCCTTTTCACCGTAGGCGTCAAGGCGCTCCAAATGTCCACTTCCAGATACTACAAAAAGAGTGTTTCAAACCTACTCTGTGAAAGGGAATATTCAACTCTGTGACTTGAATGCACATATCACAAAGAAGTTTCTGATAATGCTTCTGTCGAGATTTTATATGAAGATATTCCCGTTTCCAACGAAATCCTGAAATCTATACAAATATCCCCTCGCAGATTCTACAAAAAGAGAGTTTCAAAACTGCTCTGTAAAAAGAAAGGTTCAACTCTGTTAGTTGAGTACACACATCACAAACAAGTTTCACAGAATGCTTCTTTCTAGCTTTTAGGGGAAGATATTCCCTTTATCACCATGGGCCTCCAACCGTCCGAAACATCCACTTCCATATACTACAAAAAGAGCGTTTCAAACCTGCTCTATGAAAGGCAATGTTCAACTCTGTGACTTGAATGCAGACATCACAGAGCAGTTTCTGAGAATGCTTCTGTCTAGATTTTATAGGAAGGTATTCCCGTTTCCAACGAAATCTTCACAGCTATCCAAATATCCTCTTGCAGATTCTACAAAAAGAGTGTATCAAAACTGCTCTGTCAAAAGGAAGGTCCTTCTCTGTTATTTGAGTACATACGTCATAAAGGGGTTTCTGAGAATGTTTCTGTCTAGTGGTTATGGGAAGATATTTGCTTTTTCACCGAAGGCCTCAGAGCGCTCCAAATATCCACTTGCACATACTACAAAAAGAGTGCTTCAAATCTGCTCTCTGAAAGGGAATGTTCAACTCTATGAGTTGAATGCAAACATCACAAAGACGTTTCTGACAATGCTTCTGTCTAGATTTGATATGAAGATATTCCCGTTTCCAACGAAATCTTCAAATCTATCCAAATGTCCACTTGCAGATTCAACAAAAAGTGTTTTTCAGAACTGCTCTATCAAAAGAAAGATCCACCTCTGTTAGCTGAGTTCACACACCACAAACAAGTTTATGAGAATGCTTCTGTCTAGTTTTTATTTGAAGATATTTCCTTTCTCACCATAGAGCTGAAAGCTGTCCAAATGTTCACTTCCAGATACTACAGAAAGAGTGTTTCAAAACTGCTGTACGAAAGGGAATGTTCAACTCTGTGACTTGAATGCACACATCACAAAGAACTTTCTGAGGATGCTGCTGTCTACTTTTTATACGTAATCCCGTTTCCAACGAAATCCTCCAAGCTATCCAAATATCCACTTGCAGATTCCACAGAAAGACTGTTTCTAATCTGCTCTGTCAATAGAAAGGTTCAACTCTGTTAGCTGCGTGCATATATCCCAAAGATGATTCTGAGATTTCTTCTGTCTAGTTTTGATGGGAAGATACTTCCCTTTTCACCGTAGGCGTCAAGGCGCTCCAAATGTCCACTTCCAGATACTACAAAAAGAGTGTTTCAAACCTACTCTGTGAAAGGGAATATTCAACTCTGTGACTTGAATGCACATATCACAAAGAAGTTTCTGAGAATGCTTCTGTCGAGATTTTATATGAAGATATTCCCGTTTCCAACGAAATCCTGAAATGTATCCAAATATCCCCTCGCAGATTCTACAAAAAGAGTGTTTCAAAACTGCTCTCTAAAAAGAAAGGTTCAACTCTGTTAGTTGAGTACACACATCACAAACAAGTTTCACAGAATGCTTCTTTCTAGCTTGTAGGGGAAGATATTCCCTTTATCACCATGGGCCTCAAACCGTCCGAAACGTCCACTTCCATATACTACAAAAAGAGCGTTTCAAACCTGCTGTATGAAAGGCAATGTTCAACTCTGTGACTTGAATGCAGACATCACAGAGCAGTTTCTGAGAATGCTTCTGTCTAGTATTTTATAGGAAGATATTCCCGTTTCCAACGAAATCTTCACAGCTATCCAAATATCCACTTTCAGATTCTACAAAAAGAGTGTATCAAAAGTGCTCTGTCAAAAGGAAGGTTCTTCTCTGTTAGGTGAGTGCATACGTCATAAAGGAGTTTCTGAGAATGTTTCTGTCTAGTGGTTATGGGAAGATATTTGCTTTTTCACCGTAGGCCTCAGAGCGCTCCAAATATCCACTTGCACATACTACAAAAAGAGTGCCTCAAAGCTGCTCTCTGAAACGGAATGTTCAACTCTATGAGTTGAATGCAAACATCACAAAGACGTCTCTGAGAATGCTTCTGTCTAGATTTGATATGAAGATATTCCCGTTTCCAAAGAAATCTTCAAATCTATCCAAATGTCCACTTGCAGATTCAACAAAAAGTGTTTTTCAGAACTCCTCTATCAAAAGAAAGATCCACCTCTGTTAGCTGAGTTCACACATCACAAACAAGTTTATGAGAATGCTTCTGTCTAGTTTTTATTTGAAGATATTTCCTTTCTCACCATAGACCTGAAAGCTGTCCTAATGTTCACTCCCAGATACTACAGAAAGAGTGTTTCAAAACTGCTGTACGAAAGGGAATGTTCAACTCTGTGACTTGAATGCACACATCACAAAGAAGCTTCTGAGGATGCTGCTGTCTACTTTTTATACGTAATCCCGTTTCCAATGAAATCCTCCAAGCTATCCAAATATCCACTTGCAGATTCTACAGAAAGACTGTTTCAAAACTGCTCTGTCAATAGAAAGGTTCAACTCTGTTAGCTGCGTGCATATATCCCAAAGAAGATTCTGAGATTGCTTCTGTCTAGTTTTTATGGGAAGATATTTCCCTTTTCATCGTAGGTGTCAAGGCGCTCCAAATGTCCACTTCCAGATACAACAAAAAGAGTGTTTCAAACCTACTCTGTGAAAGGGAATATTCAACACTGTGACTTGAATGCACATATCACAAAGAAGTTTCTGAGAATGCTTCTGTCGAGATTTTATATGAAGATATTCCCGTTTCCAACGAAATCCTGAAATCTATCCAAATATCCCCTCGCAGATTCTACAAAAAGAGTGTTTCAAAACTGCTCTGTAAAAAGAAAGGTTCAACTCTGTTAGTTGAGTACACACATCACAAATAAGTTTCACAGAATGCTTCTTTCTAGCTTGTAGGGGAAGATATTCCCTTTATCACCATGGGCCTCAAACAGTCCGAAACGTCCACTTCCATATACTACAAAAAGAGCGTTTCAAACCTGCTAAATGAAAGGCAATGTTCAACTCTGTGACTTGAATGCAGACATCACAGAGCAGTTTCTGAGAATGCTTCTGTCTAGATTTTGTAGGAAGATATTCCCGATTCCAACGAAATCTTCACAGCTATCAAAATATCCACTTGCAGATTCTACAAAAAGAGTGTATCAAAACTGCTCTGTCAAAAGGAAGGTTCTTCTCTGTTAGGTGAGTGCATACGTCATAAAGGAGTTTCTGAGAATGTTTCTGTCTAGTGGTTATGGGAAGATATTTGCTTTTTCACCGTAGGCCTCAGAGCGCTCCAAATATCCACTTCCACATACTACAAAAAGAGTGCTTCAAAGCTGCTCTCTGAAAGGGAATGTTCAACTCTATGAGTTGAATGCAAACATCACAAAGACGTTTCTGAGAATGCTTCTGTCTAGATTTGATATGAAGATATTCCCGTTTCCAACGAAATCTTCAAATCTATCCAAATGTCCACTTGCAGATTCAACAAAAAGTGTTTTTCAGAACTGCTCTATCAAAAGAAAGATCCTCCTCTGTTAGCTGAGTTCACACATCACAAACAAGTTTATGAGAATGCTTCTGTCTTGTTTTTATTAGAAGATATTTCCTTTCTCACCATAGACCTGAAAGCTGTCCTAATGTTCACTTCCAGATACTACAGAAAGAGTGTTTCAAAACTGCTGTACGAAAGGGAATGTTCAACTCTGTGACTTGAATGCACACATCACAAAGAAGTTTCTGAGGATGCTGCTGTCTACTTTTTATACGTAATCCCGTTTCCAACGAAATCCTCCAATCTATCCAAATATCCACTTGCAGATTCCACAGAAAGACTGTTTCAAAACTGCTCTGTCAATAGAAAAGTTCAACTCTGTTAGCTGCGTGCATATATCCCAAAGAAGATTCTGAGATTGCTTCTGTCTAGTTTTTATGGGAAGATATTTCCCTTTTCACCTTAGGCGTCAAGGCGCTCCAAATGTCCACTTCCAGATACTACAAAAAGAGTGTTTCAAACCTACTCTGTGAAAGGGAATATTCAACTCTGTGACTTGAATGCAGATATCACAAAGAAGTTTCTGAGAATGCTTCTGCCTAGTTTTTATGTGAAGATATTCCCGTTTCCAACAAAATCCTCAAAGCTAGCCAAATATCCACTTGCAGACTCTACAAAAAAGAATGTTTGAAAACTGCTCTATCAAAAGAAAAGTTCAACTCTGTTAGTTGAGTAAACACATCACAAACAAGTTTCACAGAATGCTTCTTTCTAGCTTGTAGGGGAAGATATTCCCTTTATCACCATGGGCCTCAAACCGTCCGAAACGTCCACTTCCATATACTACAAAAAGAGCGTTTCAAACCTGCTCTATGAAAGGTAATGTTCAACTCTGTGACTTGAATGCAGACATCACAGAGCAGTTTCTGAGAATGCTTCTGTCTAGATTTTATAGGAAGATATTCCCGTTTCCAACGAAATCTTCACAGCTATCCCAATATCCACTTGCAGATACTACAAAAAGAGTGTATCAAAACTGCTCTGTCAAAAGGAAGGTTCTTCTCTGTTGGGTGAGTGCATACGTCATAAAGGAGTTTCTGAGAATGTTTCTGTCTAGTGGTTATGGGAAGATATTTGCTTTTTCACCGTAGGCCTCAGAGCGCTCCAAATATCCACTTGCACATACTACAAAAAGAGTGCCTCAAAGCTGCTCTCTGAAACGGAATGTTCAACTCTATGAGTTGAATGCAAACATCACAAAGACGTTTCTGAGAAAGCTTCTGTCTAGATTTGATATGAAGATATTCCCGTTTCCAACGAAATCTTCAAATCTATCCAAATGTCCACTTGCAGATTCAACAAAAAGTGTTTTTCAAAACTGCTGTATGAAAAGAAAGATCCACCTCTGTTAGCTGAGTTCACACATCACACATGAGAATGCTTCTGTCTAGTTTTTATTTGAAGATATATCCTTTCTCACTATAGACCTGAAAGCTCTCCTAAAGTTCACTTCCAGATACTACAGAAAGAGTGTTTCAAAACTGCTGTACGAAAGGGAATATTCAACTCTGTGACTTGAATGCACGCATCACAAGGAAGTTTCTGAGGATGCTGCTGTCTACTTTTTATACGTAATCCTGTTTCCAACGAAATCCTCCAAGCTATCCAAATATCCACTTGCAGATTCCACAGAAAGACTGTTTCAAAACTGCTCTGTCAATAGAAAGGTTCAACTCTGTTAGCTGCGTGCATATATCCCAAAGAAGATTCTGAGATTGCTTCTGTCTAGTTTTTATGGGAAGATATTACCCTTTTCACCGTAGGCGTCAAGGCGCTCCAAATGTCCACTTCCAGATACTACAAAAAGAGTGTTTCAAACCTACTCTGTGAAAGGGAATATTCAACTCTGTGACTTGAAGGCAGATATCACAAAGAAGTTTCTGAGAATGCTTCTGTCGAGATTTTATATGAAGTTATTCCCGTTTCCAACGAAATCCTGAAATCTATCCAAATATCCCCTCGCAGATTCTACAAAAGAGTGTTTCAAAACTGTTCTGTAAAAAGAAAGGTTCAACTCTGTTAGTTGAGTACACACATCACAAACAAGTTTCACAGAATGCTTCTTTCTAGCTTGTAGGGGAAGATATTTCCTTTATCACCATGGGCCTCAAACCGTCCGAAACGTCCACTTCCATATACTAAAAAAAGAGTGTTTGAAAGCTGCTCTATGAAAGGCAATGTTCAACTCTGTGACTTGAATGCAGACATCACAGAGCAGTTTCTGACAATGCTTCTGTCTAGATTTTATAGGAAGATATTCCCGTTTCCAACGAAATCTTCACAGCTATCCAAATATCCACTTGCAGATCCTACAAAAAGAGTGTATCAAAACTGCTCTGTCAAAAGGAAGGTTCTTCTCTGTTAGGTGAGTGCATACGTCATAAAGGAGTTTCTGAGAATGTTTCTGTCTAGTGGTTATGGGAAGATATTTGCTTTTTCACCTTAGGCCTCAGAGCGCTCCAAATATCCCCTTGCACATACTACAAAAAGAGTGCTTCAAAGCTGCTCTCTGAAAGGGAATTGTTCAACTCTATGAGTTGAATGCAAACATCACAAAGACGTTTCTGAGAATGCTTCTGTCTAGATTTGATATGAAGATATTCCCGTTTCCAACGAAATCTTCAAATCTATCCAAATGTCCACTTGCAGATTCAACAAAAAGTGTTTTTCAGAACTGCTCTATCAAAAGAAAGATCCCCCTCTGGTTAGCTGAGTTCACACATCACAAACAAGTTTATGAGAATGCTTCTGTCCAGTTTTTATTTGAAGATATTTCCTTTCTCACCATAGAGCTGAAAGCTGTCTTAATGTTCACTTCCAGATAATACAGAAAGAGTGTTTCAAAACTGCTGTACGAAAGGAAATGTTCAACTCTGTGACTTGAATGCACACATCACAAAGAAGTTTCTGAGGATGCTGCTGTCTACTTTTTATACGTAATCCCATTTCCAACGAAATCCTCCAAGCTATCCAAATATCCACTTGCAGATTCCACCGAAAGACTGTTTCAAAACTGCTATGTCAATAGAAAAGTTCAACTCTGTTAGCTGTGTGCATATATCCCAAAGAAAATTCTGAGATTGCTTCTGTCTAGTTTTTATGGGAAGATATTTCCCTTTTCACCGTAGGCGTCAAGGCGCTCCAAATGTCCACTTCCAGATACTACAAAAGGAGTGTTTCAAACCTACTCTGTGAAAGTGAATATTCAACTCTGTGACTTGAATGCAGATATCACAAAGAAGTTTCTGAGAATGCTTCTGTCGAGATTTTATATGAAGATATTCCCGTTTCCAATGAAATCCTGAAATCTATCCAAATATCCCCTCGCAGATTCTACAAAAGAGTGTTTCAAAACTGCTCTGCAAAAAGAAAGGTTCAACTCTGTTAGTTGAGTACACACATCACAAACAAGTTTCACAGAATGCTTCTTTCTAGCTTGTAGGGGAAGATATTCCCTTTATCACCATGGGCCTCAAACCGTCCGAAACGTCCACTTCCATATACTACAAAAAGAGCGTTTAAAACCTGCTCTAGGAAAGGCAATGTTCAACTCTGTGACTTGAATGCAGACATCACATAGCAGTTTCTGAGAATGCTTCTGTCTAGATTTTATAGGAAGATATTCCCGTTTCCAACAAAATCTTCACAGGTATCCAAATATCCACTTGCAGATTCTACAAAAAGAGTGTATCAAAACTGCTCTGTCAAAAGGGAGGTTCTTCTCTGTTAGGTGAGTGCATACGTCATAAAGGAGTTTCTGAGAATGTTTCTGTCTAGTGGTTATGGGAAGATATTTGCTTTTTCACCGTAGGCCTCAGAGAGCTCCAAATATCCACTTGCACATACTACAAAAAGAGTGCCTCAAAGCTGCTCTCTGAAACGGAATGTTCAACTCTATGAGTTGAATGCAAACATCACAAAGACGTTTCTGAGAATGCTTCTGTCTAGATTTGATATAAAGATATTCCCGTTTCCAATGAAATCTTCAAATCTATCCAAATGTCCACTTGCAGATTCAACAAAAAGTGTTTTTCAGAACTGCTCTATCAAAAGAAAGATCCACCTCTGTTAGCTGAGTTCACACATCACAAACAAGTTTATGAGAATGCTTCTGTCTAGTTTTTATTTGAAGATATTTCCTTTCTCACCATAGACCTGATAGCTGTCCTAATGTTCACTTCCAGATACTACAGAAAGAGTGTTTCAAAACTGCTGTACGAAAGGGAATGTTCAACTCTGTGACTTGAATGCACACATCACAAAGAAGTTTCTGAGGATGCTGCTGTCTACTTTTTATACGTAATCCCGTTTCCAACGAAATCCTCCAATCTATCCAAATATCCACTTACAGATTCCACAGAAAGACTGTTTCAAAACTGCTCTGTCAATAGAAATGTTCAACTCTGTTAGCTGCGTGCATATATCCCAAAGAAGATTCTGAGATTGCTTCTGTCTAGTTTTTATGGGAAGATATTTCCCTTTTCACCGTAGGCGTCAAGGCGCTCCAAATGTCCACTTCCAGATACTACAAAAAGAGTGTTCCAAACCTACTCTGTGAAAGGGAATATTCAACTCTGTGACTTGAATGCACATATCACAAAGAAGTTTCTGAGAATGCTTCTGTCGAGATTTTATATGAAGATATTCCCGTTTCCAACGAAATCTTGAAATCTATCCAAATATCCCCTCGCAGATTCTACAAAAAGAGTGTTTCAACACTGCTCTGTAAAAAGAAAGGTTCAACTCTGTTGGTTGAGTACACACATCACAAACAAGTTTCACAGAATGCTTCTTTCTAGCTTGTAGGGGAAGATATTCCCTTTATCACCATGGGCCTCAAACCGTCTGAAACGTCCACTTCCATATACTACAAAAAGAGCATTTCAAACCTGCTCTATGAAAGGCAATGTTCAACTCTGTGAGTTGAATGCAGACATCACAGAGCAGTTTCTGAGAATGCTTCTGTATAGATTTTATAGGAAGATATTCCCGTTTCCAACGAAATCTTCACAGCTATCCAAATATCCACTTGCAGATTCTACAAAAAGAGTGTATCAAAACTGCTCTGTCAAAAGGAAGGTTCTTTTCTGTTAGGTGAGTGCATACGTCATAAAGGAGTTTCTGAGAATGTTTCTGTCTAGTGGTTATGGGAAGATATTTGCTTTTTCACCTTAGGCCTCAGAGCGCTCCAAATATCCACTTGCACATACTACAAAAAGAGTGCCTCAAAGCTGCTCTCTGAAACGGAATGTTCAACTCTATGAGTTGAATGCAAACATCACAAAGACGTTTCTGAGAATGCTTCTGTCTAGATTTGATATGAAGATATTCCCGTTTCCAACGAAATCTTCAAATCTATCCAAATGTCCACTTGCAGATTCAACAAAACGTGTTTTTCAGAACTGCTCTATCAAAAGAAAGATCCACCTCTGTTAGCTGAGTTCACACATCACAAACAAGTTTATGACAATGCTTCTGTCTACTTTTTATTTGAAGATATTTCCTTTCTCACCATAGACCTGAAAGCTGTCCTAATGTTCACTTCCAGATACTACAGAAAGAGTGTTTCAAAACTGCTGTACGAAAGGGAATGTTCAACTCTGTGACTTGAATGCACACATCACAAAGAAGTTTCTGAGGATGCTGCTGTCTACTTTTTATACGTAATCCCGTTTCCAACGAAATCCTCCAAGCTCTCCAAATATCCACTTGCAGATTCCACAGAAAGACTGTTTCAAAACTGCTCTGTCAATAGAAAGGTTCAACTGTGTTAGCTGCGTGCATATATCCCAAAGAAGATTCTGAGATTGCTTCTGTCTAGTTTTTATGGGAAGATATTTCCCTTTTCACCGTAGGCGTCAAGGCGCTCCAAATGTCCACTTCCAGATACTACAAAAAGAGTGTTTCAAACCTACTCTGTGAAAGGGAATATTCAACTCGGTGACTTGAATGGAGATATCACAAAGAAGTTTCTGAGAATGCTTCTGTCGAGATTTTATATGAAGATATTCCCGTTTCCAACGAAATCCTGAAATCTATCCAAATATCCCCTCGCAGATTCTACAAAACGAGTGTTTCAAAACTGCTCTGTAAAAAGAAAGGTTCAACTCTGTTAGTTGAGTACACACATCACAAACAAGTTTCACACAATGCTTCTTTCTAGCTAGTAGGGGAAGATATTCCCTTTATCACCATGGGCCTCAAACCGTCCGAAACGTCCACTTCCATATACTACAAAAAGAGCGTTTCAAACCTGCTCTATGAAAGGCAATGTTCAACTCTGTGACTTGAATGCAGACATCACAGAGCAGTTTCTGAGAATGCTTCTGTCTAGATTTTATAGGAAGATATTCCCGTTTCCAACGAAATCTTCACAGCTATCCAAATATCCACTTGCAGATTCTACAAAAAGAGTGTATCAAAACTGCTCTGTCAAAAGGAAGGTTCTTTTCTGTTAGGTGAGTGCATACGTCATAAAGGAGTTTCTGAGAATGCTTCTGTCTAGTGGTTATGGGAAGATATTTGCTTTTTCACCATAGGCCTCAGAGCGCTCCAAATATCCACTTGCACATACTACAAAAAGAGTGCTTCAAAGCTGCTCTCTGAACGGGAATGTTCAACTCTATGAGTTGAATGCTAACATCACAAAGACGTTTCTGAGAATGCTTCTGTCTAGATTTGATATGAAGATATTCCCGTTTCCAACGAAATCTTCAAATCTATCCAAATGTCCACTTGCAGATTCAACAAAAAGTGTTTTTCAGAACTGCTCTATCAAACGAAAGATCCACCTCTGTTAGCTGAGTTCACACATCACAAACAAGTTTATGAGAATGCTTCTGTCTAGTTTTTATTTGAAGATATTTCCTTTCTCACCATACACCTGAAAGCTGTCCTAATGTTCACTTCCAGTTACTACAGAAAGAGTGTTTCAAAACTGCTGTACGAAAGGGAATGTTCAACTCTGTGACTTGAATGCACACATCACAAAGAAGTTTCTGAGGATGCTGCTGTCTAATTTTTATACGTAATCCCGTTTCCAATGAAATCCTCCAAGCTATCCAAATATCCACTTGCAGATTCCACAGAAAGACTGTTTCAAAACTGCTCTGTCAATAGAAAGGTTCAACTCTGTTAGCTGCGTGCAAATATCCCAAAGAAGATTCTGAGATTGCTTCTGTCTAGTTTTTATGGGAAGATATTTCCCTTTTCAAAGTAGGTGTCAATGTGCTCCAAATGTCCACTTCCAGACACTACAAAAAGAGTGTTTCAAACCTACTCTGTGAAAGGGAATATTCAACTCTGTGACTTGAATGCAGATATCACAAAGAAGTTTCTGAGAATGCTTCTGTCGAGATTTTATATGAAGATATTCCCGTTTCCAACGAAATCCTGAAATCTATCCAAATATCCCCTCGCAGATTCTACAAAAAGAGTGTTTCAAAACTGCTCTGTGAAAAGAAAGGTTCAATTCTGTTAGTTGAGTACACACATCACAAACAAGTTTCACAGAATGCTTCTTTCTAGCTTGTAGGGGAAGATATTCCCTTTATCACCATGGGCCTCAAACCGTCCGAAAAGTCCACTTCCATATACTACAAAAAGAGCATTTCAAACCTGCTCTATGAAAGGCAATGTTGAACTCTGTGACTTGAATGCAGACATCACAGAGCAGTTTCTGAGAATGCTTCTGTCTAGATTTTATAGGAAGATATTCCCGTTTCCAACGAAATCTTCACAGGTATCCAAATATCCACTTGCAGATTCTACAAAAAGAGTGTATCAAAACTGCTCTGTCAAAAGGAAGGTTCTTCTCTGTTAGTTGAGTGCATACGTCATAAAGGAGTTTCTGAGAATGTTTCTGTCTAGTGGTTATGGGAAGATATTTGATTTTTCACCTTAGGCCTCAGAGCGCTCCAAATATCCCCTTGCACATACTACAAAAAGAGTGCTTCAAAGCTGCTCTCTGAAAGGGAATGTTCAACTCTATGAGTTGAATGCAAACATCACAAAGACGTTTCTGAGAATGCTTCTGTCTAGATTTGAAATGAAGTTATTCCCGTTTCCAACGAAATCTTCATATCTATCCAAATGTCCACTTGCAGATTCAACAAAAAGTGTTTTTCAGAACTGCTCTATCAAAAGAAAGATCCACCTCGGTTAGCTGAGTTCACACATCACAAAGAAGTTTATGAGAATGCTTCTGTCTAGTTTTTATTTGAAGATATTTCCTTTCTTACCATAGAGCTGAAAGCTGTCCTAATGTTCACTTCCAGATACTACAGAAAGAGTGTTTCAAAACTGCTGTACGAAAGGGAATGTTCAACTCTGTGACTTGAATGCACACATCACAAAGAAGTTTCTGAGGATGCTGCTGTCTACTTTTTATACGTAATCCCGTTTCCAACGAAATCCTCAAAGCTATCCAAATATCCACTTGCAGATTCCACAGAAAGACTGTTTCAAAACTGCTCTGTCAATAGAAAGCTTCAACTCTGTTAGCTGCGTGCATATATCCCAAAGAAGATTCTGAGATTGCTTCTGTCTAGTTTTTATGGGAAGATTTTTCCCTTTTCACCGTAGGTGTCAAGGCGCTCCAAATGTCCACTTCCAGATACTACAAAAAGAGTGTTTCAAACCTACTCTGTGAAAGGGAATATTCAACTCTGTGACTTGAATGCACATATCACAAGGAAGTTTCTGAGAATGCTTCTGTAGAGATTTTATATGAAGATATTCCCGTTTCCAACGAAATCCTGAAATGTATCCAAATATCCCCTCGCAGATTCTACAAAAAGAGTGTTTCAAAACTGCTCTGTAAAAAGAAAGGTTCACCTCTGTTAGTTGAGTACACACATCACAAACAAGTTTCACAGAATGCTTCTTTCTAGCTTGTAGGGGAAGATATTCCCTTTATCACCATGGGCCTCAAACCGTCCGAAACGTCCACTTCCATATCCTACAAAAAGAGTGTTTCAAACCTGCTCTATGAACGGCAATGTTCAACTCTGTGACTTGAATGCAGACATCACAGAGCAGTTTCTGAGAATGCTTCTGTCTAGATTTTATAGGAAGATATTCCCGTTTCCAACGAAATCTTCACAGGTATCCAAATATCCACTTGCAGATTCTACAAAAAGAGTGTAACAAAACTGCTCTGTCAAAAGGAAGGTTCTTCTCTGTTAGGTGAGTGCTTACGTCATAAAGGAGTTTCTGAGAATGTTTCTGTCTAGTGGTTATGGGAAGATATTTTCTTTTTCACCGTAGGCCTCAGAGCGCTCCAAATATCCACTTGCACATACTACAAAAAGAATGTTTCAAAGCTGCTCTCTGAAAGGGAATGTTCAACTCTATGAGTTGAATGCAAACATGACAGAGACGTTTCTGAGAATGCTTCTGTCTAGATTTGATATGAAGATATTCCCGTTTCCAACGAAATCTTCAAATCTATCCAAATGTCCACTTGCAGATTCAACAAAAAGTGTTTTTCAGAACTGTTCAATCAAAAGAAAGATCCACCTCTGTTAGCTGAGTTCACACTTCACAAACAAGTTTATCAGAATGCTTCTGTCTAGTTTTTATTTGAAGATATATCCTTTCTCACTATAGACCTGAAAGCTGTCCTAAAGTTCACTTCCAGATACTACAGAAAGAGTGTTTCAAAACTGCTGTATGAAAGGGAATGTTCAACTCTGTGACTTGAATGCACACATCACAAGGATGTTTCTGAGGATGCTGCTGTCTACTTTTTATACGTAATCCCGTTTCCAACGTAATCCTCCAGGCTATCCAAATATCCACTTGCAGATTCCACAGAAAGACTGTTTCAAATCTGCTCTGTCAATAGAAAAGTTCAACTCTATTAGCTGCGTGCATATATCCCAAAGAAGATTCGGAGATTGCTTCTGTCTAGTTTTTATGGGAAGATATTTCCCTTTTCACCGTAGGCGTCAGGGCGCTCCAAATGTCCACTTCCAGATACTACAAAAAGAGTGTTTCAAACCTACTCTGTGAAAGGGAATATTCAACTCTGTGACTTGAATGCACATATCACAAGGAAGTTTCTGAGAATGCTTCTGTCGAGATTTTATATGAAGATATTCCCCTTTCCAACGAAATCCTGAAATCTATCCAAATATCCCCTCGCAGATTCTACAAAAAGAGTGTTTCAAAACTGCTCTGTAAAAAGAAAGGTTCAACTCTGTTAGTTGAGTACACACCTCACAAACAAGTTTCACATAATGCTTCTTTCTAGCTTGTAGGGGAAGATATTCCCTTTATCACCATGGGCCACAAACCGTCCGAAACGTCCACTTCCATATACTACAAAAAGAGCGTTTCAAACGTGCTCTATGAAAGGCAATGTTCAACTCTGTGACTTGAATGCAGACATCACAGAGCAGTTTCTGAGAATGCTTCTGTCTAGATTTTATAGGAAGATATTCCCGTTTCCAACGAAATCTTCACAGCTATCCAAATATCCACTTGCAGATTCCACAAAAAGAGTGTATCAAAACTGCTCTGTCGAAAGGAAGGTTCTTCTCTGTTAGGTGAGTGCATACGTCATAAAGGAGTTTCTGAGAATGTTTCTGTCTAGTGGTTATGGGAAGATATTTGCTTTTTCACCGTAGGCCTCAGAGCGCTCCAAATATCCACTTGCACATACTACAAAAAGAGTGCTTCAAAGCTGCTCTCGGAAAGGGAATGTTCAACTCTATGAGTTGAATGCAAACATCACAAAGACGTTTCTGAGAATGCTTCTGTCTAGATTTGATATGAAGATATTCTCGTTTCCAAAGAAATCTTCAAATCTATCCAAATGTCCACTTGCAGATTCAACAAAAAGTGTTTTTCAGAACTGCTCTATCAAAAGAAAGATCCACGTCTCTTAGCTGAGTTCACAGATCACAAACAAGTTTATGAGAATGCTTGTGTCTAGTTTTTATTTGAAGATATTTCCTTTCTCACCATAGACCTGAAAGCTGTCCTAATGTTCACTTCCAGATACTACAGAAAGAGTGTTTCAAAACTGCTGTACGAAAGGGAATGTTGAACTCTGTGACTTGAATGCACACATCACAAAGAAGTTTCTGAGGATGCTGCTGTCTACTTTTATACGTAATCCCGTTTCCAACGAAATCCTCCAAGCTATCCAAATATCCACTTGCAGATTCCACAGAAAGACTGTTTCAAAACTGCTCTGTCAATAGAAAGGTTCAACTCTGTTAGCTGCGTGCATATATCCCAAAGAAGATTCTGAGATTGCTGCTGTCTAGTTTTTATGGGAAGATATTTCCCTTTTCACCGTAGGCGCCAAGGACGCTCCAAATGTCCACTTCCAGATACTACAAAAAGAGTGTTTCAAACCTACTCTGTGAAAGGGAATATTCAACTCTGTGACTTGAATGCACATATCACAAAGAAGTTTCTGAGAATGCTTCTGTCGAGATTTTATATGAAGATATTCCCGTTTCCAACGAAATCCTGAAATCTATCCAAATATCCCCTCGCAGATTCTACAAAAAGAGTGTTTCAAAACTGCTCTGTAAAAAGAAAGGTTCAACTCTGTTAGATGAGTACACACATCACAAACAAGTTTCACAGAATGCTTCTTTCTAGCTTGTAGGGGAAGATATTCCCTTTATCACCATGGGCCTCAAACCGTCTGAAACGTCCACTTCCATATACTACAAAAAGAGCATTTCAAACCTGCTCTATGAAAGGCAATGTTCAACTCTGTGACTTGAATGCAGACATCACAGTAGCAGTTTCTGAGAATGCTTCTGTCTAGATTTTATAGGAAGATATTCCCGTTTCCAACGAAATCTTCACAGGTATCCAAATATCCACTTGCAGATTCTACAAAAAGAGTGTATCAAAACTGCTCTGTCAAAAGGAAGGTTCTTCTCTGTTAGGTGAGTGCATACGTCATAAAGGAGTTTCTGAAAATGTTTCTGTCTAGTGGTTATGGGAAGATATTTGCTTTTTCCCCGTAGGCCTCAGGGCGCTCCAAATGTCCACTTGCACATGCTACAAAAAGTGCTTCAAAGCTGCTCTCTGAAAGGGAATGTTCAACTCTATGAGTTGAATGCAAACATCACAAAGACGTTTCTGAGAATGCTTCTGTCTAGATTTGATATGAAGATATTCCCGTTTCCAACGAAATCTTCAAATCTATCCAAATGTCCACTTGCAGATTCAACAGAAAGTGTTTTTCAGAACTGCTCTATCAAAAGAAAGATCCACCTCTGTTAGCTGAGTTCACACATCACAAACAAGTTTATGAGAATGCTTCTGTCTAGTTTTTATTTGAAGATATATCCTTCCTCACTATAGACCTGAAAGCTCTCCTAAAGTTCACTTCCAGATACTACAGAAAGAGTGTTTCAAACCTGCTGTACGAAAGGGAATTTTCAACTCTGTGACTTGAGTGCACACATCACAAGGAAGTTTCTGAGGATGCTGCTGTCTACTTTTTATACGTAATCCCGTTTCCAAAGAAATCCTCCAATCTATCCAAATATCCACTTGCAGATTCCACAGAAAGACTGTTTCAAATCTGCTCTGTCAATAGAAAGATTCAACTCTGTTAGCTGCGTGCATATATCCCAAAGAAGATTCTGAGATTGCTTCTGTCTAGTTTTTATGGGAAGATATTTCCCTTTTCACCGTAGGTGTCAAGGCGCTCCAAATGTCCACTTCCAGATACTACAAAAAGAGTGTTTCCAACCTACTACTGTGAAAGGGAATATTCAACTCTGTGACTTGAATGCACATATCACAAAGAAGTTTCTGAGAATGCTTCTGTCGAGATTTTATATGAAGATATTCCCGTTTCCAACGAAATCCTGAAATCTATCCACATATCCCCTCGCAGATTCTACAAAAAGAGTGTTTCAAAACTGCTCTGTAAAAAGAAAGGTTCAACTCTGTTAGTTGAGTACACACATCACAAACAAGTTTCACAGAATGCTTCTTTCTAGCTTGTAGGGGAAGATATTCCCTTTATCACCATGGGCCTCAAACCGTCCGAAAAGTCTACTTCCATATACTACAAAAAGAGCGTTTCAAACCTTCTCTAGGAAAAGCAATGTTCAACTCTGTGACTTGAATGCAGACATCACAGAGCAGTTTCTGAGAATGCTTCTGTCTGGATTTTATAGGAAGATATTCCCGTTTCCAACGAAATCTTCACAGCTATCCAAATATCCACTTGCAGATTCTACAAAAAGAGTGTATCAAAACTGCTCTGTCAAAAGGAAGTTTCTTCTCTGTTAGTTGAGTACATACGTCATAAAGGAGTTTCTGAGAATGTTTCTGTCTAGTGGTTATGGGAAGATATTTGCTTTTTCACCGTAGGCCTCAGAGCACTCCAAATATCCACTTGCACATACTACAAAAAGAGTGCTTCAAAGCTGCTCTCTGAAACGGAATGTTCAACTCTATGAGTTGAATGCAAACATCACAAAGACGTTTCTGAGAATGCTTCTGTCTAGATTTGATATGACGATATTCCCGTTTCCAACGAAATCTTCAAATCTATCGAAATGTCCACTTGCAGATTCAACAAAACGTGTTTTTCAGAACTGCTCTATCAAAAGAAAGATCCACCTCTGTTAGCTGAGTTCACACATCACAAACAAGTTTATGAGAATGCTTCTGTCTAGTTTTTATTTGAAGATATTTCCTTTCTCACCATAGACCTGAAAGCTGTCCTAATGTTCACTTCCAGATACTACAGAAAGAGTGTTTCAAAACTGCTGTACGAAAGGGAATGTTCAACTCTGTGACTTGAACGCACACATCACAAAGAAGTTTCTGAGGATGCTGCTGTCTACTTTTTATACGTAATCCCGTTTCCAACGAAATCCTACAAGCTATCCAAATATCCACTTGCAGATTCCACAGAAAGACTGTTTCAAAACTGCTCTGTCAATAGAAAGGTTCAACTCTGTTAGCTGCGTCCATATATCCCAAAGAAGATTCTGAGATTGCTCTGTCTAGTTTTTATGGGAAGATATTTCCCTTTTCACCGTAGGCGTCAAGGCGCTCCAAATGTCCACTTCCAGATACTACAAAAAGAGTGTTTCAAACCTACTCTGTGAAAGGGAATATTCAACTCTGTGACTTGAAGGCAGATATCACAAAGAAGTTTCTGAGAATGCTTTCTGTCGAGATTTTATATGAAGATATTCCCGTTTCCAAGGAAATCCTGAAATCTATCCAAATATCCCCTCGCAGATTCTACAAAAAGAGTGCTTCAAAACTGCTCTGTAAAAAGAAAGGTTCAACTCTGTTAGTTGAGTACACACATCACAAACAAGCTTCACAGAATGCTTCTTTCTAGCTTGTAGGGGAAGATATTCCCTTTATCACCATGGGCCTCCAACCGTCCGAAACATCCAGTTCCATATACTACAAAAAGAGCGTTTCAAATCTGCTCTATGAAAGGCAATGTTCAACTCTGTGACTTGAATGCAGACATCACAGAGCAGTTTCTGAGAATGCTTCTGTCTAGATTTTATAGGAAGATATTCCCGTTTCCAACGAAATCTTCACAGCTATCCAAATATCCACTTGCAGATTCTACAAAAAGAGTGTATCAAAACTGCTCTGTCAAAAGGAAGGTTCTTTTCTGTTAGGAGAGTGCATACGTCATAAAGGAGTTTCTGAGAATGTTTCTGTCTAGTGGTTATGGGAAGATATTTGCTTTTTCACCGTAGGCCTCAGAGCGCTCCAAATATCCACTTGCACATACTACAAAAAGAGTGCTTCAAAGCTGGTCTCTGAAACGGGAATGTTCAACTCTATGAGTTGAATGCAAACATCACAAAGACGTTTCTGAGAATGCTTCTGTCTAGATTGGATATGAAGATATTCCCGTTTCCAACGAAATCTTCACATCTATCCAAATGTCCACTTGCAGATTCAACAAAAAGTGTTTTTCAGAACTGCTCTATCAAAAGAAAGATCCACCTCTGTTAGCTGAGTTCACACATCACAAACAAGTTTATGAGAATGCTTCCGTCTAGTTTTTATTTGAAGATATATCCTTTCTCACTATAGACCTGAAAGCTGTCCTAAAGTTCACTTCCAGATACTACAGAAAGAGTGTTTCAAATCTGCTGTACGAAAGGGAATGTTCAACTCTGTGACTTGAATGCACACATCACAAGGATGTTTCTGAGGATGCTGTGGTCTACTTTATATACGTAATCCCGTTTCCAACGAAATCCTCCAAGCTATCCAAATATCCACTTGCAGATTCCACAGAAAGACTGTTTCAAAACTGCTCTGTCAATAGAAAGGTTCAACTCTGTTAGCTGCGTGCATATATCCCAAAGAAGATTCTGAGATTGCTTCTGTCTAGTTTTTATGGGAAGATATTTCCCTTTTCACCGTAGGTGTCAAGGCGCTCCAAATGTCCACTTCCAGATACTACAAATAGAGTGTTTCAAACCTACTCTGTGAAAGGGAATATTCAACTCTGTGACTTAAAGGCAGATATCACAAAGAAGTTTCTGAGAATGCTTCTGTCGAGATTTTATATGAAGATACTCCCGTTTCCAACGAAATCCTGAAATCTATCCAAATATCCCCTCGCAGATTCTACAAAAAGAGTGTTTCAAAACTGCACTGTAAAAAGAAAGGTTCAACTCTGTTAGTTGAGTACACACATCACAAACAAGTTTCACAGAATGCTTCTTTCTAGCTTGTAGGGGAAGATATTCCCTTTATCACCATGGGCCTCATACCGTCCGAAACGTCCACTTCCATATACTACAAAAAGAGCGTTTCAAACCTGCTCTATGAAAGGCAATGTTCAACTCTGTGACTTGAATGCAGACATCACAGAGCAGTTTCTGAGAATGCTTCTGTCTAGATTTTATAGGAAGATATTCCCGTTTCCAACGAAATCTTCACAGCTATCCAAATATCCACTTGCAGATTCTACAAAAAGAGTGTATCAAAACTGCTCTGTCAAAAGGAAGGTTCTTCTCTGTTAGGTGAGTGCATACGTCATAAAGGAGTTTCTGACAATGTTTCTGTCTAGTGGTTATGGGAAGATATTTGCTTTTTCACCTTAGGCCTCGGAGCGCTCCAAATATCCCCTTGCACATACTACAAAAAGTGTGCTTCAAAGCTGCTCTCTGAAACGGAATGTTCAACTCTATGAGTTGAATGCAAACATCACAAAGACGTTTCTGAGAATGCTTCTGTCTAGATTTGATATGAAGATATTCCCGTTTCCAACGAAATCTTCAAATCTATCCAAATGTCCACTTGCAGATTCAACAAAGTGTTTTTCAGAACTGCTCTATCACAAGAAAGATCCACCTCTGTTAGCTGAGATCACACTTCACAAACAAGTTTATCAGAATGCTTCTGTCTAGTTTTTATTTGAAGATATTTCCTTTCTCACGATAGACCTGAAAGCTGTTCTAATGTTCACTTCCATATGCTACAGAAAGAGTGTTTCAAAACTGCTGTACGAAAGGGAATGTTCAACTCTGTGACTTGAATGCACACATCACAAAGAAGTTTCTGAGGATGCTGCTGTCTACTTTTTATACGTAATCCCGTTTCCAAGGAAATCCTCCAAGCTATCCAAATATCCACTTGCAGATTCCACAGAAAGACTGTTTCAAAACTGCTCTGTCAATAGAAAGGTTCAACTCTGTTAGCTGCGTGCATATATCCCAAAGAAGATTCTGAGATTGCTTCTGTCTAGTTTTTATGGGAAGATATTGCCCTTTTCACCGTAGGCGTCGAGGCGCTCCAAATGTCCACTTCCAGATACTACAAAAAGAGTGTTTCAAACCTACTCTGTGAAAGGGAATATTCAACTCTGTGACTTGAATGCACATATCACAAAGAAGTTTCTGAGAATGCTTCTGTCGAGATTTTATATGAAGATATTCCCGTTTCCAACGAAATGCTGAAATGTATCCAAATATCCCATCGCAGATTCTACAAAAAGAGTGTTTCAAAACTGCTCTGTAAAAAGAAAGGTTCAACTCTGTTAGTTGAGTACACACATCACAAACAAGTTTCACAGAATGCTTCTTTCTAGCTTGTAGGGGAAGATATTCCCTTTATCACCATGGGCCTCAAACCGTCCGAAACGTCCACTTCCATATACTACAAAAAGAGCGTTTCAAACCTGCTCTATGAAAGGCAATGTTCAACTCTGTGACTTGAATACAGACATCGCAGAGCAGTTCCTGAGAATGCTTCTGTCTAGATTTTACAGGAAGATATTCCCGTTTCCAACGAAATCTTCACAGCTATCCAAATATCCACTTGCAGATTCTACAAAAAGAGTGTATCAAAACTGCTCTGTCAAAAGGAAGGTTCTTCTCCGTTAGTTGAGTACATACGTCATAAAGGAGTTTCTGAGAATGTTTCTGTCTAGTGGTTATGGGAAGATATTTGCTTTTTCACCGTAGGCCTCAGAGCGCTCCAAATATCCACTTGCACATACTACAAAAAGAGTGCTTCAAAGCTGGTCTCTGAAACGGAATGTTCAACTCTATGAGTTGAATGCAAACATCCCAAAGACGTTTCTGAGAATGCTTCTGTCTAGATTTGATATGAAGATATTCCCGTTTCCAACGAAATCTTCAAATCTATCCAAATGTCCACTTGCAGATTCAACAAAAAGTGTTTTTCAGAACTGCTCTATAAAAAGAAAGATCCACCTCTGTTAGCTGAGTTCACACATCACAAACAAGTTTATGAGAATGCTTCTGTCTAGTTTTTATTTGAAGATATTTCCTTTCTTACCATAGACCTGAAAGCTCTCATCACGTTCACTTCCAGATACTACAGAAAGAGTGTTTCAAAACTGCTGTACGAAAGGGAATGTTCAACACTTTGACTTGAATGCACACATCACAAAGAAGTTTCTGAGAATGCTGCTGTCCAATTTTTATACGTAATCCCGTTTCCAACGAAATCCTCCAAGCCATCCAAATATCCACTTGCAGATTCCACAGAAAGACTGTTTCAAAACTGCTCTGTCAATAGAAAGGTTCAACTCTGTTAGCTGCGTGCATATATCCCAAAGAAGATTCTGAGATTACTTCTGTCTAGTTTTTATGGGAAGATATTTCCCTTTGCACCGTAGGTGTCAAGGCGCTCCAAATGTCCACTTCCAGATACTACAAAAAGAGTGTTTCAAACCTACTCTGTGAAAGGGAATATTCAACTCTGTGACTTGAATGCACATATCACAAAGAAGTTTCTGAGAATGCTTCTGTCGAGATTTTATATGAAGATATTCCCGTTTCCAACGAAATCCTGAAATCTATCCAAATATCCCCTCGCAGATTCTACAAAAAGAGTGTTTCAAAACTGCTCTTTAAAAAGTAAGGTTCAACTCTGTTAATTGAGTACACACATCACAAACAAGTTTCACAGAATGCTTGTTTGTAGCTTGTAGGGAAAGATATTCCCTTTATCACCATGGGCCTCAAACCGTCCGAAACGTCCACTTCCATATACTTCAAAAAGAGCGTTTCAAACCTGCTCTATGAAAGGCAATGTTCAACTCTGTGACTTGAATGCAGACATCACAGAGCTGTTTCTGAGAATGCTTCTGTCTAGATTTTATAGGATGATATTCCCGATTCCAACGAAATCTTCACAGCTATCCAAATATCCACTTGCAGATTCTACAAAAAGAGTGTATCAAAACTGCTCTGTCAAAAGGAAGGTTCTTCTCTGTTAGGTGAGTGCATACGTCATAAAGGAGTTTCTGAGAATGTTTCTGTCTAGTGGTTATGGGAAGATATTTGCTTTTTCACCTTAGGCCTCAGAGCGCTCCAAATATCCCCTTGCACATCCTACAAAAAGAGTGCTTCAAAGCTGCTCTCTGAAAGGGAATGTTCAACTCTATGAGTTGAATGCAAACATCACAAAGACGTTTCTGAGAATGCTTCTGTCTAGATTTGATATGAAGATATTCCCGTTTCCAACGAAATCTTCAAATCTATCCAAATGTCCGCTTGCAGATTCAACAAAACGTGTTTTTCAGAACTGCTCTATCAAAAGAAAGATGCCACGTCTCTAAGCTGAGTTCACACATCACAAACAAGTTTATGAGAATGCTTCTGTCTAGTTTTTATTTGAAGATATTGCCTTTCTCACCATCGACCTGAAAGCTGTCCTAATGTTCACTTCCAGATACTACAGAAAGAGTGTTTCAAAACTGCTGTACGAAAGGGAATGTTCAACTCTGTGACTTGAATGCACACATCACAAAGAAGTTTCTGAGGATGCTGCTGTCTACTTTTTATACGTAATCCCGTTTCCAATGAAATCCTCCAATCTATCCAAATATCTACTTGCAGATTCCACAGAAAGACTGTTTCAAAACTGCTCTGTCAATAGAAAGGTTCAACTCTGTTAGCTGTGTGCATATATCCCAAAGAAGATTCTGAGATTGCTTCTGTCTAGTTTTTATGGGAAGATATTTCCCTTTTCACCGTAGGCGTCAAGGCGCTCCGAATGTCCACTTCCAGATACTACAAAAAGAGTGTTTCAAACCTCCTCTGTGAAAGGGAATATTCAACTCTGTGACTTGAATGCACATATCACAAAGAAGTTTCTGAGAATGCTTCTGTCGAGATTTTATATGAAGATATTCCCGTTTCCAATGAAATCCTGAAATCTATCCAATTATCCCCTCGCAGATTCTACAAAAAGAGTGTTTCAAAACTGCTCTGTAAAAAGAAAGGTACAACTCTGTTAGTTGAGTACACACATCACAAACAAGTTTCACAGAATGCTTCTTTCTAGCTTGTAGGGGAAGATATTCCCTTTATCACCATGGGCCTCAAACCGTCCGATAAGTCCACTTCCATATACTACAAAAAGAGCGTTTCAAACCTGCTCTATGAAAGGCAATGTTCAACTCTGTGACTTGAATGCAGACATCACAGCAGCAGTTTCTGAGAATGCTTCTGTCTAGATTTTATAGGAAGATATTCCCGTTTCCAACGAAATCTTCACAGCTATCCAAATATCCACTTGCAGATTCTACAAAAAGAGTGTATCAAAACTGCTCTGTCAAAAGGAAGGTTCTTCGCTGTTAGTTGAGTACATACGTCATAAAGGAGTTTCTGAGAATGTTTCTGTCTAGTGGTTATGGGAAGATATTTGCTTTTTCACCGTAGGCCTCACAGCGCTCCAAATATCCCCTTGCACATACTACAAAAAGAGTGCTTCAAAGCTGCTCTCTGAAACGGAATGTTCAACTCTATGAGTTGAATGCAAACATGACAAAGACGTTTCCGAGAATGCTTCTGTCTAGATTTGATATGAAGATATTCCCATTTCCAACGAAATCTTCAAATCTATCCAAATGTCCACTTGCAGATTCAACAGAAAGTGTTTTTCAGAACTGCTCTATCAAAAGAAAGATCCACCTCTGTTAGCTGAGTTCACACATCACAAACAAGTTTATGAGAATGCTTCTGTCTAGTTTTTATTTGAAGATATTTCCTTTCTCACCATAGACCTGAAAGCTGTCCTAATGTTCACTTCCAGATACTACAGAAAGAGTGTTTCAAAACTGCTGTACGAAAGGGAATGTTGAACTCTGTGACTTGAATGCACACATCACAAAGAAGTTTCTGAGAATGCTGCTGTCTACTTATTATACGTAATCCCGTTTCCAACGAAATCCTCCAAGCTATCCAAATATCCAGTTGCAGATTCCACAGAAAGACTCTTTCAAAACTGTTCTGTCAATAGAAAGGTTCAACTCTGTTAGCTGCGTGCATATATCCCAAAGAAGATTCTGAGATTGCTTCTGTCTAGTTTTTATGGGAAGATATTTCCCTTTTCACCGTAGGCGTCAAGGCGCTCCAAATGTCCACTTCCAGATACTACAAAAAGAGTGTTTCAAACCTACTCTGTGAAAGGGTATATTCAACTCTGTGACTTGAATGCACATATCACAAAGAAGTTTCTGAGAATGCTTCTGTCGAGATTTTATATGAAGATATTCCCGTTTCCAACGAAATCCTGAAATCTATCCAAATATCCCCTCACAGATTCTACAAAAGGAGTGTTTCAAAACTGCTCTGTAAAAAGAAAGGTTCAACTCTGTTAGTTGAGTACACACATCACAAACAAGTTTCACAGAATGCTTCTTTCTAGCTGGTAGGGGAAGATATTCCCTTTATCACCATGGGCCTCAAACCGTCCGAAACGTCCACATCCATATACTACAAAAAGAGCGTTTCAAACCTTCTCTATGAAAGGCAATGTTCAACTCTGTGACTTGAATGCAGACATCACAGAGCAGTTTCTGAGAATGCTTCTGTCTAGATTTTATAGGAAGATATTCCCGTTTCCAAAGAAATCTTCACAGCTATCCAAATATCCACTTGCAGATTCTACAAAAAGAGTGTATCAAAACTGCTCTGTCAAAAGGAAGGTTCTTCTCTGTTAGGTGAGTGCACACGTCATAAAGGAGTTTCTGAGAATGTTTCTGTCTACTGGTTATGGGAAGATATTTGCTTTTTCACCGTAGGCCTCAGAGCGCTCCAAATATCCACTTGCACATGCTACAAAAAGAGTGCTTCAAAGCTGCTCTCTGAAACGGAATGTTCAACTTCTATGAGTTGAATGCAAACATCACAAAGACGTTTCTGAGAATGCTTCTGTCTAGATTTGATATGAAGATATTCCCGTTTCCAACTGAAATCTTCAAATCTATCCAAATGCCCACTTGCAGATTCAACAAAAAGTGTTTTTCAGAACTGCTCTATCAAAAGAAAGATCCACCTCTGTTAGCTGAGTTCACACATCACAAACAAGTTTATGAGAATGCTTCTGTCTAGTTTTTATTTGAAGATATTTCCTTTCTCACCATAGACCTGAAAGCTGTCGTAATGTTCACTTCCAGATACTACAGAAAGAGTGTTTCAAAACTGCTGTACGAAAGGGAATGTTCAACTCTGTGACTTGAATGCACACATCACAAAGAAGTTTCTGAGGATCCTGCTTTCTACTTTTTATACGTAATCCCGTTTCCAACGAAATCCTCCAAGCTATCCAAATATCCACTTGCAGATTCCACAGAAAGACTGTTTCAAAACTGCTCTGTCAATAGAAAGGTTCAACTCTGTTACCTGCGTGCATATATCCCAAAGAAGATTCTGAGATTGCTTCTGTCTAGTTTTTATGGGAAAATATTTCCCTTTTCACCGTAGGTGTCAAGGCGCTCCAAATGTCCACTTCCAGATGCTACAAAAAGAGTGTTTCAAACCTACTCTGTGAAAGGGAATATTCAACTCTGTGACTTGAATGCAGATATCACAAAGAAGTTTCTGAGAATGCTTCTGTCGAGATTTTCTATGAAGATATTCCCGTTTCCAACGAAATCCTGAAATCTATCCAAATATCCCCTCGCAGATTCTACAAAAAGAGTGTTTCAAAACCGCTCTGTAAAAAGAAAGGTTCAACTCTGTTAGTTGAGTACACACATCACAAACAAGTTTCACAGAATGCTACTTTCTAGCTTGTAGGGGAAGATATTCCCTTTATCACCATGGGCCTCCAACCGTCCGAAACATCCACTTCCATATACTACAAAAAGAGCGTTTCAAACCTGCTCTATGAAAGGCAATGTTCAACTCTGTGACTTGAATGCAGACATCACAGAGCAGTTTCTGAGAATGCTTCTGTCTAGATTTTATAGGAAGATATTCCCGTTTCCAACGAAATCTTCACAGCTATCCAAATATCCACTTGCAGATTCTACAAAAAGAGTGTATCAAAACTGCTCTGTCAAAAGGAAGGTTCTTCTCTGTTAGTTGAGTACATACGTCATAAAGGAGTTTCTGAGAATCTTTCTGTCTAGTGGTTATGGGAAGATATTTGCTTTTTCACCGTAGGCCTCAGAGCGCTCCAAATATCCCCTTGCACATACTACAAAAAGAGTGCTTCAAAGCTGCTCTCTGAAAGGGAATGTTCAACTCTGTGAGTTGAATGCAAACATCACAAAGACGTTTCTGAGAATGCTTCTGTCTAGATTTGATATGAAGATATTCCCGTTTCCAAAGAAATCTTCAAATCTATCCAAATGTCCACTTGCAGATTCAACAAAAAGTGTTTTTCAGAACTGCTCTATCAAAAGAAAGATCCACCTCTGTTAGCTGAGTTCACACATCACAAACAAGTTTATGAGAATGCTTTCTGTCTAGTTTTTATTTGAAGATATTTCCTTTCTCACCATAGACCTGAAAGCTGTCCTAATGTTCACTTCCAGATACTACAGAAAGAGTGTTTCAAAACTGCTGTACGAAAGGGAATGTTCAACTCTGTGACTTGAATGCACACATCACAAAGAAGTTTCTGAGAATGCTGCTGTCTACTTTTTATACGTAATCCCGTTTCCAACGAAATCCTCCAATCTAACCAAATATCCACTTGCAGATTCCACAGAAAGACTGTTTCAAAACTGCTCTGTCAATAGAAAGGTTCAACTCTGTTAGCTGCGTGCATATATCCCAAAGAAGATTCTGAGATTGCTTCTGTCTAGTTTTTATGGGAAGATGTTTCCCTTTTCACCGTAGGCGTCAAGGCGCTCCAAATGTATACTTCCAGATACTACAAAAGAGTGTTTCAAACCTACACTGTGAAAGGGAATATTCAACTCTGTGACTTGAATGCAGATATCACAAAGAAGTTTCTGAGAATGCTTCTGTCGAGATTTTATATGAAGATATTCCCGTTTCCAACGAAATCCTGAAATCTATCCAAATATCCCCTCGCAGATTCTACAAAAAGAGTGTTTCAAAACTGCTCTGTAAAAAGAAAGGTTCAACTCTGTTAGTTGAGTACACACATCCCAAACAAGTTTCACACAATGCTTCTTTCTAGCTTGTAGGGGAAGATATTTCCTTTATCACCATCATCCTCAAACCATCCGAATCGTCCACTTCCATATACTAAAAAAAGAGTGTTTGAAACCTGCTCTATGAAAGGCAATGTTCAACTCTGTGACTTGAATGCAGACATCACAGAGCAGTTTCTGAGAATGCTTCTGTCCAGACTTTATAGGAAGATATTCCCGTTTCCATCGAAATCTTCACAGCTATCCAAATATCCACTTGCAGATAGTACAAAAAGAGTGTATCAAAAATGCTCTGTCAAAAGGAAAGTTCTTCTCTGCTAGTTGAGTACATACGTCATAAAGAAGTTTCTGAGAATGTTCCTGTCTAGTGGTTATGGGAAGATATTTGCTTTTTCCCTGTAGGCCTCAAAGCGCTCCAAATGTCCACTTCAACGTACTACAAAAAGAGTGCTTCAAAGCTGCTCTCTGAAAGGGAATGTTCAACTCTATGAGTTGAATGCTAACATCACAAAGACGTTTCTGAGAATGCTTCTGTCTAGACTTGATATGAAGATATTCCCGTTTCCAACAAAATCTTCAAATCTATCCAAATGTCCACTTGCAGATTCAACAAAAAGTGTTTTTCAGAACTGCTCTATCAAAAGAAAGATCCACCTCTGTTAGCTGAGTTCACACATCACAAGCAAGTTTATGAGAATGCTTCTGTCCAGTTTTTATTTGAAGATATTTCCTTTCTCACCATAGAGCTGAAAGCTGTCCTAATGTTCACTTCCAGATACTACAGAAAGAGTGTTTCAAAACTGCTGTACGAAAGGGAATGTTCAACTCTGTGACTTGAATGCACACATCACAAAGAAGTTTCTGAGGATGCTGCTGTCTACTTTTTATATGTAATCCCGTTTCCAACGAAATCCTCCAATCTATCCAAATATCCACTTGCAGATTCCACAGAAACACTGTTTCAAAACTGCTCTGTCAATAGAAAGGTTAAACTCTGTTAGCTGCGTGCATATATCCCAAAGAAGATTCTGAGATTGCTTCTGTCTAGTTTTTATGGGAAGATATTTCCCTTTTCACCGTAGGTGTCAAGGCGCTCCCAATGTCCACTTCCAGATACTACAAAAAGAGTGTTTCAAACCTACTTGGTGAAAGGGAATATTCAACTCTGTGACTTGAATGCAGATATCACAAAGATGTTTCTGAGAATGCTTCCGTCGAGATTTTATATGAAGATATTCCCGTTTCCAACGAAATCCTGAAATCTATCCAAATATCCCCTCGCAGATTCTACAAAAAGAGTGTTTCAACACTGCTCTGTAAAAAGAAAGGTTCAACTCTGTTAGTTGAGTACACACATCACAAACAAGTATCACAGAATGCTTCTTTCTAGCTTGTAGGGGAAGATATTCCCTTTATCACCATGGGCCTCAAACCGTCTGAAACGTCCACTTCCATATACTGCAAAAAGAGCATTCCAAACCTGCTCTATGAAAGGCAATGTTCAACTCTGTGACTTGAATGCAGACATCACAGAGCAGTTTCTTGAGAATGCTTCTGTCTAGATTTTATAGGAAGATATTCCCGTTTCCAACGAAATCTTCACAGCTATCCAAATATCCACTTGCAGATTCTACAAAAGGAGTGTATCAAAACTGCTCTGTCAAAAGGAAGGTTCTTCTCTGCTAGGTGAGTGCATACGTCATAAAAGAGTTTCTGAGAATGTTTCTGTCTAGTGGTTATGGGAAGATATTTGCTTTTTCACCGTAGGCCTCACAGCGCTCCAAATATCCACTTGCACACACTACAAAAAGAGTGCTTCAAAGCTGCTCTCTGAAACGGAATGTTCAACTCTATGAGTTGAATGCAAACATCACAAAGACGTTTCTGAGAATGCTTCTGTCTAGATTTGATATGAAGATATTCCCGTTTCCAACGAAATCTTCAAATCTATCCAAATGTCCACTTGCAGATTCAACAAAAAGTGTTTTTCCGAACTGCTCTATCAAAAGAAAGATCCATCTCTGTTAGCTGAGTTCACACATCACAAACAAGTTTATGAGAATGCTTCTGTCTAGTTTTTATTTGAAGATATTTCCTTTCTCACCATAGACCTGAAAACTGTCCTAATGTTCACTTACAGATACTACAGAAAGAGTGTTTCAAAACTGCTGTACGAAAGGGAATGTTCAACTCTGTGACTTGAATGCACACATCACAAAGAAGTTTCTGAGGATGCTGCTGTCTACTTTTTATACGTAATCCCGTTTCCAACGAAATCCTCCAAGCTATCCAAATATCCACTTGCAGATTCCACAGAAAGACTGTTTCAAAACTGCTCTGTCAATAGAAAGGTTCAAATCTGTTAGCTGCGTGCATATATCCCAAAGAAGATTCTGAGATTGCTTCTGTCTACTTTTTATGAGAAGATATTTCCCTTTTCACCGTAGGCGTCAAGGTGCTCAAAATGTCCACTTCCAGATACTACAAAAAGAGTGTTTCAAACCTACTCTGTGAAAGGGAATATTCAACTCTCTGACTTGAATGCACATATCACAAAGAAGTTTCTGAGAATGCTTCTGTCGAGATTTTTTATGAAGATATTCCCGTTTCCAACGAAATCTTGAAATCTATCCAAATATCCCCTCGCAGATTCTACAAAAAGAGTGTTTCAAAACTGCTCTGTAAAAAGAAAGGTTCAACTCTGTTAGTTGAGTACACACATCACAAACAAGTTTCACAGAATGCTTCTTTCTAGCTTGTAGGGGAAGATATTCCCTTTATCACCATGGGCCTCAAACCGTCCGAAACATCCACTTCCATATACTACAAAAAGAGCGTTTCAAACCTGCTCTATGAAAGGCAATGTTCAACTCTGTGACTTGAATGCAGACATCACAGAGCAGTTTCTGAGAATGCTTCTGTCTAGATTTTATAGGAAGATATTCCCGTTTCCAACGAAATCTTCACAGCTATCCAAATATCCACTTGCAGATTCTACAAAAAGAGTGTATCAAAACTGCTCTGTCAAAAAGAAGGTTCTTCTCTGTTAGTTGAGTACATACGTCATAAAGGAGTTTCTGAGAATGTTTCTGTCTAGTGGTTATGGGAAGATATTTGCTTTTTCCCTATAGGCCTCAGAGCGCTCCAAATATCCACTTGCACATACTACAAAAAGAGTGCTTCAAAGCTGCTCTCTGAAAGGGAATGTTCAACTCTATGAGTTGAATGCAAACATCACAAAGACGTTTCTGAGAATGCTTCTGTCTAGATTTGATATGAAGATATTCCCGTTTCCAAAGAAATCTTCAAATCTACCCAAATGTCCACTTGCAGATTCAACAAAAAGTGTTTTTCAGAACTGCTCTATCAAAAGAAAGATCCACGTCTCTTAGCTGAGTTCACACATCACAAACAAGTTTATGAGAATGCTTCTGTCTAGTTTTTATTTGAAGATATTTCCTTTCTCACCATAGACCTGAAAGCTGTCCTAATGTTCACTTCCAGATACTACAGAAAGAGTGTTTCAAAACTGCTGTACGAAAGGGAATGTTCAACTCTGTGACTTGAATGCATACATCACAAAGAAGTTTCTGAGGATGCTGCTGTCTACTTTTTGTACGTAATCCCGTTTCCAACGAAATCCTCAAAGCTATCCAAATATCCACTTGCAGATTCCACAGAAAGACTGTTTCAAAACTGCTCTGTCAATAGAAAGGTTCAACTCTGTTAGCTGCGTGCATATATCCCAAAGAAGATTCTGAGATTGCTTCTGTCTACTTTTTATGAGAAGATATTTCCCTTTTCACCGTAGGCGTCAAGGCGCTCCAAATGTCCACTTCCAGATACTACAAAAAGAGTGTTTCAAACCTACTCTGTGAAAGGGAATATTCAACTCTGTGACTTGAATGCACATATCACAAAGAAGTTTCTGAGAATGCTTCTGTCGAGATTTTCTATGAAGATATTCCCGTTTCCAATGAAATCCTGAAATCTATCCAAATATCCCCTCGCAGATTCTACAAAAAGAGTGTTTCAAAACTGCTCTGTAAAAAGAAAGGTTCAACTCTGTTAGTTGAGTACACACATCACAAACAAGTTTCACAGAATGCTTCTTTCTAGCTTGTAGGGGAAGATATTCCCTGTATCACCATGGACCTCAAACCGTCCGAAACATCCACTTCCATATACTAAAAAAAGAGTGTTTGAAACCTGCTCTATGAAAGGCAATGTTCAACTCTGTGACTTGAATCCAGACATCACAGAGCAGTTTCTGAGAATGCTTCTGTCCAGACTTTATAGGAAGATATTCCCGTTTCCAACGAAATCTTCACAGCTATCCCAATATCCACTTGCAGATAGTACAAAAAGAGTGTATCAAAAATGCTCTGTCAAAAGGAAAGTTCTTCTCTGCTAGTTGAGTACATACGTCATAAAGAAGTTTCTGAGAATGTTTCTGTCTAGTGGTTATGGGAAGATATTTGCTTTTTCACCGTAGACCTCAGAGCGCTCCAAATATCCACTTGCACATACTACAAAAAGAGTGCTTCAAACCTGCTCTCTGAAACGGAATGTTCAACTCTATGAGTTGAATGCAAACATCACAAAGACGTTTCTGAGAATGCTTCTGTCTAGATTGATATGAAGATATTCCCGTTTCCAACGAAATCTTCAAATCTATCCAAATGTCCACTTGCAGATTCAACAAAAAGTGTTTTTCAGAACTGCTCTATCAAAAGAAAGATCCACCTCTGTTAGCTGAGTTCAGACATCACAAACAAGTTTATGAGAATGCTTCTGTCTAGTTTTTATTTGAAGATATTTCCTTTCTCACCATAGACCTGAAAGCTGTCCTAATGTTTACTTCCAGATGCTACAGAAAGAGTGTTTCAAAACTGCTGTACGAAAGGGAATGTTCAACTCTGTGACTTGAATGCACACATCACAAAGAAGTTTCTGAGGATGCTGCTGTCTACTTTTGATACGTAATCCCCTTTCCAACGAAATCCTCCAATCTATCCAAATATCCACTTGCAGATTCCACAGAAAGACTGTTTCAAAACTGCTCTGTCAATAGAAAGGTTCAACTCTGTTAGCTGCGTGCATATATCCCAAAGAAGATTCTGAGATTGCTTCTGTCTTGTTTTTATGGGAAGATATTTCCCTTTTCACCGTAGGCGTCAAGGCGCTCCAAATGTCCACTTCCAGATACTACAAAGAGTGTTTCAAACCTACTCTGTGAAAGGGAATATTCAACTCTGTGACTTGAATGCAGATATCACAAATAAGTTTCTGAGAATGCTTCTGTCGAGATTTTATATGAAGATATTCCCGTTTCCAACAAAATGCTGAAATGTATCCAAATATCCCCTCGCAGATTCTACAAAAAGAGTGTTTCAAAACTGCTCTGTAAAAAGAAAGGTTCAACTCTGTTAGTTGAGTACACACATCACAAACAAGTTTCACAGAATGCTTCTTTCTAGCTTGTAGGGGAAGATATTCCCTTTATCACCATGGGCCTCAAACCGTCCGAAACGTCCACTTCCATATACTACAAAAAGAGCGTTTCAAACCTGCTCTATGAAAGGCAATGTTCAACTCTGTGACTTGAATGCAGACATCACAGAGCAGTTTCTCAGAATGCTGCTGTCTAGATTTTATACGAAGATATTCCCGTTTCCAACGAAATCTTCAATGCTATTCAAATATCCACTTGCAGATTCTACAAAAAGAGTGTATCAAAACTGCTCTGTCAAAAGGAAGGTTCTTCTCTGTTAGGTGAGTGCATACGTCATAAAGGAGTTTCTGAGAATGTTTCTGTCTAGTGGTTATGGGAAGATATTTGCTTTTTCACCGTAGGCCTCAGAGCGCACCAAATATCCACTTGCACATACTACAAAAAGAGTGCTTCAAAGCTGCTCTCTGAAACGGAATGTTCAACTCTATGAGTTGAATGCAAACATCACAAAGACGTTTCTGAGAATGCTTCTGTCTAGATTTGATATGAAGATATTCCCGTTTCCAACGAAATCTTCAAATCTATCCAAATGTCCACTTGCAGATTCAACAAAAAGTGTTTTTCAGAACTGCTCTATCAAAAGAAAGATCCACCTCTGTTAGCTGAGTTCTCACATCACAAACAAGTTTATGAGAATGCTTCTGTCTAGTTTTTATTTGAAGATATTTCCTTTCTCACCATAGAGCTGAAAGCTGTCCTAATGTTCACTTCCGGATACTACAGAAAGAGTGTTTCAAAACTGCTGTACGAAAGGGAATGTTCAACTCTGTGACTTGAATGCACACATCACAAAGAAGTTTCTGAGGATGCTGCTGTCTACTTTTTATACGTAATCCCGTTTCCAACGAAATCCTCCAAGCTATCCAAATATCCACTTGCAGATTCCACAGAAAGACTGTTTCTAAACTGCTCTATCAATAGAAAGGTTCAACTCTGTTAGCTGCGTGCATATATCCCAAAGAAGATTCTGAGATTCCTTCTGTCTAGTTTTTATGGGAAGATATTTCCCTTTTTCACCGTAGGTGTCAAGGCGCTCCAAATGTCCACTTCCAGATACTACAAAAAGAGTGTTTCAAACCTACTCTGTGAAAGGGAATATTCAACTCTGTGACTTGAATGCAGATATCACAAAGTAGTTTCTGAGAATGCTTCTGTCGAGATTTTATATGAAGATATTCCCGTTTCCAACGAAATCCTGAAATCTATCCAAATATCCCCTCGCAGATTCTACAAAAAGAGTGTTTCAAAACTGCTCTGTAAAAAGAAAGGTTCAACTCTGTTAGTTGAGTACACACATCACAAACAAGTTTCACAGAATGCTTCTTTCTAGCTTGTAGGGGAAGATATTCCCTTTATCACCATGGGCCTCAAACCGTCCGAAACGTCCACTTCCATATACTACAAAAAGAGCGTTTCAAACCTGCTCTATGAAAGGCAATGTTCAACTCTGTAACTTGAATGCAGACATCACAGAGCAGTTTCTGAGAATGCTTCTGTCTAGATTTTATAGGAAGATATTCCCGTTTCCAACGAAATCTTCACAGCTATCCAAATATCCACTTGCAGATTCTACAAAAAGAGTGTATCAAAACTGCTCTGTCTAAAGGAAGGTTCTTCTCTGTTAGGTGAGTGCATACGTCATAAAGGAGTTTCTGAGAATGTTTCTGTCTAGTGGTTATGGGAAGATATTTGCTTTTTCACCTTAGGCCTCAGAGCGCTCCAAATATCCACTTGCACATACTACAAAAACAGTGCTTCAAAGCTGCTCTCTGAAAGGGAATGTTCAACTCTATGAGTTGAATGCAAACATCACAAAGACGTTTCTGAGAAGCTTCTGTCTAGATTTGATATGAAGATATTCCCGTTTCCAACGAAATCTTCAAATCTATCCAAATGTCCACTTGCAGATTCAACAAAAAGTGTTTTTCAGAACTGCTCTATCAAAAGAAAGATCCACCTCCGTTAGCTGAGTTCACACATCACAAACAAGTTTATGAGAATGCTTCTGTCTAGTTTTTATTTGAAGATATTTCCTTTCTCACCATAGAGCTGAAAGTTGTCCTAATGTTCACTTCCAGATACTACAGAAAGAGTGTTTCAAAACTGCTGTACGAAAGGGAATGTTCAACTCTGTGACTTGAATGCACACATCACAAAGAAGTTTCTGAGGATGCTGCTGTCTACTTTTTATACGTAATCCCGTTTCCAACGAAATCCTCCAAGGTATCCAAATATCCACTTGCAGATTCCACAGAAAGACTGTTTCAAAACTGCTCTGTCAATAGAAAGGTTCAACTCTATTAGCTGCGTACATATATCCCAAAGAAGATTCTGAGATTGCTTCTGTCTAGTTTTTATGGGAAGATATTTCCCTTTTCACCGTAGGCGTCAAGGCGCTCCAAATGTCCACTTCCAGATACTACAAAAAGAGTGTTTCAAACCTACTCTGTGAAAGGGAATATTCAACACTGTGACTTGAATGCACATATCACAAGGAAGTTTCTGAGAATGCTTCTGTCGAGATTTTATATGAAGATATTCCCGTTCCCAACGAAATCCTGAAATCTATCCAAATATCCCCTCGCAGATTCTACAAAAAGAGTGTTTCAAAACTGCTCTGTGAAAAGAAAGGTTCAACTCTGTTAGTTGAGTACACACATCACAAACAAGTTTCACAGAATGCTTCTTTCTAGCTTGTAGGGGAAGATATTCCCTTTATCACCATGGGCCTCAAACCGTCCGAAACGTCAACTTCCATATACTACAAAAAGAGCATTTCAAACCTGCTCTATGAAAGGCAATGTTCAACTCTGTGACTTGAATGCAGACATCACAGAGCAGTTTCTGAGAATGCTTCTGTCTAGATTTTATAGGAAGATACTCCCGTTTCCAGCGAAATCTTCACAGCTATCCAAATATCCACTTGCAGATTCTACAAAATGAGTTTATCAAAACTGCTCTGTCAAAAGGAAGGTTCTTCTCTGTTAGTTGAGTACATACGTCATAAAGGAGTTTCTGAGAATGTTTCTGTCTAGTGGTTATGGGAAGATATTTGCTTTTTCACCGTAGGCCTCAGAGCGCTCCAAATATCCACTTGCACATACTACAAAAAGAGTGCTTCAAAGCTGGTCTCTGAAACGGAATGTTCAACTCTATGAGTTCAATGCAAACATCACAAAGACGTTTCTGAGAATGCTTCTGTCTAGATTTGATATGAAGATATTCCCGTTTCCAACGAAATCTTCATATCTATCAAAATGTCCACTTGCAGATTCAACAAAAAGTGTTTTTCAGAACTGCTCTATCAAAAGAAAGATCCACCTCTGTTAGCTGAGTTCACACATCACAAACAAGTTTATGAGAATGCTTCTGTCTAGTTTTTATTTGAAGATATCTCCTTTCTCACTATAGGCCTGAAAGCTCTCGTCCCGTTCACTTCCAGATACTACAGAAAGAGTGTTTCAAACCTGCTGTACGAAAGGGAATGTTCAACACTTTGACTTGAATGCACACATCACAAAGATGTTTCTGAGAATGCTGCTGTCTACTTTTTATACGTAATCCCGTTTCCAACGAAATCCTCCAAGCTATCCAAATATCCACTTGCAGATTCCACAGAAAGACTGTTTCAAAACTGCTCTGTCAATAGAAAGGTTCAACTCTGTTAGCTGCGTGCATACATCCCAAAGAAGATTCGGAGATTGCTTCTGTCTAGTTTTTATGGGAAGATATTTCCTTTTTCACCGTAGGCGTCAAGGCGCTCAAAATGTCCACATCCAAATACTACAAAAAGAGTGTTTCAAACCTACTCTGTGAAAGGGAATATTCAACTCTGTGACTTGAATGCAGATATCACAAAGAAGTTTCTGAGAATGCTTCTGTCGAGATTTTATATGAAGATATTCCCGTTTCCAACGAAATCCTGAAATCTATCCAAATATCCCCTCGCAGATTCTACAAAAAGAGTGTTTCAAAACTGCTCTGTATAAAGAAAGGTTCAACTCTATTAGCTGAGTACACACATCACAAACAAGTTTCACAGAATGCTTCCTTCTAGCTTGTAGGGGAAGATATTCCCTTTATCACCATGGGCCTCAAACCGTCCGAAACGTCCACTTCCATATACTACAAAAAGAGCGTTTCAAACCTGCTCTATGAAAGGCAATGTTCAACTCTGTGACTTGAATGCAGACATCACAGAGCAGTTTCTGAGAATGCTTCTGTCTACATTTTATAGGAAGTTATTCCCGTTTCCAACGAAATCTTCACAGCTATCCAAATATCCACTTGCAGATTCTACAAAAAGAGTGTATCAAAACTGCTCTGTCAAAAGGAAGGTTCTTCTCTGTTAGGTGAGTGCATACGTCATAAAGGAGTTTCTGAGAATGTTTCTGTCTAGTGGTTATGGGAAGATATTTGCTTTTTCACCTTAGGCCTCAGAGCGCTCCAAATATCCCCTTGCACATACTACAAAAAGAGTGCTTCAAAGCTGCTCTCTGAAAGGGAATGTTCAACTCTATGGGTTGAATGCAAACATCACAAAGACGTTTGCTGAGAATGCTTCTGTCTAGATTTGATATGAAGATATTCCCGTTTCCAAAGAAATCTTCCAATCTATCCAAATGTCCACTTGCAGATTCAACAAAAAGTGTTTTTCAAAACTGCTGTATCGAAAGAAAGATCCACCTCTGTTAGTTGAGTTCACACATCACAAACAAGTTTTTAAAAATGCTTCTGTCTATTTTTTATTTGAAGATATAGCCTTTCTCACTATAGACATGAAAGCTCTCCTAAAGTTCACTTCCAGATACTTCAGAAAGAGTGTTTCAAAACTGCTGTAGGAAAGGGAATGTTCAACTCTGTGACTTGAATGCACACATTACAAGGAAGTTTCTGAGGATGCTGCTGTCTAATTTTTATACGTAATCCCGTTTCCAACGAAATCCTCCAAGCTATCCAAATATCCACTTGCAGATTCCACAGAAAGACTGTTTCAAAACTGCTCTGTCAATAGAAAGGTTCAACTCTGTTAGCTGCGTGCATATATCCCAAAGAAGATTCTGAGATTGCTTCTGTCTAGTTTTCATGGGAAGATATTTCCCTTTTCACCGTAGGCGTCAAGGCGCTCCAAATGTCCACTTCCAGATACTACAAAAAGAGTGTTTCAAACCTACTCTGTGAAAGGGAATATTCAACTCTGTGACTAGAATGCACATATCACAAAGAAGTTTCTGAGAATGCATCTGTCGAGATTTTATATGAAGATATTCCCGTTTCCAACGAAATCCTGAAATCTATCCAAATATCCCCTCGCAGATTCTACAAAAAGAGTGTTTCAAAACTGCTCTGTAAAAAGAAAGGTTCAAATCTGTCAGTTGAGTACACACATCACAAACAAGTTTCACACAATGCTTCTTTCTAGCTTGTAGGGGAAGATATTCCCTTTATCACCATGGGCCTCAAACCGTCCGAAAAGTCCACTTCCATATACTACAAAAAGAGCGTTTCAAACCTGCTCTATGAAAGGCAATGTTCAACTCTGTTACTTGAATGCAGACATCACAGAGCAGTTTCTGAGAATGCTTCTGTCTAGATTTTATAGGAAGATATGCCCGTTTCCAACGAAATCTTCACAGCTATCCCAAATATCCACTTGCAGATTCTACAAAAAGAGTGTATCAAAACTGCTCTGTCAAAAGGAAGGTTCTTCTCTGTTAGGTGAGTGCATACGTCATAAAGGAGTTTCTGAGAATGTTTCTGTCTAGTGATTATGGGAAGATATTTGCTTTTTCACCGTAGGCCTCAGAGCGCTCCAAATATCCACTTGCACATACTACAAAAAGAGTGCTTCAAACCTGCTCTCTGAAACGGAATGTTCAACTCTATGAGTTGAATGCAAACATCACAAAGACGTTTCTGAGAATGCTTCTGTCTAGATTTGATATGAAGATATTCCCGTTTCCAACGAAATCTTCAAATCTATCCAAATGTCCACTTGCAGATTCAACAAAACGTGTTTTTCAGAACTGCTCTATCAAAAGAAAGATCCACGTCTCCTAGCTGAGTTCACACATCACAAACAAGTTTATGAGAATGCTTCTGTCTAGTTTTTATTTGAAGATATATCCTTTCTCACTATAGACCTGAAAGCTGTCCTAAAGTTCACTTCCAGATACTACAGAAAGAGTGTTTCAAAACTGCTGTACGAAAGGGAATGTTCAACTCTGTGACTTGAATGCACACATCACAAGGATGTTTACTGAGGATGCTGCTGTCTACATTTGATACGTAATCCCGTTTCCAACGAAATCCTCCAAGCTATCCAAATATCCACTTGCAGATTCCACAGAAAGACTGTTTCAAAACTGCTCTGTCAATAGAAAGGTTCAACTCTGTTAGCTGCGTGCATATATCCCAAAGAAGATTCTGAGATTGCTTCTGTCTAGTTTTGATGGGAAGATATTTCCCTTTTCACCGTAGGCGTCAAGGCGCTCCAAATGTCCACTTCCAGATACTACAAAAAGAGTGTTTCAAACCTACTCTGTGAAAGGGAATATTCAACTCTGTGACTTGAATGCACATATCACAAGGAAAGTTTCTGAGAATGCTTCTGTCGAGATTTTATATGAAGATATTCCCGTTTCCAACGAAATCCCGAAATGTATCCAAATATCCCCTCGCAGATTCTACAAAAAGAGTGTTTCAAAACTGCTCTGTAAAAAGAAAGGTTCAACTCTGTTAGTTGAGTACACACATCACAAACAAGTTTCACACAATGCTTCTTTCTAGCTCGTAGGGGAAGATATTCCCTTTATCACCATGGGCCTCCAACCGTCCGAAACATCCACTTCCATATACTACAAAAAGAGCGTTTCAAACCTGCTCTATGAAAGGCAATGTTCAACTCTGTGACTTGAAAGCAGACATCACAGAGCAGTTTCTGAGAATGCTTCTGTCTAGATTTTATAGGAAGATATTTCCGTTTCCAACGAAACCTTCACAGCTATCCAAATATCCACTTGCAGATTCTACAAAAAGAGTGTATCAAAACTGCTCTGTCAAAAGGAAGGTTCTTCTCTGTTAGGTGAGTGCATACGTCATAAAGGAGTTTCTGAGAATGTTTCTGTCTAGTGGTTATGGGAAGATATTTGCTTTTTCACCGTAGGCCTCAGAGCGCTCCAAATATCCACTTGCACATACTACAAAAAGAGTGCTTCAAAGCTGCTCTCTGAAAGGGAATGTTCAACCCTATGAGTTGAATGCAAACATCACAAAGACGTTTCTGGGAATGCTTCTGTCTAGATTTGATATGAAGATATTCCCGTTTCCAACGAAATCTTCAAATCTATCCAAATGTCCACTTGCAGATTCAACAAAAAGTGTTTTTCAGAACTGCTCTATCAAAAGAAAGATCCACCTCTGTTAGCTGAGTTCACACATCACAAACAAGTTTTTGAGAATGCTTCTGTCTAGTTTTTATTTGAAGATATTTCCTTTCTCACCATAGACCTGAAAGCTGTCCTAATGTTCACTTCCAGATACTACAGAAAGAGTGTTTCAAAACTGCTGTACGAAAGGGAATGTTCAACTCTGTGACTTGAATGCACACATCACAAAGATGTTTCTGAGGATGCGGCTGTGTACTTTTTATACGTAATCCCGTTTCCAACGAAATCCTCCAATCTATCCAAATATCCACTTGCAGATTCCACAGAAAGACTGTTTCAAATCTGCTCAGTCAATAGAAAGGTTCAACTCTGTTAGCTGCGTGCATATATCACAAAGAAGATTCTGAGTTTGCTTCTGTCTAGTTTTTATGGGAAGATATTTCCCTTTTCACCGTAGGCGTCAAGGCGCTCCAAATGTCCACTTCCAGATACTACAAAAAGAGTGTTTCAAACCTACTCTGTGAAAGGGAATATTCAACTCTGTGACTTGAATGCACATATCACAAAGAAGTTTCAGAGAATGCTTCCGTCGAGATTTTATATGAAGATATTCCCGTTTCCAACGAAATCCTGAAATCTATCCAAATATCCCCTCGCAGATTCTACAAAAAGAGTGTTTCAAACCTACTCTGTGAAAGGGAATATTCAACTCTGTGACTTGAATGCACATATCACAAAGAAGTTTCTGAGAATGCTTCTGTCGAGATTTTATATGAAGATATTCCCGTTTCCAACGAAATCCTGAAATCTATCCAAATATCCCCTCGCAGATTCTACAAAAAGAGTGTTTCAAAACTGCTCTGTAAAAACAAAGGTTCAACTCTGTTAGTTGAGTACACACATCACAAACAAGTTTCACAGAATGCTTCTGTCTAGATTTTATAGGAAGATATTCCCGTTTCCAGCGAAATCTTCACAGCTATCCAAATATCCACTTGCAGATTCTACAAAAAGAGTGTATCAAAACTGCTCTGTCAAAAGGAAGTTTCTTCTCTGTTAGGTGAGTGCATACGTCATAAAGGAGTTTCTGAGAATGTTTCTGTCTTGTGGTTATGGGAAGATATTTGCTTTTTCCCCGTAGGCCTCAGGGCGCTCCAAATGTCCACTTGCACATGCTACAAAAAGAGTGCTTCAAAGCTGCTCTCTGAAAGGGAATGTTCAACTCTATGAGTTGAATGCAAACATCACAAAGACGTTTCTGAGAATGCTTCTGTGTAGTTTTTATTTGAAGATATTTCCTTTCTCACCATAGACCTGAAAGCTGTCCTAATGTTCACTTCCAGATACTACAGAAAGAGTGTTTCAAAACTGCTGTACGAAAGGGAATGTTCAACTACTGTGACTTGAATGCACACATCACAAAGAAGTTTCTGAGGATGCTTCTGTCTAGTTTTTATTTGAAGATATATCCTTTCTCACTATAGACCTGAAAGCTGTCCTAAAGTTCACTTCCAGATACTACAGAAAGAGTGTTTCAAAACTGCTGTACGAAAGGGAATGTTCAACTACTGTGACTTGAATGCACACATCACAAGGATGTTTCTGAGGATGCTGCTGTCTACTTTTTATACGTAATCCCGTTTCCAACGAAATCCTCCAAGCTATCCAAATATCCACTTGCAGATTCCACAGAAAGACTGTTTCAAAACTGCTCTGTCAATAGAAAGGTTCAACTCTATTAGCTATGTGCATATATCCCAAAGAAAATTCTGAGATTGCTTCTGTCTAGTTTTTATGGGAAGATATTTCCCTTTTCACCGTAGGCGTCAAGGCGCTCCAAATGTCCACTTCCAGATACTACAAAAAGAGTGTTTCAAACCTACTCTGTGAAAGGGAATATTCAACTCTTTGACTTGAATGCACATATCACAAAGAAGTTTCTGAGAATGCTTCTGTCGAGATTTTATATGAAGATATTCCCGTTTCCAACGAAATCCTGAAATCTATCCAAATATCCCCTCGCAGATTCTACAAAAAGAGTGTTTCAAAACTGCTCTGTAAAAAGAAAGGTTCAACTCTGTCAGTTGAGTACACACATCACAAACAAGTTTCACAGAATGCTTCTTTCTAGCTTGTAGGGGAAGATATTCCCTTTATCACCATGGGCCTCAAACCGTCTGAAACGTCCACTTCCATATACTAGAAAAAGATCATTTCAAACCTGCTCTATGAAAGGCAATGTTCAACTCTGTGACTTGAATGCAGACATCACAGAGCAGTTTCTGAGAATGCTTCTGTCTAGATTTTATAGGAAGATATTCCCGTTTCCAACGAAATCTTCACAGCTATCCAAATATGCACTTGCAGATTCTACAAAAAGTGTGTATCAAAACTGCTCTGTCAAAAGGAAGGTTCTTCTCTGTTAGTTGAGTACATACGTCATAAAGGAGTTTCTGAGAATGTTTCTGTCTAGTGGTTATGGGAAGATATTTGCTTTTTCCCCGTAGGCCTCAGGGCGCTCCAAATGTCCACTTGCACATGCTACAATAAGAGTGTTTCCAACCTGCTCTATGAAACGGAAGGTTCAACTCTGTGACTTGATTGCAAACATCACGAAGGTGTTTCTGAGAATGCTTCTGTCTAGATTTGATATGAAGATATTCCCGTTTCCAACGACATCTTCAAATCTATCCAAATGTCCACTTGCAGATTTAACAAAACGTGTTTTTCAGAACTGCTCTATCAAAAGAAAGATCCACCTCTGTTAGCTGAGTTCACACATCACAAACAAGTTTATGAGAATGCTTCTGTCTAGTTTTTATTTGAAGATATTTCCTTTCTCACCATAGAGCTGAAAGCTGTCCTAATGTTCACTTCCAGATACTACAGAAAGAGTGTTTCAAAACTGCTGTACGAAAGGGAGTGTTCAACTCTGTGACTTGAATGCACACATCACAAAGAAGTTTCTGAGGATGCTGCTGTCTACTTTTTATACGTAATCCCGTTTCCAATGAAATGCTCCAAGCTATCCAAATATCCACTTGCAGATTCCACAGAAAGACTGTTTCAAAACTGCTCTGTCAATAGAAAGGTTCAACTCTGTTAGCTGCGTGCATATATCCCAAAGAAGATTCTGAGATTGCTTCTGTCTACTTTTTATGAGAAGATATTTCCCTTTTCACCGTAGGCGTCAAGGCGCTCCAAATGTCCACTTCCAGATACTACAAAAAGAGTGTTTCAAACCTACTCTGTGAAAGGGAATATTCAACTCTGTGACTTGAATGCACATATCACAAAGAAGCTTCTTAGAATGCTTCTGTCGAGATTTTATATGAAGATATTCCCGTTTCCAACGAAATCCTGAAATCTATCCAAATATCCCCTCGCAGATTCTACAGAAAGAGTGTTTCAAAACTGCTCTGTAAAAAGAAAGGTTCAACTCTGTTAGTTGAGCACACACATCACAAACAAGTTTCACAGAATGCTTCTTTCTAGCTTGTAGGGGAAGATATTCCCTTTATCACCATGGTCCTCAAACCGTCCGAAACGTCCACTTCCATATACTACAAAAAGAGCGTTTCAAACCTGCTCTATGAAAGGCAATGTTCAACTCTGTGACTTGAATGCAGACATCACAGAGCAGTTTCTGAGAATGCTTCTGTCTAGACTTTATAGGAAGATATTCCCGTTTCCAACGAAATCTTCACAGCTATCCAAATATCCACTTGCAGATTCTACAAAAAGAGTGTATCAAAACTGCTCTGTCAAAAGGAAGGTTCTTTTCTGTTAGGTGAGTGCATACGTCATAAAGGAGTTTCTGAGAATGTTTCTGTCTAGTGGTTACGGGAAGATATTTGCTTTTTCCCCGTAGGCCTCAGGGCACTCCAAATGTCCACTTGCACATGCTACAAAAAGAGTGCTTCAAAGCTGCTCTCTGGAAGGGAATGTTCAACTCTATGAGTTGAATGCAAACATCACAAAGACGTTTCTGAGAATGCTTCTGTCTAGACTTGATATGAAGATATTCCCGTTTCCAACGAAATCTTCAAATCTATCCAAATGTCCACTTGCAGATTCAACAAAAAGTGTTTTTCAGAAGTGCTCTATCAAAAGAAAGATCCACCTCTGTTAGCTGAGTTCACACATCACAAACAAGTTTATGAGAATGCTTCTGTCTAGTTTTTATTTGAAGATATTTCCTTTCTCACCATAGACCTGAAAGCTGTCCTAATGTTCACTTCCAGTTACTACAGAAAGAGTGTTTTAAAACTGCTGTACGAAAGGGAATGTTCAACTCTGTGACTTGAATGCACACATCTCAAAGAAGTTTCTGAGGATGCTGCTGTCTAATTTTTATACGTAATCCCGTTTCCAACGAAATCCTCCAAGCTATCCAAATATCCACTTGCAGATTCCACAGAAAGACTGTTTCAAAACTGCTCTGTCAATAGAAAGGTTCAACTCTGTTAGCTGCGTGCATATATCCCAAAGAAGATTGTGAGATTGCTTCTGTCTAGTTTTTATGGGAAGATTTTTCCCTTTTCACCGTAGGTGTCAAGGCGCTCCAAATGTCCACTTCCAGATACTACAAAAAGAGTGTTTCAAACCTACTCTGTGAAAGGGAATATTCAACTCTGTGACTTGAATGCACATATCACAAGGGAAGTTTCTGAGAATGCTTCTGTCGAGATTTTATATGAAGATATTCCCGTTTCCAACGAAATCCTGAAATGTATCCAAATATCCCCTCGCAGATTCTACAAAAAGAGTGTTTCAAAACTGCTCTGTAAAAAGAAAGGTTCAACTCTGTTAGTTGAGAACACACATCACAAACAAGTTTCACACAATGCTTCTTTCTAGCTTGTAGGGGAAGATATTCCCTTTATCACCGTGGGCCTCCAACCGTCCGAAACGTCCACTTCCATATACTACAAAAAGAGCGTTTCAAACCTGCTCTATGAAAGGCAATGTTCAACTCTGTGACTTGAATGCAGACATCACAGAGCAGTTTCTGAGAATGCTTCCGTCTAGATTTTATAGGAAGATATTCCCGTTTCCAACGAAATCTTCACAGCTATCCAAATATCCACTTGCAGATTCTACAAAAAGAGTGTATCAAAACTGCTCTGTCAAAAGGAAGGTTCTTCTCTGTTAGGTGAGTGCATACGTCATAAAGGAGTTTCTGAGAATGTTTTTGTCTAGTGGTTTTGGGAAGATATTTTCTTTTTCACCGTAGGCCTCACAGCGCACCAAATATCCACTTGCACATACTACAAAAAGAGTGCCTCAAAGCTGCTCTCTGAAACGGAATGTTCAACTCTATGGGTTGAATGCAAACATCACAAAGACGTTTCTGAGAATGCTTCTGTCTAGATTTGATATGAAGATATTCCCGTTTCCAACGAAATCTTCAAATCTATCCAAATGTCCACTTGCAGATTCAACAAAAAGTGTTTTTCAAAACTGCTGTATCAAAAGAAAGATCCACGTCTGTTAGCTGAGTTCACACATCAGAAACAAGTTTATGAGAATGCTTTCTGTCTAGTTTTTATTTGAAGATATTTCCTTTCTCACCATAGACCTGAAAGCTGTCCTAGTTTTCACTTCCAGATACTACAGAAAGAGTGTTTCAAAACTGCTGTACGAAAGGGAATATTCAACTCTGTGACTTGAATGCACACATCACAAAGAAGTTTCTGAGGATGCTGCTGTCTACTTTTTATACTTAATCCCGTTTCCAACGAAATCCTCCAAGCTAATCAAATATCCACTTGCAGATTCCACAGAAAGACTGTTTCAAAACTGCTCTGTCAATAGAAAGGTTCAACTCTGTTAGCTGCGTGCATATATCCCAAAGAAGATTCTGAGATTGCTTCTGTCTAGTTTTTATGGGAAGATATTTCCCTTTTCACCGTAGGCGTCAAGGCGCTCCAAATGTCCACTTCCAGATACTACTAAAAGAGGGTTTCAAACTTACTCTGTGAAAGGGAATATTCAACTCTGTAACTTGAATGCACATATCACAAAGAAGTTTCTGAGAATGCTGCTGTCGAGATTTTATATGAAGATATTCCCGTTTCCAACGAAATCCTGAAATCTATCCAAATATCCCCTCGCAGATTCTACAAAAAGAGTGTTTCAAAACTGCTCTGTAAAAAGAAAGGTTCAACTCTGTTAGTTGAGTACACACATCACAAACAAGTTTCACAGAATGCTTCTTTCTAGCTTGTAGGGGAAGATATTCCCTTTATCACCATGGGCCTCAAACCGTCCGAAACGTCCACTTCCATGTACTACAAAAAGAGCTTTTCAAACCTGTTCTAGGAAAGGCAATGTTCAACTCTGTGACTTGAATGCAGACATCACAGAGCAGTTTCTGAGAATGCTTCTGTCTAGATTTTATAGGAAGATATTCCCGTTTCCAACGAAATCTTCACAGCTATCCAAATATCCACTTGCAGATTCTACAAAAAGAGTGTATCAAAACTGCTCTGTCAAAAGGAAGGTTCTTCTCTGTTAGTTGAGCACATACGTCATAAAGGAGTTTCTGAGAATGTTTCTGTCAAGTGGTTATGGGAAGATATTTGCTTTTTCCCCGTAGGCCTCAGGGCGCTCCAAATGTCCACTTGCACATGCTACAAAAAGAGTGCTTCAAAGCTACTCTCTGGAAGGGAATGTTCAACTCTATGAGTTGAATGCAAACATCACAAAGACGTTTCTGAGAATGCTTCTGTCTAGATTTGATATGAAGATATTCCCGTTTCCAACGAAATCTTCAAATCTATCCAAATGTCCACTTGCAGATTCAACAAAAAGTGTTTTTCAAAACTGCTGTATCAAAAGAAAGATCCACGTCTGTTAGCTGAGTTCACACATCACAAAGAAGTTTATGAGAATGCTTCTGTCTAGTTTTTATTTGAAGATATTTCCTTTCTCACCATAGACCTGAAAGCTGTCCTAATGTTCACTTCCAGATACTACAGAAAGAGTGTTTCAAAACTGCTGTAGGAAAGGGAATGTTCAACTCTGTGACTTGAATGCACACATCACAAAGAAGTTTCTGAGGATGCTGCTGTCTACTTTTTATACGTAATCCCGTTTCCAACGAAATCCTCCAAGCTATCCAAATATCCACTAGCAGATTCCACAGAAAGACTGTTTCAAAACTGCTCTGTCAATAGAAAGGTTCAACTCTATTAGCTGCGTACATATATCCCAAAGAAGATTCTGAGATTGCTTCTGTCTAGTTTTTATGGGAAGATATTTCCCTTTTCACCATAGGCGTCAAGGCGCTCCAAATGTCCACTTCCAGATACTACAAAAAGAGTGTTTCAAACCTACTCTGTGAAAGGGAATATTCAACTCTGTGACTTGAATGCACATATCACAAAGAAGTTTCTGAAAATGCTTCTGTCGAGATTTTATATGAAGATATTCCAGTTTCCAACGAAATCCTGAAATCTATCCAAATATCCCCTCGCAGATTCTACAAAAAGAGTGTTTCAAAACTGCTCTGTATAAAGAAAGGTTCAACACTGTTAGTTGAGTACACACATCACAAACAAGTTTCACAGAATGCTTCTTTCTAGCTTGTAGGGGAAGATATTCCCTTTATCACCATGGGCCTCAAACCGTCCGAAACGTCTACTTCCATATACTACAAAAAGAGCGTTTCAAACCTGCTCTACGAAAAGCAATGTTCAACTCTGTGACTTGAATGCAGACATCACAGAGCAGTTTCTGAGAATGCTTCTGTCTAGATTTTATAGGAGGATATTCCCGTTTCCAACGAAATCTTCACAGCTATCCAAATATCCACTTTCAGATTCTACAAAAAGAGTGTATCAAAACTGCTCTGTCAAAAGGAAGGTTCTTCTCTGTTAGGTGAGTGCATACGTCATAAAGGAGTTTCTGAGAATGTTTCTGTCTAGTGGTTATGGGAAGATATTTGCTTTTTCACCTTAGGCCTCAGAGCTCTCCAAATACCCCCTTGCACATACTACAAAAAGAGTGCTTCAAAGCTGCTCTCTGAAAGGGAATGTTCAACTCTATGAGTTGAATGCAAACATCACAAAGACGTTTCTGAGAATGCTTCTGTCTAGATTTGATATGAAGATATTCCCGTTTCCAACGAAATCTTCAAATCTATCCAAATGTCCACTTGCAGATTCAACAAAAAGTGTTTTTCAGAACTGCTCTATCAAAAGAAAGATCCACCTCTCTTAGCTGAGTTCACACATCACAAACAAGTTTATGAGAATTCTTCTGTCTAGTTTTCATTTGAAGATATTTCCTTTCTCACCATAGAGCTGAAAGCTGTCCTAATGTTCACTTCCAGATACTACAGAAAGAGTGTTTCAAAACTGCTGTACGAAAGGGAATGTTCAACTCTGTGACTTGAATGCACACATCACAAAGAAGTTTCTGAGGATGCTGCTGTCTACTTTTTATACGTAATCCCGTTTCCAACGAAATCCTCCAAGCTATCCAAATATCCACTTGCAGATTCCACAGAAAGACTGTTTCAAAACTGCTCTGTCAATAGAAAGGTTCAAATCTGTTAGCTGCGTGCATATATCCCAAAGAAGATTCTGAGATTCCTTCTGTCTAGTTTTTATGGGAAGATATTTCCCTTTTCACCGTGGGCGTCAAGGCGCTCCAAATGTCCACTTCCAGATACTACAAAAAGAGTGTTTCAAACCTACTCTGTGAAAGGGAATATTCAACGCTGTGACTTGAATGCACATATCACAAGGAAGTTTCTGAGAATGCTTCTGTCGAGATTTTATATGAAGATATTCCCGTTTCCAACGAAATCCTGAAATCTATCCAAATATCCCCTCGTAGATTCTACAAAAAGAGTGTTTCAAAACTGCTCTGTAAAAAGAAAGGTTCAACTCTGTTAGTTGAGTACACACATCACAAACAAGTTTCACAGAATGCTTCTTTCTAGCTTGTAGGGGAAGATATTCCCTTTATCACCATGGGCCTCAAACCGTCCGAAACGTCCACTTCCATATACTACAAAAAGAGTGTTTCAAACCTGCTCTATGAACGGCAATGTTCAACTCTGTGACCTTGAATGCAGACATCACAGAGCAGTTTCTGAGAATGCTTCTGTCTAGATTTTATAGGAAGATATTCCCGTTTCCAACGAAATCTTCACAGCTATTCAAATATCCACTTGCAGATTCTACAAAAAGAGTGTATCAAAACTGCTCTGTCAAAAGGAAGGTTCTTCTCTGTTAGGTGAGTGCATACGTCATAAAGGAGTTTCTGAGAATGTTTCTGTCTAGTGGTTATGGGAAGATATTTGCTTTTTCACCGTAGGCCTCAGAGCGCTCCAAATATCCACTTGCACATACTACAAAAAGAGTGCTTCAAAGCTGCTCTCTGAAAGGGTATGTTCAACTCTATGAGTTGAATGCAAACATCACAAAGACGTTTCTGAGAATGCTTCTGTCTAGATTTGATATGAAGATATTCCCGTTTCCAACGAAATCTTCAAATCTATCCAAATGTCCACTTGCAGATTCAACAAAAAGTGTTTTTCAGAACTGCTCTATCAAAAGAAAGATCCACCTATGTTAGCGGAGTTCACACATCACAAACAAGTTTATGAGAATGCTTTCTGTCTAGTTTTTATTTGAAGATATTTCCTTTCTCACCATAGAGCTGAAAGCTGTCCTAATGTTCACTTCCAGATACTACAGAAAGAGTGTTTCAAAACTGCTGTACGAAAGGGAATGTTCAACTCTGTGACTTGAATGGACACATCACAAAGAAGTTTCTGAGGATGCTGCTGTCTACTTTTTATACGTAATCCCGTTTCCAACGAAATCCTCCAAGCTATCCAAATATCCACTTGCAGATTCCACAGAAAGACTGTTTCAAAACTGCTCTGTCAATAGAAAGGTTCAACTCTGTTAGCTGCCTGCATATATCCCAAAGAAGATTCTGAGATTGCTTGTGTCTACTTTTTATGAGAAGATATTTCCCTTTTCACCATAGGCGTCAAGGCGCTCCAAATGTCCACTTACAGATACTACAAAAAGAGTGTTTCAAACCTACTCTGTGAAAGGGAATATTCAACTCTGTGACTTGAATGCAGATATCACAAAGAAGTTTCTGAGAATGCTTCTGTCGAGATTTTATATGAAGATATTCCCGTTTCCAACGAAATCCTGAAATCTATCCAAATATCCCCTCGCAGATTCTACAAAAAGAGTGTTTCAAAACTGCTCTGTAAAAAGAAAGGTTCAACTCTCTTAGTTGAGTACACACATCACAAACAAGTTTCACAGAATGCTTCTTTCTAGCTTGTAGGGGAAGATATTCCCTTTATCACCATGGGCCTCAAACCGTCCGAAACGTCTATTTCCATATACTACAAAAAGAGCGTTTCAAACCTGCTCTATGAAAGGCAATGTTCAACTCTGTGACTTGAATGCAGACATCACAGAGCAGTTTCTGAGAATGCTTCTGTCTAGATTTTATAGGAAGATATTCCCGTTTCCAACGAAATCTTCACAGCTATCCAAATATCCACTTGCAGATTCTGCAAAAAGAGTGTATCAAAAGTGCTCAGTCAAAAGGAAGGTTCTTCTCTGTTAGGTGAATGCATACGTCATAAAGGAGTTTCTGAGAATGTTTCTGTCTAGTGGTTATGGGAAGATATTTGCTTTTTCACCGTAGGCCTCAGAGCGCTCCAAATATCCACTTGCACATACTACAAAAAGAGTGCTTCAAAGCTGCTCTCTGAAACGGAATGTTCAACTCTAGGAGTTGAATGCAAACATCACAAAGACGTTTATGAGAATGCTTCTGTCTAGATTTGATATGAAGATATTCCCGTTTCCAACGAAATCTTCAAATCTATCCAAATGTCCACTTGCAGATTCAACAAAAATTGTTTTTCAGAACTGCTCTATCAAAAGAAAGATCCACCTCTGTTAGCTGAGTTCACACATCACAAACAAGTTTATGAGAATGCTTCTGTCTAGTTTTTATTTGAAGATGTTTCCTTTCTCACCATAGACCTGAAAGCTGTCCTAATGTTCACTTCCAGATACTACAGAAAGAGTGTTTCAAAACTGCTGTACGAAAGGGAATGTTCAACTCTGTGACTTGAATGCACACATCACAAAGAAGTTTTCTGAGGATGCTGCTGTCTACTTTTTATACGGTAATCCCGTTTCCAACGAAATCCTCCAATCTATCCAAATATCCACTTGCAGATTCCACAGAAAGACTGTTTCAAAACTGCTCTGTCAATAGAAAGGTTCAACTCTGTTAGCTGCGTGCATATATCCCAAAGAAGATTCTGAGATTGCTTTTGTCTAGTTTTTATGGGAAGATATTTCCCTTTTCACCGTAGGCGTAAAGGCGCTCCAAATGTCCACTTCCAGATACTACAAAAAGAGTGTTTCAAACCTACTCTGTGAAAGGGAATATTCAACTCTGTGACTTGAAGGCAGATATCACAAAGAAGTTTCTGAGAATGCTTCTGTCGAGATTTTATATGAAGATATTCCCGTTTCCAACGAAATGCTGAAATCTATCCAAATATCCCCTCGCAGATTCTACAAAAAGAGTGTTTCAAAACTGCTCTGTAAAAAGAAAGGTTCAACTCTGTTACTTGAGTACACACATCACAAACAAGTTTCAGAGAATGCTTCTTTCTAGCTTGTAGGGGAAGATATTCCCTTTATGACCATGGGCCTCAAACCGTCCGAAACGTCCACTTCCATATACTACAAAAAGAGTGTTTCAAACCTGCTCTATGAACGGCAATGTTCAACTCTGTGACTTGAATGCAGACATCACAGAGCAGTTTCTGAGAATGCTTCTGTCTAGATTTTATAGGAAGATATTCCCGTTTCCAAAGAAATCTTCACAGCTATCCAAATATCCACTTTCAGATTCTACAAAAAGAGTGTATCAAAAGTGCTCTGTCAAAAGGAAGGTTCTTCTCTGTTAGGTGAGTGCATACGTCATAAAGGAGTTTCTGAGAATGTTTCTGTCTAGTGGTTATGGGAAGATATTTGCTTTTTCACCGTAGGCCTCAGAGCGCTCCAAATATCCCCTTGCACATACTACAAAAAGAGTGCTTCAAAGCTGCTCTCTGAAACGGAATGTTCAACTCTATGAGTTGAATGCAAACATCACAAAGACGTTTCTGAGAATGCTTCTGTCTAGATTTGATATGACGATATTCCCGTTTCCAACGAAATCTTCAAATCTATCCAAATGTCCACTTGCAGATTCAACAAAACGTGTTTTTCAGAACTGCTCTATCAAAAGAAAGATCCACGTCTGTTAGCTGAGTTCACACATCACAAACAAGTTTATGAGAATGCTTCTGTCTAGTTTTTATTTGAAGATATTTCCTTTCTCACCATAGAGCTGAAAGCTGTCCTAATGTTCACTTCCAGATACTATAGAAAGAGTGTTTCAAAACTGCTGTACGAAAGGGAATGTTCAACTCTGTGACTTGAATGCACACATCACAAAGAAGTTTACTGAGGATGCTGGTGTCTACTTTTTATACGTAATCCCGTTTCCAACGAAATCCTCCAAGCTATCCAAATATCCACTTGCAGATTCCACAGAAAGACTGTTTCAAAACTGCTCTGTCAATAGAAAGGTTCAACTCTGTTAGCTGCCTGCATATATCCCAAAGAAGATTCTGAGATTGCTTCTGTCTAGTTTTTATGGGAAGATATTTCCCTTTTCACCGTAGGTGTCAAGGCGCTCCAAATGCCCACTTCCAGATACTACAAAAAGAGTGTTTCAAACCTACTCTGTGAAAGGGAATATTCAACTCTGTGACTTAAAGGCAGATATCACAAAGAAGTTTCTGAGAATGCTTCTGTCGAGATTTTATATGAAGATATTCCCGTTTCCAACGAAATCCTGAAATGTATCCAAATATCCCCTCGCAGATTCTACAAAAAGAGTGTTTCAAAACTGCTCTGTAAAAAGAAAGGTTCAACTCTGTTAGTTGAGTACAAACATCACAAACAAGTTTCACACAATGCTTCTTTCTAGCTTGTAGGGGAAGATATTCCCTTTATCACCATGGGCCTCAAACCGTCCGAAACGTCCTCTTCCATATAGTACAAAAAGAGCGTTTCAAACCTGCTCTATGAAAGGCAATGTTCAACTCTGTGACTTGAATGCAGACATCACAGAGCAGTTTGCTGAGAATGCTTCTGTCTAGGTTTTATAGGAAGATATTCCCGTTTCCAACGAAATCTTCACAGCTATCAAAATATCCACTTGCAGATTCTACAAAAGGAGTGTATCAAAACTGCTCTGTCAAAAGGAAGGTTCTTCTCTGTTAGGTGAGTGCATACGTCATAAAGGAGTTTCTGAGAATGTTTCTGTCTAGTGGTTATGGGAAGATATTTGCTTTTTCCCCGTAGGCCTCAGGGCGCTCCAAATGTCCACTTGCACATGCTACAAAAAGAGTGCTTCAAATCTGCTCTCTGAAAGGGAATGTTCAACTCTATGAGTTGAATGCAAACATCACAAAGACGTTTCTGAGAATGCTTCTGTCTAGATTTAATATGAAGATATTCCCGTTTCCAACGAAATCTTCAAATCTATCCAAATGTCCACTTGCAGATTCAACAAAAAGTGTTTTTCAGAACTGCTCTATCAAAAGAAAGATCCACCTCTGTAAGCTGAGTTCACACATCACAAACAAGTTTATGAGAATGCTTCTGTCTAGTTTTTATTTGAAGATATTTCCTTTCTCACCATAGACCTGAAAGCTGTCCTAATGTTCATTTCCAGTTACTACAGAAAGAGTGTTTCAAAACTGCTGTACGAAAGGGAATGTTCAACTCTGTGACTTGAATGCACACATCACAAAGAAGTTTCTGAGGATGCTGCTGTCTACTTTTTATACTTAATCCCGTTTCCAACGAAATCCTCCAAGCTATCCAAATATCCACTTGCAGATTCCACAGAAAGACTGTTTCAAAACTGCTCTGTCAATAGATAGGTTCAACTCTGTTAGCTGCGTGCATATATCCCAAAGAAGATTCTGAGATTGCTTCTGTCTAGTTTTTATGGGAAGATATTTCCCTTTTCACCATAGGTGTCAAGGCGCTCCAAATGTCCACTTCCAGATACTACAAAAAGAGTGTTTCAAACCTACTCTGTGAAAGGGAATATTCAACCCTGTGACTTGAATGCACATATCACAAAGAAGTTTCTGAGAATGCTTCTGTCGAGATTTTATATGAAGATATTCCCGTTTCCAACGAAATCCTGAAATCAATCCAAATATACCCTCGCAGATTCTACAAAAAGAATGTTTCAAAACTGCTCTGTAAAAAGAAAGGTTCAACTCTGTTAGTTGAGTACACACATCACAAACAAGTTTCACAGAATGCTTCTTTCTAGCTTGTAGGGGAAGATATTCCCTTTATCACCATGGGCCTCAAACCGTCCGAAACGTCCACTTCCATATACTACAAAAAGAGCGTTTCAAAACTGCTCTATGAAAGGCAATGTTCAACTCTGTGACTTGAATGCAGACATCACAGAGCAGTTTCTGAGAATGCTTCTGTCTAGATTTTATAGGAAGCTATTCCCGTTTCCAACGAAATCTTCACAGCTATCCAAATATCCACTTGCAGATTCTACAAAAAGAGTGTATCAAAACTGCTCTGTCAAAAGGAAGGTTCTTCTCTGTTAGGTGAGTGCATACGTCATAAAGGAGTTTCTGAGAATGTTTCTGTCTAGTGGTTATGGGAAGATATTTGCTTTTTCCCCGTAGGCCTCAGGGCGCTCCAAATGTCCACTTGCACATGCTACAAAAAGAGTGCTTCAAAGCTGCTCTCTGGAAGGGAATGTTCAACTCTATGAGTTGAATGCAAACATCACAAAGACGTTTCTGAGAATGCTTCTGTCTAGATTTGATATGAAGATATTCCCGTTTCCAACGAAACCTTCAAATCTATCCAACTGTCCTCTTGCAGATTCAACAAAAAGTGTTTTTCAGAACTGCTCTATCAAAAGAAAGATCCACCGTGTGTTAGCTGAGTTCACACATCACGAACAAGTTTATGAGAATGCTTCTGTCTAGTTTTTATTTGAAGATATTTCCTTTCTCACCATAGACCTGAAAGCTGTCCTAATGTTCACTTCCAGATACTACAGAAAGAGTGTTTCAAAACTGCTGTACGAAAGGGAATGTTCAACTCTGTGACTTGAATGCAGACATCACAAAGAAGTTTCTGAGGATGCTGCTGTCTACTTTTTATACGTAATCCCGTTTCCAACGAAATCCTCCAATCCATCCAAATATCCACTTGCAGATTCCACAGAAAGACTGTTTCAAAACTGCTCTGTCAATAGGAAGGTTGAACTCTGTTAGCTGCGTGCATATATCCCAAAGAAGATTCTGAGATTGCTTCTGTCTAGTTTTTATGGGAAGATATTTCCCTTTTCACCGTAGGTGTCAAGGCGCTCCAAATGTCCACTTCCAGATACTACAAAGAGAGTGTTTCAAACCTACTCTGTGAAAGGGAATATTCAACTCTGTGACTTGAATGCACATATCACAAAGAAGTTTCTGAGAATGCTTCTGTCGAGATTTTATATTAAGATATTCCCGTTTCCAACGAAATCCTGAAATCTATCCAAATATCCCCTCGCAGATTCTACAAAAAGAGTGTTTCAAAACTGCTCTGTAAAAAGAAAGGTTCAACTCTGTTAGTTGAGTACACACATCAAAAACAAGTTTCACAGAATGCTTCTTTCTAGCTTGTAGGGGAAGATATTCCCTTTATCACCATGGGCCTCAAACCGTCTGAAACGTCCACTTCCATATACTACAAAAAGAGCATTTCAAACCTGCTCTATGAAAGGCAATCTTCAACTCTGTGACTTGAATGCAGACATCACAGAGCAGTTTCTGAGAATGCTTCTGTCTAGATTTGATATGAAGATATTCCCGTTTCCAAAGAAATCTTCAGAGCTATCCAAATATCCACTTGCAGATTCTACAAAAAGAGTGTATCAAAAATGCTCTGTCAAAAGGTAGGTTCTTCTCTGTTAGTTGAGTACATACGTCAGAAAGAAGTTTCTGAGAATGTTTCTGTCTAGTGGTTATGGGAAGATATTTGCTTTTTCACCGTAGGCCTCAGAGCGCTCCAAATATCCACTTGCACATACTACAAAAAGAGTGCCTGAAAGCTGCTCTCTGAAACGGAATGTTCAACTCTATGAGTTGAATGCAAACATCGCAAAGACGTTTCTGAGAATGCTTCTGTATAGATTTGATATGAAGATATTCCCGTTTCCAATGAAATCTTCATATCTATCCAATGTCCACTTGCAGATTCAACAAAAAGTGTTTTTCAAAACTGCTGTATCAAAAGAAAGATCCACGTCTGTTAGCTGAGTTCACACATCACAAACAAGTTTATGAGAATGCTTCTGTCTAGTTTTTATTTGAAGATATTTCCTTTATCACCATAGACCTGAAAGCTGTCCTAATATTCACTTCCAGATACTACAGAAAGAGTGTTTCAAAACTGCTGTACGAAAGGGAATGTTCAACTCTGTGACTTGAATGCACACATCACAAAGAAGTTTCTGAGGATGCTGCTGGCTACTTTGTATAGGTAATCCCGTTTCCAACGAAATCCTCCAAGCTATCCAAATATCCACTTGCAGATTCCACAGAAAGACTGTTTCAAAACTGCTCTGTCAATAGAAAGGTTCAACTCTGTTAGCTGCGTGCATATATCCCAAAGAAGATTCTCAGATTGCTTCTGTCTACTTTTTATGAGAAGATATTTCCCTTTTCACCGTAGGTGTCAAGGCGCTCCAAATGTCCACTTCCAGATACTAGAAAAAGAGTGTTTCAAACCTACTCTGTGAAAGGGAATATTCAACTCTGTGACTTGAATGCACATATCACAAAGAAGCTTCTGAGAATGCTTCTGTCGAGATTTTATATAAAGATATTCCGGTTTCCAACAAAATCCTGAAATCTATCCAAATATCCCCTCGCAGATTCTACAAAAAGAGTGTTTCAAAACTGCTCTGTAAAAAGAAAGGTTCAACTCTGTTAGTTGAGTACACACATCACAAACAAGTTTCACAGAATGCTTCTTTCTAGCTTGTAGGGGAAGATATTCCCTTTATCACCATGGGCCTCAAACCGTCCGAAACGTCCACTTCTATATACTACAAAAAGAGCGTTTCAAACCTGCTCTAGGAAAGGCAATGTTCAACTCTGTGACTTGAATGCAGACATCACAGAGCAGTTTCTGAGAATGCTTCTGTCTAGATTTTATAGGAAGATATTCCCGTTTCCAACGAAATCTTCACAGCTATCCAAATATCCACTTGTAGATTCTACAAAAAGAGTGTATCAAAACTGCTCTGTCAAAAGGAAGGTTCTTCTCTGTTAGTTGAGTACATACGTCATAAAGGAGTTTCTGAGAATGTTTCTGTCTAGTGGTTATGGGAAGATATTTGCTTTTTCACCGTAGGCCTCAGAGCGCTCCAAGTATCCACTTGCACATACTACAAAAAGAGTGCTTCAAAGCTGCTCTCTGAAAGGGAATGTTCAACTCTATGAGTTGAATGCAAACATCACAAAGACGTTTCTGAGAATGCTTCTGTCTAGATTTGATATGAAGATATTCCCGTTTCCAACGAAATCTTCAAATCTATACAAATGTCCACTTGCAGATTCAACAAAAAGTGTTTTTCAGAACTGCTCTATCAAAAGAAAGATCCAACTCTGTTAGCTGAGTTCACACATCACAAACAAGTTTATGAGAATGCTTCTGTCTAGTTTTTATTTGAAGATATACCTTTTCTCACTATAGACCTCAAAGCTCTCCTAATGTTCACTTCCAGATACTACAGAAAGAGTGTTTCAAAACTGCTGTACGAAAGGGAATGTTCAACTGTGTGTCTTGAATGCACACATCACAAGGAAGTTTCTGAGGATGCTGCTGTCTACTTTTTATACATAATCCCTTTTCCAACGAAATCCTCCAAGCTATCCAAATATCCACTTGCAGATTCCACAGAAAGACTGTTTCAAAACTGCTCTGTCAATAGAAAGGTTCAACTCTGTTAGCTGCGTGCATATATCCCAAAGAAGATTCGGAGATTGCTTGTCTGTCTAGTTTTTATGGGAAGATATTTCCCTTTTCATCGTAGGCGTCAAGGCGCTCCAAATGTCCACTTCCAGATACTACAAAAAGAGTGTTTCAAACCTACTCTGTGAAAGGGAATATTCAACTCTGTGACTTGAATGCAGATATCACAAAGACGTTTCTGAGAATGCTTCTGTCGAGATTTTATTTGAAGATATTCCCGTTTCCAACGAAATGCTGAAATCTATCCAAATATCCCCTCGCAGATTCTACAAAAAGAGTGTTTCAAAACTGCTCTGTGAAAAGAAAGGTTCAACTCTGTTAGTTGAGTACACACATCACAAACAAGTTTCACAGAATGCTTCTTTCTAGCTTGTAGGGGAAGATATTCCCTTTATCACCATGGGCCTCAAACCGTCCGAAACGTCCACTTCCATATACTACAAAAAGAGCGTTTCAAACCTGCTCTATGAAAGGCAATGTTCAACTCTGTGACTTGAATGCAGACATCACAGAGCAGTTTCTGAGAATGCTTATCTGTCTAGATTTTATAGGAAGATATTCCCGTTTCCAACGAAATCTTCACAGCTATCCAAATATCCACTTGCAGACTCTACAAAAAGAGTGTATCAAAACTGCTCTGTCAAAAGGAAGGTTCTTCTCTGTTAGGTGAGTGCATTACGTCATAAAGGAGTTTCTGAGAATGTTTCTGTCTAGTGTTTATGGGAAGATATTTGCTTTTTCACCGTAGGCCTCAGAGCGCTCCAAATATCCACTTGCACATACTACAAAAAGAGTGCCTCAAAGCTGCTCTCTGAAACGGAATGTTCAACTCTATGAGTTGAATGCCAACATCACAAAGACGTTTCTGAGAATGCTTCTGTCTAGATTTGATATGAAGATATTCCCGTTTCCAACGAAATCTTGAAATCTATCCGAATGTCCACTTGCAGATTCAACAAAAAGTGTTTTTCAGAACTGCTCTATCAAAAGAAAGATCCACCTCTGTTAGCTGAGTTCACACATCACAAACAAGTTTATGAGAATGCTTCTGTCTAGTTTTTATTTGAAGGTATTTCCTTTCTCACCATAGACCTGAAAGCTGTCCTAATGTTCACTTCCAGATACTACAGAAAGAGTGTTTCAAAACTGCTGTACGAAAGGGAATGTTCAACTCTCTGACTTGAATGCACACATCACAAAGAAGTTTCTGAGGATGCCGCTGTCTACTTTTTATACGTAATCCCGTTTCCAACGAAATCCTCCAAGCTATCCAAACATCCACTTGCAGATTCCACAGAAAGACTGTTTCAAAACTGCTCTGTCAATAGAAAGGTTCAACTCTGTTAGCTGCGTGCATATATCCCAAAGAAGATTCTGAGATTGCTTCTGTCTAGTTTTTATGGGAAGATATTTCCCTTTTCACCGTAGGCGTCAAGGCGCTCCAAATGTCCACTTCCAGATACTACAAAAAGAGTGTTTCAAACCTACTTGGTGAAAGGGAATATTCAACTCTGTGACTTGAATGCACATATCACAAAGAAGTTTCTGAGAATGCTTCTGTCGAGATTTTATATGAAGATATTCCCGTTTCCAACGAAATCCTGAAATCTATCCAAATATCCCCTCGCAGATTCTGCAAAAAGAGTGTTTCAAAACTGCTCTGTGAAAAGAAAGGTTCAACTCTGTTAGTTGAGTACACACCTCACAAACAAGTTTCACAGAATGCTTCTTTCTAGCTTGTAGGGGAAGATATTCCCTTTATCACCATGGGCCTCAAACCGTCTGAAACGTCCACTTCCATATACTACAAAAAGAGCGTTTGAAACCTGTTCTAAGAAAGGCAATGTTCAACTCTGTGACTTGAATGCAGACATCACAGAGCAGTTTCTGAGAATGCTTCTGTCTAGATTTTATAGGAAGATATTCCCGTTTCCAACGAAATCTTCACAGCTATCCAAATATCCACTTGCAGATTCTACAAAAAGAGTGTATCAAAACTGCTCTGTCAAAAGTAAGGTTCTTCTCTGTTAGGTGAGTGCATACGTCATAAAGGAGTTTCTGAGAATGTTTCTGTCTAGTGGTTATGGGAAGATATTTGCTTTTTCACCGTAGGCCTCAGAGCGCTCCAAATATCCACTTGCGCATACTACAAAAAGAGTGCTTCAAAGCTGGTCTCTGAAACGGAATGTTCAACTCTATGAGTTGAATGCAAACATCACAAAGACGTTTCTGAGAATGCTTTTGTCTAGATTTGATATGAAGATATTCCCGTTTCCAACGAAATCTTCAAATCTATCCAAATGTCCACTTGCAGATTCTACAAAAAGTGTTTTTCAAAACTGCTGTATCAAAAGAAAGATCCACGTCTGTTAGCTGAGTTCACACATCACAAACAAGTTTATGAGAATGCTTCTGTCTAGTTTTTATTTGAAGATATTTCCTTTCTCACCATAGACCTGAAAGCAGTCCTAATGTTCACTTCCAGATACTACAGAAAGAGTGTTTCAAAACTGCTGTACGAAAGGGAATGTTCAACACTGTGACTTGAATGCACACATCACAAAGAAGTTTCTGAGGATGCTGCTGTCTACTTATTATACGTAATCCCGTTTCCAACGAAATCCTCCAAGCTATCCAAATATCCACTTGCAGATTCCACAGAAAGACTGTTTCAAAACTGCTCTGTCAATAGAAAGGTTCAACTCTGCTAGCTGCGTGCATATATCCCAAAGAAGATTCTGAGATTGCTTCTGTCTAGTTTTTATGAGAAGATATTTCCCTTTTCACCGTAGGCGTCAAGGCGCTCCAAATGTCCACTTCCAGATACTACAAAAAGAGTGTTTCAAACCTACTCTGTGAAAGGGAATATTCAACTCTGTGACTTGAATGCACATATCACAAAGAAGCTTCTGAGAATGCTTCTGTCGAGATTTTATATGAAGATATTCCCGTTTCCAACGAAATCCTGAAATCTATCCAAATATCCCCTCGCAGATTCTACAAAAAGAGTGTTTCAAAACTGCTCTGTAAAAAGAAAGGTTCAACTCTGTTAGTTGAGTACACACATCACAAACAAGTTTCACAAAATGCTTCTTTCTAGCTTGTAGGGGAAGATATTCCCTTTATCACCATGGGCCTCAAACCGTCCGAAACGTCCACTTCCATATACTACAAAAAGAGCATTTCAAACCTGCTCTAGGAAAGGCAATGTTCAACTCTGTGACTTGAATGCAGACATCACAGACCAGTTTCTGAGAATGCTTCTGTCTAGATTTTATAGGAAGATATTCCCGTTTCCAACGAAATCTTCACAGCTATCCAAATATCCACTTGCAGATTCTACAAAAAGAGTGTATCAAAACTGCTCAGTCAAAAGGAAGGTTCTTCTCCTGTTAGGTGAGTGCATACGTCATAAAGGGGTTTCTGAGAATGTTTCTGTCTAGTGGTTACGGGAAGATATTTGCTTTTTCCCCGTAGGGCTCAAAGCGCTCCAAATGTCCACTTGCACATACTACAAAAACAGTGCTTCAAAGCTGCTCTCTGAAAGGGAATGTTCAACACTATGAGTTGAATGCAAACATCACAAAGACGTTTCTGAGAATGCTTCTGTCTAGATTTGAAATGAACATATTCTCGTTTTCAACGAAATCTTCAAATCTATCCAAATGTCTACTTGCAGATTCAACAAAAAGTGTTTTTCAAAACTGCTGTGTCGAAAGAAAGATCCACCTCTGTTAGCTGAGTTCACACTTCACAAACAAGTTTATCAGAATGCTTCTGTCTAGTTTTTATTTGAAGATATTTCCTTTCTCACCATAGACCTGAAAGCTGTCCTAATGTTCACTTCCATATACTACAGAAAGAGCGTTTCAAAACTGCTGTACGAAAGGGAATGTTCAACTCTGTGACTTGAATGCACACATCACAAAGAAGTTTCTGAGGATGCTGCTGTCTACTTTTTATACGTAATCCCGTTTCCAACGAAATCCTCCAAGCTATCCAAATATCCACTTGCAGATTCCACAGAAAGACTGTTTCAAAACTGCTCTGTCAATAGAAAGGTTCAACTCTGTTAGCTGCGTGGATATATCCCAAAGAAGATTCTGAGATTGCTTCTGTCTAGTTATTATGGGAAGATATTTCCCTTTTCACCGTAGGTGTCAATGTGCTCCAAATGTCCACTTTCAGACACTACAAAAAGAGTGTTTCAAACCTACTCTGTGAAAGGGAATATTCAACTCTGTGACTTGAATGCAGATAACACAAAGAAGTTTCTGAGAATGCTTCTGTCGAGATTTTATATGAAGATATTCCCGTTTCCAACGAAATCCTGAAATGTATCCAAATATCCCCTGGCAGATTCTACAAAAAGAGTGTTTCAAAACTGCTCTGTAAAAAGAAAGGTTCAACTCTGTTAGTTGAGTACACACATCACAAACAAGTTTCACAGAATGCTTCTTTCTAGCTTGTAGGGGAAGATATTCCCTTTATCACCATGGGCCTCCAACCGTCCGAAACATCCACTTCCATATACTACAAAAAGAGCGTTTCAAACCTGCTCTATCAAAGGCAATGTTCAACTCTGTGACTTGAATACAGACATCACAGAGCAGTTTCTGAGAATGCTTCTGTCTAGATTTTATAGGAAGATATTCCCGTTTCCAACGAAATCTTCACAGGTATCCAAATATCCACTTGCAGATTCTACAAAAAGAGTGTATCAAAACTGCTCTGTCAAAAGGAAGGTTCTTCTCTGTTAGGTGAGTGCATACCTCATAAAGGAGTTTCTGAGAATGTTTCTCTCTAGTGGTTATGGGAAGATATTTGCTTTTTCCCCGTAGGCCTCAGGGCGCTCCAAATGTCCACTTGCACATGCTACAAAAAGAGTGCTTCAAAGCTGCTCTCTGAAAGGGAATGTTCAACTCTATGAGTTGAATGCAGACATCACAAAGACGTTTCTGAGAATGCTTCTGTCTAGATTTGATATGAAGATATTCCCGTTTCCAACGAAATCTTCATATCTATCCAAATGTCCACTTGCAGATTCAACAAAAAGTGTTTTTCAAAACTGCTGTATCAAAAGAAAGATCCACCTCTGTTAGCTGAGTTCACACATCACAAACAAGTTTATGAGAAAGCTTCTGTCTAGTTTTTATTTGAAGATATATCCTTTCTCACTATAGACCTGAAAGCTGTCCTAATGTTCACTTCCAGATACTACAGAAAGAGTGTTTCAAAACTGCTGTAGGAAAGGGAATTTTCAACTCTGTGACTTGAATGCACACATCACAAAGTAGTTTCTGAGGATGCTGCTGTCTACTTTTGATACGTAATCCCGTTTCCAACGAAATCCTCCAAGCTATCCAAATATCCACTTGCAGATTCCACAGAAAGAATGTTTCAAAACTGCTCTGTCAATAGAAAGGTTCAACTGTGTTAGCTGCGTGCATATATCCCAAACAAGATTGCTGAGATTGCTTCTGTCTAGTTTTTAGGGGAAGATATTTCCCTTTTCACCGTAGGTGTCAAGGCGCTCCAAATGTCCACTTCCAGATACTACAAAAAGAGTGTTTCAAACCTACTCTGTGAAAGGGAATATTCAACTCTGTGACTTGAATGCAGATATCACAATGAAGTTTCTGAGAATGCTTCTGTCGAGATTTTATATGAAGATATTCCCGTTTCCAACGAAATCCTGAAATCTATCCAAATATTCCCTCGCAGATTCTACAAAAAGAGTGTTTCAAAACTGCTCTGTAAAAAGAAAGGTTCAACTCTGTTAGTTGAGTACACACATCACAAACAAGTTTCACAGAATGCTTCTTTCTAGCTTGTAGGGGAAGATATTCCCTTTATCACCATGGGCCTCAAACCGTCCGAAACGTCCACTTCCATATACTACAAAAAGAGCGTTTCAAACCTGCTCTATGAAAGGCAATGTTCAACTCTGTGACTTGAATCCAGACATCACAGAGCAGTTTCTGAGAATGCTTCTGTCTAGATTTGATATGAAGATATTCCCGTTTCCAACGAAATCTTCACAGCTATCCAAATATCCACTTGCAGATTCTACAAAAAGAGTGTATCAAAACTGCTCTGTCAAAAGGAAGGTTCTTTTCTGTTAGGTGAGTGCATACGTCATAAAGGAGTTTCTGAGAATGTTTCTGTCTAGTGGTTATGGGAAGATATTTGCTTTTTCACCGTAGGCCTCAGAGCGCTCCAAATATCCACTTGCATATACTACAAAAAGAGTGCTTCAAAGCTGCTCTCTGAAACGGAATGTTCAACTCTATGAGTTGAATGCAAACATGACAAAGACGTTTCTGAGAATGCTTCTGTCTAGATTTGATATGAAGATATTCCCGTTTCCAACGAAATCTTCAAATCTATCCAAATGTCCACTTGCAGATTCAACAAAAAGTGTTTTTCAGAACTGCTCTATCAAAAGAAAGATCCACCTCTATTAGCTGAGTTCACACATCACAAACAAGTTTATGAGAATGCTTCTGTCTAGTTTTTATTTGAAGATATTTCCTTTCTCACCATAGACCTGAAAGCTGTGCTGTTTACTTCCAGATACTACAGAAAGAGTGTTTCAGAACTGCTGTACGAAAGGGAATGTTCAACTCTGTGACTTGAATGCACACATCACAAGGAAGTTTCTGAGGATGCTGCTGTCTACTTTTTATACGTAATCCCGTTTCCAACGAAATCCTCCAAGCTATCCAAATATCCACTTGCAGATACCACAGAAAGACTGTTTCAAAACTGCTCTGTCAATAGAAAGGTTCAACTCTGTTAGCTGCGTGCATATATCCCAAAGAGGATTCTGAGATTGCTTCTGTCTAGTTTTTATGGGAAGATATTTCCCTTTTCACCGTAGGTGTCAAGGCGCTCCAAATGTCCACTTCCAGATACTACAAAAAGAGTGTTTCAAACCTACTCTGTGAAAGGGAATATTGAACTCTGTGACTTGAATGCAGATATCACAAAGAAGTTTCTGAGAATGCTTCTGTCGAGATTTTATATGAAGATATTCCCGTTTCCAACGAAATCCTGAAATCTATCCAAATATCCCCTCGCAGATTCTACAAAAAGAGTGTTTCAAAACTGCTCTGTAAAAAGAAAGGTTCAACTCTGTTAATTGAGTACACACATCACAAACAAGTTTCACAGAATGCTTCTTTCTAGCTTGTAGGGGAAGATATTCCCTTTAATACCATGGGCCTCAAACCGTCCGAAACGTCCACTTCCATATACTAAAAAAAGAGTGTTTCAAACCTGCTCTATGAAAGGCAATGTTCAACTCTGTGACTTGAATGCAGACATCACAGAGCAGTTTCTGAGAATGCTTCTGTCTAGATTTTATAGGAAGATATTCCCGTATCCAACGAAATCTTCACAGCTATCCAAATATCCACTTCCAGATTCTACAAAAAGAGTGTATCAAAACTGCTCTGTCAAAAGGAAGGTTCTTCTCTGTTAGTTGAGTACATACGTCATAAAGGAGTTTCTGAGAATGTTTCTGTCTAGTGGTTATGGGAAGATATTTGCTTTTTCACCGTAGGCCTCAAAGCGCTCCAAATGTCCACTTGCACATACTACAAAAAGAGTGCTTCAAAGCTGCTCTCTGAAAGGGAATGTTCAACTCTATGAGTTGAATGCTAACATCACAAAGACGTTTCTGAGAATGCTTCTGTCTAGATTTGATATGAAGATATTCCCGTTTCCAATGAAATCTTCAAATCTATCCAAATGTCCACTTGCAGATTCAACAAAAAGTGTTTTTCAGAACTGCTCTATCAAAAGAAAGATCCACCTCTGTTAGCTGAGTTCACACATCACAAACAAGTTTATGAGAATGCTTCTGTCTAGTTTTTATTTGAAGATATTTCCTTACTCACGATAGACCTGAAAGCTGTCCTAATGTTCACTTCCAGATACTACAGAAAGAGCGTTTCAAAACTGCTGTACGAAAGGGAATGTTCAACTCTGTGTCTTGAATGCACACATCACAAAGAAGGTTTCTGAGGATGCTGCTGTCTACTTTTTATACGTAATCCCGTTTCCAACGAAATCCTCCAAGCTATCCAAATATCCACTTGGAGATTCCACAAAAAGACTGTTTCAAAACTACTCTGTCAATAGAAAGGTTCAACTCTGTTAGCTGCGTGCATATATCCCAAAGAAGATTCTGAGATTGCTTCTGTCTAGTTTTTATGGGAAGATATTTCCCTTTTCACCGTAGGTGTCAAGGCGCTCCAAATGTCCACTTCCAGATACTACAAAAAGAGTGTTGCAAACCTACTCTGTGAAAGGGAATATTCAACTCTGTGACTTGAATGCACATATCACAAAGAAGTTTCTGAGAATGCTTCTGTCGAGATTTTATATGAAGATATTCCTGTTTCCAACGAAATCCTGAAATGTATCCAAATATCCCCTCGCAGATTCTACAAAAAGAGTGTTTCAAAACTGCTCTGTAAAAAGAAAGGTTCAACTCTGTTAGTTGAGTACACACATCACAAAGAAGTTTCACAGAATGCTTCTTTCTAGCTTGTAGGGGAAGATATTCCCTTTATCACCATCGGCCTCAAACCGTGTGAAACGTCCACTTCCATATACTACAAAAAGAGCTTTTCAAACCTGCTCTATGAAAGGCAATGTTCAACTCTGTGACTTGAATGCAGACATCACAGAGCAGTTTCTGAGAATGCTTCTGTCTAGATTTTATAGGAAGATATTCCCGTTTCCAACGAAATCTTCACAGCTATCCCAATATCCACTTGCAGTTTCTACAAAAAGAGTGTGTCAAAACTGCTCTGTCAAAAGGAAGGTTCTTCTCTGTTAGGTGAGTGCATACGTCATAAAGCAGTTTCTGAGAATGTTTCTGTCTAGTGGTTATGGGAAGATATTTGCTTTTTCACCGTAGGCCTCAGAGCGCTCCAAATATCCACTTGCACATACTACAAAAAGAGTGCCTCAAAGCTGCTCTCTGAAACGGAATGTTCAACTCTACGAGTTGAATGCAAACATCACAAAGACGTTTCTGAGAATGCTTCTGTCTAGATTTGATATGACGATATTCCCGTTTCCAACGAAATATTCAAATCTATCCAAATGTCCACTTGCAGATTCAACAAAAAGTGTTTTTCAGAACTGCTCTATCAAAAGAAAGATCCACCTCTGTTAGCTGAGTTCACACATCACAAACAAGTTTATGAGAATGCTTCTGTCTAGTTTTTATTTGAAGATATTTCCTTTCTCACCATAGACCTGAAAGCTGTCCTAATGTTCACTTCCAGATATTACAGAAAGAGTGTTTCAAAACTGCTGTACGAAAGGGAATGTTCAACTCTGTGACTTGAATGCACACATCACAAAGAAGTTTCTGAGGATGCTGCTGTCTACTTTTTATACGTAATCCCGTTTCCAACGAAATCCTCCAAGCTATCCAAATATCCACTTGCAGATTCCACAGAAAGACTGTTTCAAAACTGCTCTGTCAATAGAAAGGTTCAACTCTGTTAGCTGCGTGCATATATCCCAAAGAAGATTCTGAGATTGATTCTGTCTAGTTTTTATGGGAAGATATTTCCCTTTTCACCGTAGGCGTCAAGGCGCTCCAAATGTCCACTTCAAGATACTACAAAAAGAGTGTTTCAAACCTACTCTGTGAAAGGGAATATTCAACTCTGTGACTTGAAGGCAGATATCACAAAGAAGTTTCTGAGAATGCTTCTGTCGAGATTTTATATGAAGATGTTCCCGTTTCCAACGAAACCCTGAAATCTATCCAAATATCCCCTCGCAGATTCTACAGAAAGAGTGTTTCAAAACTGCTCTGTAAAAAGAAAGGTTCAACTCTGTTACTTGAGTACACACATCACAAACAAGTTTCACAGAATGCTTCTTTCTAGCTTGTAGGGGAAGATATACCCTTTATCACCATGGGCCTCAAACCGTTCGAAACGTCCTCTTCCATATAGTACAAAAAGAGCGTTTCAAACCTGCTCTATGAAAGGCAATGTTCAACTCTGTGACTTGAATGCAGACATCACAGAGCAGTTTCTGAGAATGCTTCTGTCTAGATTTTATAGGAAGATATTCCCGTTTCCAACGAAATCTTCACAGCTATCCAAATATCCACTTGCAGATTCTACAAAAAGAGTGTATCAAAACTGCTCAGTCAAAAGGAAGGTTCTTCTCTGTTACGTGAGTGCATACGTCATAAAGGAGTTTCTGAGAATGTTTCTGTCTAGTGGTTATGGGAAGATATTTGCTTTTTCACCGTAGGCCTCAGAGCGCTCCAAATATCCACTGGCACATACTACAAAAAGAGTGCTTCAAAGCTGCTCTCTGAAACGGAATGTTCAACTCTATGAGTTGAATGCAAACATCACAAAGACGTTTCTGAGAATGCTTCTGTCTAGACTTGATATGAAGATATTCCCGTTTCCAACGACATCTTCAAATCTATCCAAATGTCCACTTGCAGATTCTACAAAAAGTGTTTTTCAGAACTGCTCTATCAAAAGATAGATCCACCTCTGTTAGCTGAGTTCACACATCACAAACAAGTTTATGAGAATGCTTCTGTCTAGTTTTTATTTGAAGATATTTCCTTTCTCACCATAGAGCTGAAAGCTGTCCTAATGTTCACTTCCAGATACTACAGAAAGAGGGTTTCAAAACTGCTGTACGAAAGGGAATGTTCAACTCTGTGACTTGAATGCACACATCACAAAGAAGTTTCTGAGGATGCTGCTGTCTACTTTTTATACGTAATCCCGTTTCCAACGAAATCCTCCAATCTATCCAAATATCCACTTGCAGATTCCACAGAAAGACTGTTTCAAATCTGCTCTGTCAATAGAAAGATTCAACTCTCTTAGCTGCGTGCATATATCCCAAAGAAGATTCTGAGATTGCTTCTGTCTAGTTTTTATGGGAAGATATTTCGCTTTTCACCGTAGGCGTCAAGGCGCTCCAAATGTACACTTCCAGATACTACAAAAAGAGTGTTTCAAACATACTCTGTGAAAGGGAATATTCAACTCTGTGACTTGAATGCACATACCACAAAGAAGTTTCTGAGAATGCTTCTGTCGAGATTTTATATGAAGATATTCCCGTTTCCAACGAAATGCTGAAATGTATCCAAATATCCCCTCGCAGATTCTACAAAAAGAGTGTTTCAAAACTGCTCTGTAAAAAGAAAGGTTCAACTCTGTTAGTTGAGTACACATATCACAAACAAGTTTCACAGAATGCTTCTTTCTAGCTTGTAGGGGAAGATATTCCCTTTATCACCATGGGCCTCAAACCGTCCGAAACGTCCACTTCCATATACTACAAAAAGAGCGTTTCAAACCTGCTCTATGAAAGGCAATGTTCAACTCTGTGACTTGAATGCAGACATCACAGAGCACTTTCTGAGAATGCTTCTGTCCAGACTTTATAGGAAGATATTCCCGTTTCCAACGAAATCTTCACAGCTATCCAAATATCCACTTGCAGATAGTACAACAAGAGTGTATCAGAAATGCTCTGTCAAAAGGAAAGTTCTTCTCTGCTAGTTGAGTACATACGTCATAAAGAAGTTTCTGAGAATGTTTCTGTCTAGTGGTTATGGGAAGATATTTGCTTTTTCACCGTAGGCCTCAGTGCGCTCCAAATATCCACTTGCACATACTACAAAAAGAGTGCCTCAAAGCTGCTCTCTGAAACGGAATGTTCAACTCTAGGAGTTGAATGCAAACATCACAAAGACGTTTCTGAGAATGCTTCTGTCTAGATTTGATATGAAGATATTCCCGTTTCCAACGAAATCTTCAAATCTATCCAAATGTCCCCTTGCAGATTCAACAAAAAGTGTTTTTCAGAACTGCTCTATCAAAAGAAAGATCCACCTCGGTTAGCTGAGTTCACACATCACAAACAGGTTTATGAGAATGCTTCTGTCTAGTTTTTATTTGAAGATATTTCCTTTCTCACCATAGACCTGAAAGGTCTCGAAACGTTCACTTCCAGGTACTAGAGAAAGAGTTTTTCAAACCTGCTGTACGAAAGGGAATGTTCAACTCTTTGACTTGAATGCACACATCACAAAGAAGTTTCTGAGAATGCTGCTGTCTACTTTTTATACGTAATCCCGTTTCCAACGAAGTCCTCCAAGCTATCCAAATATCCACTTGCAGATTCCACAGAAAGACTGTTTCAAAACTGCTCTGTCAATAGAAAGGTTCAACTCTGTTAGCTGCGTGCATATATCACAAAGAAGATTCTGAGATTGCTTCTGTCTAGTTTTTATGGGAAGATATTTCCCTTTTCACCGTAGGTGTCAAGGCGCTCCAAATGTCCACTTCCAGATACTACAAAAAGGGTGTTTCAAACCTACTCTGTGAAAGGGAATATTCAACTCTGTGACTTGGATGCACATATCACAAAGAAGTTTCTGAGAATGCTTCTGTCTAGATTTTATAGGAAGATATTCCCGTTTCCAACGAAATCTTCACAGCTATCCAAATATCCCCTCGCAGATTCTACAAAAAGAGTGTTGCAAAACTGCTCTGTAAAAGGAAAGGTTCAACCCTGTTAGTTGAGTACACACATCACAAACAAGTTTCACAGAATGCTTCTTTCTAGCTTGTAGGGGAAGATATTTCCTTTATCACCATGGGCCTCAAACTGTCCGAAACGTCCACTTCCATATACTACAAAAAGAGCGTTTCAAACCTGCTCTATGAAAGGCAATGTTCAACTCTGTGACTTGAATGCAGACATCACAGAGCAGTTTCTGAGTATACTTCTGTCTAGATTTTATAGGAAGATATTCCCGTTTCCAAAGAAATCTTCACAGCTATCTAAATATCCACTTGCAGATTCTACAAAAAGAGTGTATCAAAAGTGCTCTGTCAAAAGGAAGGTTCTTCTCTGTTAGGTGAGTGCATACGTCATAAAGGAGTTTCTGAGAATGTTTCCGTCTAGTGGTTATGGGAAGATATTTGCTTTTTCACCGTAGGCCTCAGAGCGCTCCAAATATCCACTTGCACATACTACAAAAAGAGTGCTTCAAAGCTGCTCTCTGAAACGGAATGTTCAACTCTATGAGTTGAATGCAAACATCACAAAGACGTTTCTGAGAATGCTTCTGTCTAGATTTGATATGAAGATATTCCCGTTTCCAACGAAATCTTCAAATCTATCCAAATGTCCACTTGCAGATTCAACAAAGTGTTTTTCAGAACTGCTCTATCAAAAGAAAGATCCACCTCTGTTAGCTGAGATCAAACTTCACAAACAAGTTTATCAGAATGCTTCCGTCTAGTTTTTATTTGAAGATATATCCTTTCTCACTATAGACCTGAAAGCTGTCCTAAAGTTCACTTCCAGATACTACAGAAAGTGTGTTTCAAAACTGCTGTACGAAAGGGAATGTTCAACTCTGTGACTTGAATGCACACATCACAAGGATGTTTCTGAGGATGCTGCTGTCTACTTTTTATACGTAATCCCGTTTCCAACGAAATCCTCCAAGCTATCCAAATATCCACTTGCAGATTCCACAGAAAGACTGTTTCAAATCTGCTCTGTCAATAGAAAGGTTCAACTCTGTTAGCTGCATGCATATATCCCAAAGAAGATTCTGAGATTGCTTCTGTCTAGTTTTTATGAGAAGATATTTCCCTTTTCACCGTAGGCCTCAAGGCGCTCCAAATGTCCACTTCCAGATACTACAAAAAGAGTGTTTCAAACCTACTCTGTGAAAGGGAATATTCAACTCTGTGACTTAAAGGCAGATATCACAAAGAAGTTTCTGAGAATGCTTCTGTCGAGATTTTATATGAAGATATTCCCGTTTCCAACGAAATCCTGAAATCTATCCAAATATCCCCTTGCAGATTCTACAAAAAGAGTGTTTCAAAACTGCTCTGTAAAAAGAAAGGTTCAACTCTGTTAGTTGAGTACACACATCACAAACAAGTTTCACACAATGCTTTCTTTCTAGCTTGTAGGGGAAGATATTCCCTTTATCACCATGGTCCTCAAACCGTCGAAACGTCCTGTTCCATATAGTACAAAAAGAGCCTTTCAAACCTGCTCTATGAAAGGCAATGTTCAACTCTGTGACTTGAATGCAGACATCACAGAGCAGTTTCTGAGAATGCTTCTGTCTAGATTTTATAGGAAGATATTCCCGTTTCCAACGAAATCTTCACAGCTATCCAAATATCCACTTGCAGATTCTACAAAAAGAGTGTATCAAAACTGCTCTGTCAAAAGGAAGGTTCTTCCCTGTTAGGTGAGTGCATACGTCATAAAGGAGTTTCTGAGAATGTTTCTGTCTAGTGGTTATGGGAAGATATTTGCTTTTTCACCGTAGGCCTCAGAGCGCTCCAAATATCCACTTGCACATACTACAAGAAGAGTGCTTCAAAGCTGCTCTCTGAAACGGAATGTTCAACTCTATGAGTTGAATGCAAACATCACAAAGACGTTTCTGAGAATGCTTCTGTCTAGATTTGATATGAAGATATTCCCGTTTTCAACGAAATCTTCAAATCTATCCAAATGTCCACTTGCAGATTCAACAAAAAGTGTTTTTCAGAACTGCTCTATCAAAAGAAAGATCCACCTCTGTTAGCTGAGTTCACACATCACAAACAAGTTTATGAGAATGCTTCTGTCTAGTTTTTATTTGAAGATATTTCCTTTCTAACCATAGACCTGAAAGCTGTCCTAATGTTCACTTCCAGATACTACAGAAAGAGTGTTTCAAAACTGCTGTACGAAAGGGAATGTTCAACTCTGTGACTTGAATGCACACATCACAAAGAAGTTTCTGAGGATGCTGCGGTCTACTTTATATACGTAATCCCGTTTCCAACGAAATCCTCCAAGCTATCCAAATATCCACTTGCAGATTCCACAGAAAGACTGTTTCAAAACTGCTCTGTCAATAGAAAGGTTCAACTCTGTTAGCTGCGTGCATATATCCCAAAGAAGATTCTGAGATTGCTTCTGTCTACTTTTTATGAGAAGATATTTCCCTTTTCACCGCAGGCGTCAAGGCGCTCCAAATGTCCACTTCCAGATACTACAAAAAGAGTGTTTCAAACCTACTCTGTGAAAGGGAATATTCAACTCTGTGACTTGAATGCACATATCACAAAGAAGCTTCTGAGAATGCTTCTGTCGAGATTTTATATGAAGATATTCCTGTTTCCAACGAAATCCTGAAATCTATCCAAATATCCCCTCGCAGATTCTACAAAAAGAGTGTTTCAAAACTGCTCTGTAAAAAGAAAGGTTCAACTCTGTTAGTTGAGTACACACATCACAAACAAGTTTCACAGAATGCTTCTTTCTAGCTGGTAGGGGAAGATATTCGCTGTATCACCATGGGCCTCAAAACGTCCGAAACGTCCACTTCCATATACTACAAAAAGAGCGTTTCAAACCTGCTCTATGAAAGGCAATGTTCAACTCTGTGTCTTGAATGCAGACATCACACAGCAGTTTCTGAGAATGCTTCTGTCTAGATTTTATAGGAAGATATTCCCGTTTCCAACGAAATCTTCACAGCTATCAAAATATCCACTTGCAGATTCTACAAAAAGAGTGTATCAAAACTGCTCTGTCAAAAGGAAGGTTCTTCTCTCTTAGGTGAGTGCATACTTCATAAAGGAGTTTCTGAGAATGTTTCTGTCTAGTGGTTATGGGAAGATATTTGCTTTTTCACCGTAGGCCCCAGAGCGCTCCAAATATCCACTTGCACATACTACAAAAAGAGTGCTTCAAAGCTGCTCTCTGAAAGGGAATGTTCAACTCTATGAGTTGAATGCAATCATCACAAAGACGTTTCTGAGAATGCTTCTGTCTAGATTTGATATGAAGATATTCCCGTTTCCAACGAAATCTTCAAATCTATCCAAATGTCCACTTGCAGATTCAACAAAAAGTGTTTTTCAGAACTGCTCTATCAAAAGAAAGATTCACCTCTGTTAGCTGAGTTCACACATCACAAGCAAGTTTATGAGAATGCTTCTGTCTAGTTTTTATTTGAAGATACTTCCTTTCTCACCATAGACCTGAAAGCTGTCCTAGTGTTCACTTCCAGATACTACAGAAAGAGTGTTTCAAAACTGCTGTACGAAAGGGAATGTTCAACTCTGTGACTTGAATGCACACATCACAAAGAAGTTTCTGAGGATGCTGCTGTCTACTTTTTATGCGTAATCCCGTTTCCAACGAAATCCTCTAAGCTATCCAAATATCCACTTGCAGATTCCACAGAAAGACTGTTTCAAAACTGCTCTGTCAATAGAAAGGTTCAACTCTGTTAGCTGCGTGCATATATCCCAAAGAAGATTCTGAGATTGCTTCTGTCTACTTTTTATGGGAAGATATTTCCCTTTTCACCGTAGGTGTCAAGGCGCTCCAAATGTCCACTTCCAGATACTACAAAAAGAGTGTTTCTAACCTACTCTGTGAAAGGGAATATTCAACTCTGTGACTTGAATGCACATATCACAAAGAAGTTTCTGAGAATGCTTCTGTCGAGATTTTATATGAAGATATTCCCGTTTCGAACGAAATCCTGAAATCTATCCAAATATCCCCTCGCAGATTCTACAAAAAGAGTGTTTCAAAACTGCTCTGTAAAAAGAAAGGTTCAACTCTGTTAGTTGAGTACACACATCACAAACAGGTTTCACAGAATGCTTCTTTCTAGCTTGTAGGGGAATATATTCCCTTTATCACCATGGGTCTCAAACCGTCCGAAACGTCCACTTCCATATACTACAAAAAGAGCGTTTCAAACCTGCTCTATGAAAGGCAATGTTCAACTCTGTGACTTGAATGCAGACATCACAGAGCTGTTTCTGAGAATGCTTCTGTCTAGATTTTATAGGAAGATATTCCCGTTTCCAACGAAATCTTCACAGCTATCCAAATATCCACTTGCCGATTCTACAAAAAGAGTGTATCAAAACTGCTCTGTCAAAAGGAAGGTTCTTCTCTGTTAGGTGAGTGCATACGTCATAAAGGAGTTTCTGAGAATGTTTCTGTCTAGTGGTTATGGGAAGATATTTGCTTTTTCACCGTAGGCCTCAGAGCGCTCCAAATATCCACTTGCACATGCTACAAAAAGAGTGCTTCAAAGCTGCTCTCTGAAACGGAATGTTCAACTCTATGAGTTGAATGCAAACATCACAAAGACGTTTCTGAGAATGCTTCTGTCTAGATTTGATATGAAGATATTCCCGTTTCCAACGAAATCTTAAAATCTATCCAAATGTCCACTTGCAGATTCAACAAAATGTGTTTTTCAGAACTGCTCTATCAAAAGAAAGATCCACCTCTGTAAGCTGAGTTCACACATCACAAACAAGTTTATGAGAATGCTTCTGTCTAGTTTTTATTTGAAGATATTTCCTTTCTCACCATAGACCTGAAAGCTCTCCTAGTGTTCACTTCCAGATACTACAGAAAGAGTGTTTCAAAACTGCTGTACGAAAGGGAATGTTCAACTCTGTGACTTGAATGCACACATCACAAAGAAGTTTCTGAGGATGCTGCTGTCTACTTTTTATACGTATCCCGTTTCCAACGAAATCCTCCAAGCTATCCAAATATCCACTTGCAGATTCCACAGAAAGACTGTTTCAAAACTGCTCTGTCAATAGAAAGGTTCAACTCTGTTAGCTGCGTGCATATATCCCAAAGAAGATTCTGAGATTGCTTCTGTCTAGTTTTTATGGGAAGATATTTCCCTTTTCACCGTAGGTGTCAAGGCGCTCAAAATGTCCACTTCCAGATACTACAAGAAGAGTGTTTCAAACCTACTCTGTGAAAGGCAATATTCAACTCTGTGACTTGAATGCAGATATCACAAAGAAGTTTCTGAGAATGCTTCTGTCGAGATTTTATATGAAGATATTCTCGTTTCCAACGAAATCCTGAAATCTATCCAAATATCCCCTCACAGATTCTACAAAAAGAGTGTTTCAAAACTGCTCTGTAAAAAGAAAGGTTCAACTCTGTTAGTTGAGTACACACATCACAAACAAGTTTCACACAATGCTTCTTTCTAGCTTGTAGGGGAAGATATTCCCTTTATCACCATGGGCCTCAAACCGTCGGAAACATCCACTTCCATATACTACAAAAAGAGCGTTTCAAACCTGCTCTATGAAAGGCAATGTTCAACTCTGTGACTTGAATGCAGACATCACAGAGCAGTTTCTGAGAATGCTTCTGTCTAGATTTTATAGGAAGATATTCCCGTTTCCAGGGAAATCTTCACAGCTATCCAAATATCCACTTGCAGATTCTACAAAAAGAGTGTATCAAAACTGCTCTGTCAAAAGGAAGGTTCTTCTCTGTTAGGTGAGTACATACGTCATAAAGGAGTTTCTGAGAATGTTTCTGTCTAGTGGTTATGGGAAGATATTTGCTTTTTCCCCGTAGGCCTCAGGGCGCTCCAAATGTCCACTTGCACATGCTACAAAAAGAGTGCTTCAAAGCTGCTCTCTCAAAGGGAATGTTCAACTCTATGAGTTGAATGCAAACATCGCAAAGACGTTTACTGAGAATGCTTCTGTCTAGATTTGATATGAAGATATTCCCGTTTCCAACGAAATCTTCAAATCTATCCAAATGTCCACTAGCAGATTCAACAAAAAGTGTTTTTCAGAACTGCTCTATCAAAAGAAAGATCCACCTCTGTTAGCTGAGTTCACACATCACAAACAAGTTTATGAGAATGCTTCCGTCTAGTTTTTATTTGAAGATATTTCCTTTCTCACCATAGACCTGAAAGCTGTCCTAATGTTCACTTCCAGATACTACAGAAAGAGTGTTTCAAAACTGCTGTACGAAAGGGAATGTTCAACTCTGTGACTTGAATGCACACATCACAAAGAAGTTTCCTGAGGATGCTGCTGTCTACTTTTTATACGTAATCCCGTTTCCAACGAAATCCTCCAAGCTATCCAAATATCCACTTGCAGATTCCACAGAAAGACTGTTTCAAAACTGCTCTGTCAATAGAAAGGTTCAACTCTGTTAGCTGCGTGGCATATATCCCAAAGAAGATTCTGAGATTGCTTCTGTCTAGTTTTTATCGGAAGATATTTCCCTTTTCACCGTAGGCGTCAAGGCGCTCCAAATGTCCAATTCCAGATACTATAAAAAGAGTGTTTCAAACCTACTCTGTGAAAGGGAATATTCAACTCTGTGACTGGAATGCAGATATCACAAAGATGTTTCTGAGAATGCTTCTGTCGAGATTTTATATGAAGATATTCCCGTTTCCAATGAAATCCTGAAATCTATCCAAATATCCCCTCGTAGATTCTACAAAAAGAGTGTTTCAAAACTGCTCTGTAAAAAGAAAGTTTCAACTCTGTTAGTTGAGTACACACATCACAAACAAGTTTCACAGAATGCTTCTTTCTAGCTTGTAGGGGAAGATATTCCCTTTATCACCATGGGCCTCAAACCGTCCGAAACGTCTACTTCCATATACTACAAAAAGAGCATTTCAAACCTGCTCTAGGAAAGGCAATGTTCAACTCTGTGACTTGAATGCAGACATCACAGAGCAGTTTCTGAGAATGCTTCTGTCTAGATTTTATAGGAAGATATTCCCGTTTCCAATCGAAATCTTCACAGGTATCCAAATATCCACTTGCAGATTCTACAAAAAGAGTGTATCAAAACTGCTCTGTCAAAAGGAAGGTTCTTCTCTGTTAGGTGAGTGCATACGTCATAAAGGAGTTTCTGAGAATGTTTCCGTCTAGTGGTTATGGGAAGATATTTGCTTTCTCACCGTAGGCCTCAGAGCGCTCCAAATATCCACTTGCACATACTACAAAAAGAGTGCTTCAAAGCTGTTCTCTGAAACGGAATGTTCAACTCTATGAGTTGAATGCAAACATCGCAAAGACGTTTCTGAGAATGCTTCTGTCTAGATTTGATATGAAGATATTCCCGTTTCCAACGAAATCTTCATATCTATCCAAATGTCCACTTGCAGATTCAACAAAAAGTGTTTTTCAAAACTTCTGTATCAAAAGAAAGATCCACGTCTGTTAGCTGAGTTCACACATCACAAACAAGTTTATGAGAATGCTTCTGTCTAGTTTTTATTTGAAGATATTTCCTTTCGCACCATAGACCTGAAAGCTGTCCTAATGTTCACTTCCAGATACTACAGAAAGAGTGTTTCAAAACTGCTGTACGAAAGGGAATGTTCAACTCTGTGACTTGAATGCACACATCACAAAGAAGTTTCTGAGGATGCTGCTGTCTACTTTTTATACGTAATCCCGTTTCCAGCGAAATCCTCCAATCTATCCAAATATCCACTTGCAGATTCCACAGAAAGACTGTTTCAAAACTGCTCTGTCAATAGAAAGGTTCAACTCTGTTAGCTGCGTGCATATATCCCAAAGAAGATTCTGAGATTGCTTCTGTCTAGTTTTTATGGGAAGATATTTCCCTTTTCACCGTAGGTGTCAAGGCGCTCCAAATGGCCACTTCCAGATACTACAAAAAGAGTGTTTCAAACCTACTCTGTGAAAGGGAATATTCAACTGTGTGACTAGAATGCACGTATCACAAAGAAGTTTCTGAGAATGCTTCTGTCGAGATTTTATATGAAGATATTCCCGTTTCCAACGAAATCCTGAAATCTATCCAAATATCCCCTTGCAGATTCTACAAAAAGAGTGTTTCAAAACTGCTCTGTAAAAAGAAAGGTTCAACTCTGTTAGTTGAGTACACACATCACAAACAGGTTTCACACAATGCTTCTTTCTAGCTTGTAGGGGAAGATATTCCCTTTATCACCATGGGCCTCAAAACGTCCGATAAGTCCACTTCCATATACTACAAAAAGAGCGTTTCAAACCTGCTCTATGAAAGGCAATGTTCAACTCTGTGACTTGAATGCAGACATCACAGAGCAGTTTCTGAGAATGCTTCTGTCCAGACTTTATAGGAAGATATTCCCGTTTCCAAAGAAATCTTCACAGCTATCCAAATATCCACTTGCAGATTCTACAAAAAGAGTGTATCAAAACTGCTCTGTCAAAAGGAAGGTTCTTCCCTGTTAGTTGAGTGCATACGTCATAAAGGAGTTTCTGAGAATGTTTCTGTCTAGTGGTTATGGGAAGATATTTGCTTTTTCACCGTAGGCCTCAGAGCGCTCCAAATATCCACTTGCACATACTACAAAAAGAGTGCCTCAAAGCTGCTCTCTGAAAAGGAATGTTCAACTCTATGAGTTGAATGCAAACATCGCAAAGACGTTTCTGAGAATGCTTCTGTCTAGATTTGATATGAAGGTATTCCCGTTTCCAACGAAATCTTCAAATCTATCCAAATGTCCACTTGCAGATTCAACAAAAAGTGTTTTTCAGAACTGCTCTATCAAAAGAAAGATCCACCTCTGTTAGCTGAGTTCACACATCACAAACAAGTTTTTGAGAATGCTTTCTGTCTAGTTTTTATTTGAAGATATTTCCTTTCTCACCATAGAGCTGAAAGCTGTCCTAATGTTCACTTCCAGATACTACAGAAAGAGTGTTTCAAAACTGCTGTATGAAAGGGAATGTTCAACTCTGTGACTTGAATGCACACATCACAAAGAAGTTTCGGAGGATGCTGCTGTCTACTTTTTATACGTAATCCCGTTTCCAACGAAATCCTCCAAGCTATCCAAATATCCACTTGCAGATTCCACAGAAAGACTCTTTCAAAACTGCTCTGTCAATAGAAAGGTTCAACTCTGTTAGCTGCGTACATATATCCCAAAGAAGATTCTGAGATTGCTTCTGTCTAGTTTTTATGGGAAGATATTTCCCTTTTCACCATAGGCGTCAAGGCGCTCCAAATGTCCACTTCCAGATACTACAAAAAGAGTGTTTCAAACCTACTCTGTGAAAGGGAATATTCAACTCTGTGACTTGAATGCACATATCACGAAGAAGTTTCTGCGAATGCTTCGGTCTTCTGTCGAGATTTTATATGAAGATATTCCCGTTTCCAACGAAATCCTGAAATCTATCCAAATATCCCCTCGCAGATTCTACAAAAAGAGTGTTTCAAAACTGCTCTGTAAAAAGAAAGGTTCAACTCTGTTAGTTGAGTACACACAGCACAAACAAGTTTCACAGAATGCTTCTTTCTAGCTTGTAGGGGAAGATATTCCCTTTATCACCATGGGCCTCAAACCGTCCGAAACGTCCACTTCCATACACTACAAAAAGAGCGTTTCAAACCTGCTCTATGAAAGGCAATGTTCAACTCTGTGACTTGAATGCAGACATCACAGAGCAGTTTCTGAGAATGCTTCTGTCTAGATTTTATATGAAGATATTCCCATTTCCAATGAAATCTTCAAAGATATCCAAATATCCAATTGCAGATTCTACAAAAAGAGTGTATCAAAACTGTTGTGTCAAAAGGAAGGTTCAACTCTGTTAGTTGTGTACATACATCATAAAGAAGTTTCTGAGAATGTTTCTGTCTAGTGGTTATGGGAAGATATTTGCTTTTTCACCGTAGGCCTCAGAGCGCTCCAAATATCCACTTGCACATACTACAAAAAGAGTGCTTCAAAGCTGGTCTCTGAAACGGAATGTTCAACTCTATGAGTTGAATGCAAACATCACAAAGACGTTTCTGAGAATGCTCTGTCTAGATTTGATATGAAGATATTCCCGTTTCCAACGAAATCTTCAAATCTATCCAAATGTCCACTTGCAGATTCAACAAAACGTGTTTTTCAGAACTGCTCTATCAAAAGAAAGATCCACCTCTGTTAGCTGAGTTCACACATCACAAACAAGTTTATGAGAATGCTTCTGTCTAGTTTTTATTTGAAGATATAACCTTTCTCACTATAGACCTGAAAGCTCTCCTAAAGTTCACTTCCAGATACTACAGAAAGAGTGTTTCAAAACTGCTGTACAAAAGGGAATGTTCAACTCTGTGACTTGAATGCACACATCACAAAGAAGTTTCTGAGGATGCTGCTGTCTACTTTTTATACTTAATCCCGTTTCCAACGAAATCCTCCAAGCTATCCGAATATCCACTTCCAGATTCCACAGAAAGACTGTTTCAAAACTGCTCTGTCAATAGAAAGGTTCAACTCTGTTAGCTGCGTGCATATATCCCAAAGAAGATTCTGAGATTGCTTCTGTCTAGTTTTTATGGGAAGATATTTCCCTTTTCACCGTAGGCGTCCAGGCGCTCCAAATGTCCACTTCCAGATACTACAAAAAGAGTGTTTCAAACCTACTCTGTGAAAGGGAATATTCAACTCTGTGACTTGAATGCACATATCACAAGGGAAGTTTCTGAGAATGCTTCTGTCGAGATTTTATATGAAGATATTCCCGTTTCCAACGAAATGCTGAAATCTATCCAAATATCCCCTCGCAGATTCTACAAAAAGAGTGTTTCAAAACTGCTCTGTAAAAAGAAAGGTTCAACTCTGTTAGTTGAGTACACACATCACAAACAAGTTTCACACAATGCTTCTTTCTAGCTTGTAGGGGAAGATATTCCCTTTATCACCATGGGCCTCAAACCGTCCGAAACGTCCACTTCCAAATACTACAAAAAGAGTGTTTCAAACCTGCTCTATGAAAGGCAATGTTCAACTCTGTGACTTGAATGCAGACATCACAGAGCACTTTCTGAGAATGCTTCTGTCTAGATTTTATAGGAAGATATTCCCGTTTCCAACGAAATCTTCACAGCTATCCAAATATCCACTTGCAGATTCTACAAAATGTGTGTATCAAAACTGCTCTGTCAAAAGGAAGGTTCTTCTCTCTTAGGTGAGTACATACGTCATAAAGGAGTTTCTGAGAATGTTTCTGTCTAGTGGTTATGGGAAGATATTTGCTTTTTCACCTTAGGCCTCAGAGCGCTCCAAATATCCCCTTGCACATACTACAAAAAGAGTGCTTCACAGCTGCTCTCTGAAACGGAATGTTCAACTCTATGAGTTGAATGCAAACATCACAAAGACGTTTCTGAGAATGCTTCGGTCTAGATTTGATATGAAGATATTCCCGTTTCCAACGAAATCTTCAAATCTATCCAAATGTCCACTTGCAGATTCAACAAAAAGTGTTTTTCAGAACTGCTCTATCAAAAGAAAGATCCACCTCTGTTAGCTGAGTTCACACATCACAAACAAGTTTATGAGAATGCTTTCTGTCTAGTTTTTATTTGAAGATATTTCCTTTCTCACCGTAGACCTGAAAGCTGTCCTAATGTTCACTTCCAGATACTACAGAAAGAGTGTTTCAAAACTGCTGTACGAAAGGGAATGTTCAACTCTGTGACTTCAATGCAAACATCACAAAGAAGTTTCTGAGGATGCTGCTGTCTACTTTTTACACGTAATCCCGTTTCCAACGAAATCCTCCAAGCTATCCAAATATCCACTTGCAGATTCCACAGAAAGACTGTTTCAAAACTGCTCTGTCAATAGAAAGGTTCAACTCTGTTAGCTGCGTGCATATATCCCAAAGGAGATTCTGAGATTGCTTCTGTCTAGTTTTTATGGGAAGATATTTACCTTTTCACTTTAGGTGTCAAGGCGCTCCAAATGTCCACTTCCAGATACTACAAAAAGAGTGTTTCAAACCTACTCTGTGAAAGGGAATATTCAACTCTGTGACTTGAATGCAGATATCACAAAGAAGTTTCTGAGAATGCTTCTGTCGAGATTTTATATGAAGATATTCCCGTTTCCAACGAAATCCTGAAATCTATCCAAATATCCCCTCGCAGATTCTACAAAAAGAGTGTTTCAAAACTGCTGTGTAAAAAGAAAGGTTCAACTCTGTTAGTTGAGTACACACATCACAAACAAATTTCACAGAATGATTCTTTCTAGCTTGTAGGGGAAGATATTCCCTTTATCACCATGGGCCTCAAACCGTCCGAAACGTCCACTTCCATATACTACAAAAAGAGCGTTTCAAACCTGCTCTATGAAAGGCAATGTTCAACTCTGTGACTTGAATGCAGACATCACAGAGCACTTTCTGAGAAGGCTTCTGTCTAGATTTTATAGGAAGATATTCCCGTTTCCAACGAAATCTTCACAGCTATCCAAATATCCACTTGCAGATTCTACAAAAAGAGTGTATCAAAACTGCTCTGGCAAAAGGAAGGTTCTTTTCTGTTAGGTGAGTGCATACGTCATAAAGGAGTTTCTGAGAATGTTTCTGTCTAGTGGTTATGGGAAGATATTTGCTTTTTCACCGTAGGCCTCAGAGCGCTCCAAATATCCACTTGCACATACGACAAAAAGAGTGCTTCAAAGCTGCTCTCTGAAACGGAATGTTCAACTCTGTGAGTTGAATGCAAACGTCACAAAGACGTTTCCGCGAATGCTTCTGTCTAGATTTGATATGAAGATATTCCCGTTTCCAACGAAATCTTCAAATCTATCCAAATGTCCACTTGCAGATTCTACAAAAAGTGTTTTTCAGAACTGCTCTATCAAGAGAAAGATCCACCTCTGTTAGCTGAGTTCACACATCACAAACAAGTTTATGAGAATGCTTCTGTCTAGTTTTTGTTTGAAGATATTTCCTTTCTCACCATAGAGCTGAAAGCTGTCCTAATGTTCACTTCCAGATACTACAGAAAGAGTGTTTCAAAACTGCTGTACGAAAGGGAATGTTCAACTCTGTCACTTGAATGCACACATCACAAAGAAGTTTCTGAGGATGCTGCTGTCTACTTTTTATACTTAATCCCGTTTCCAACGAAGTCCTCCAAGCTATCCAAATATCCACTTGCAGATTCCACAGAAAGGCTGTTTCAAAACTGCTCTGTCAATAGAAAGGTTCAACTCTGTTAGCTGCGTGCATATATCCCAAAGAAGATTCTGAGATTGCTTCTGTCTAGTTTTTAGGGGAAGATATTTCCCTTTTCACCGTAGGTGTCAAGGCGCTCCAAATGTCCACTTCCAGATACTACAAAAAGAGTGTTTCAAACCTACTCTGTGAAAGGGAATATTCAACTCTGTGACTTCAATGCACATATCACAAAGAAGTTTCTGAGAATGCTTCTGCCGAGATTTTATATGAAGATATTCCCGTTTCCAACGAAATGCTGAAATCTATCCAAATATCCCCTCGCAGATTCTACAAAAAGAGTGTTTCAAAACTGCTCTGTGAAAAGAAAGGTTCATCTCTGTTAGTTGAGTACACACATCACAAACAAGTTTCACAGAATGCTTCTTTCTAGCTTGTAGGGGAAGATATTCCCTTTATCACCATGGGCCTCAAACCGTCTGAAACGTCCACTTCCATATACTACAAAAAGAGCATTTCAAACCTGCTCTGTGAAAGGCAATGTTCAACTCTGTGACTTGAATGCAGACATCACACAGCAGTTTCTGAGAATGCTTCTGTCTAGATTTTATAGGAAGATATTCCCGTTTCCAACGAAATCTTCACAGCTATCCAAATATCCACTTGCAGATTCTACAAAAAGAGTGTATCAAAACTGCTCTGTCAAAAGGAAGGTTCTTTTCTGTCAGGTGAGTGCATACGTCATAAAGGAGTTTCTGAGAATGTTTCTGTCTAGTGGTTATGGGAAGATATTTGCTTTTTCACCTTAGGCCTCAGAGCGCTCAAAATATCCCCTTGCACATACTACAAAAAGAGTGCTTCAAAGCTGCTCTCTGAAACGGAATGTTCAACTCTATGGGTTGAATGCAAACATCACAAAGACGTTTCCGAGAATGCTTCTGTCTAGATTTGATATGACGATATTCCCGTTTACAACGAAATCTTCAAATCTATCCAAATGTCCACTTGCAGATTCAACAAAACGTGTTTTTCAGAACTGCTCTATCAAAAGAAAGATCCACCTCTGTTAGCTGAGTTCACACATCACAAACAAGTTTATGAGAATGCTTCTGTCTAGTTTTTATTTGAAGATATTTCCTTTCTCACCATAGACCTGAAAGCTGTCCTAATGTTCACTTCGAGATACTACAGAAAGAGTGTTTCAAAACTGCTGTACGAAAGGGAATGTTCAACTCTGTGACTTGAATGCACACATCACAAAGAAGTTTCTGAGGATGCTGCTGTCTACTTTTTATACGTAATCCCGTTTCCAACGAAATCCTCCAAGCTATCCAAATATCCATTTGCAGATTCCACAGAAAGACTGTTTCAAAACTGCTCTGTCAATAGAAAGTTTCAACTCTGTTAGCTGCGTGCATATATCCCAAAGAAGATTCTGAGATTGCTTCTGTCTAGTTTTTATGGGAAGATATTTCCCTTTTCACCTTAGGCGTCAAGGCGCTCCAAATGTCCACTTCCAGATACTACAAAAAGAGTGTTTCAAACCTACTCTGTGAAAGGGAATATTCAACTCTGTGACTTGAATGCACATATCACAAAGAAGTTTCTGAGAATGCTTCTGTCGAGATTTTATATGAAGATATTCCCGTTTCCAACGAAATCCTGAAATCTATCCAAATGTCCCCTCGCAGATTCTACAAAAAGAGTGTTTCAAAACTGCTCTGTAAAAAGAAAGGTTCAACTCTGTTAGTTGAGTACACACATCACAAAGAAGTTTCACAGAATGCTTCTTTCTAGCTTGTTGGGGAAGATATTCCCTTTATCACCATGGGCCTCAAACCGTCCGAAACGTCCACTTCCATATACTACAAAAAGAGTGTTTCAAACCTGCTCTATGAACGGCAATGTTCAACTCTGTGACTTGAATGCAGACATCACAGAGCAGTTTCTGAGAATGCTTCTGTCTAGATTTTATAGGAAGTATATTCCCGTTTCCAACGAAATCTTCACAGCTATCCAAATATCCACTTGCAGATTCTACAAAAAGAGTGTATCAAAACTGCTCTGTCAAAAGGAAGGTTCTTTTCTGTTAGGTGAGTGCATACGTCATAAAGGAGTTTCTGAGAATGTTTCTGTCTAGTGGTTATTGGAAGATATTTGCTTTTTCACCGTAGGCCTCAGATCGCTCCAAATATCCACTTGCACATACTACAAAAAGAGTGCTTCAAAGCTGCTCTCTGAAACGGAATGTTCAACTCTATGAGTTGAATGCAAACATCACAAAGACGTTTCTGAGAATGCTTCTGTCTAGATTTGATATGAAGATATTCCCGTTTCCAACGAAATCTTCAAATCTATCCAAATGTCCACTTGCAGATTCAACAAAAAGTGTTTTTCAAAACTGCTGTATCAAAAGAAAGATCCACGCCTGTTAGCTGAGTTCACACATCACAAACAAGTTTATGAGAATGCTTCTGTCTAGTTTTTATTTGAAGATATTGCCTTTCTCACCATAGACCTGAAAGCTGTCCTAATGTTCACTTCCAGATACTACAGAAAGAGTTTTTCAAAACTGCTGTACGAAAGGGAATGTTCAACTCTGTGACTTGAATGCACACATCACAAAGAAGTTTCTGAGGATGCTGCTGTCTAATTTTTATACATAATCCCTTTTCCAACGAAATCCTCCAAGCTATCCAAATATCCACTTGCAGATTCCACAGAAAGACTGTTTCAAAACTGCTCTGTCAATAGAAAGGTTCAACTCTGTTAGCTGCGTGCATATATCCCAAAGAAGATTCGGAGATTGCTTCTGTCTCGTTTTTATGGGAAGATATTTACCTTTTCACCGTAGGTGTCAAGGCGCTCCAAATGTCCACTTCCAGATACTACAAAAAGAGTGTTTCAAACCTACTCTGTGAAAGGGAATATTCAACTCTGTGACTTGAATGCAGATATCACAAAGAAGTTTCTGAGAATGCTTCTGTCGAGATTTTATATGAAGATATTCCCGTTTCCAACGAAATCCTGAAATCTATCCAAATATCCCCTCGCAGATTCTACAAAAAGAGTGTTGCAAAACTGCTCTGTAAAAAGAAAGGTTCAACCCTGTTAGTTGAGTACACACATCACAAACAAGTTTCACAGAATGCTTCTTTCTAGCTTGTAGGGGAAGATATTCCCTTTATCACCATGGGCCTCAAACCGTCCGAAACGTCCACTTCCATATAGTACAAAAAGAGTGTTTCAAACCTGCTCTATGAACGGCAATGTTCAACTCTGTGACTTGAATGCAGACATCACAGAGCAGTTTCTGAGAATGCTTCTGTCTAGATTTTATAGGAAGATATTCCCGATTCCAACGAAATCTTCACAGCTATCCAAATATCCACTTGCAGATTCTACAAAAAGAGTGTATCAAAACTGCTCTGTCAAAAGGAAGGTTCTTCTCTGTTAGTTGAGTACATACGTCATAAAGGAGTTTCTGAGAATGTTTCAGTCTAGTGGTTATGGGAAGATATTTGCTTTTTCCCCGTAGGCCTCAGAGCGCTCCAAATATCCACTTGCACATACTACAAAAAGAGTGCTTCAAAGCTGCTCTCTGAAACGGAATGTTCAACTCTATGAGTTGAATGCAAACATCACAAAGACGTTTCTGAGAATGCTTCTGTCGAGATTTTATATGAAGATATTCCCGTTTCCAACGAAATTTTCAAATCTATACAAATGTCCACTTGCAGATTCAACAAAGTGTTTTTCAAAACTGCTGTATCAAAAGAAAGATCCACCTCTGTTAGCTGAGTTCACACTTCACAAACAAGTTTATCAGACTGCTTCTGTCTAGTTTTTATTTGAAGATATTTCCTTTCTCACCACAGACCTGAAAGCTGTCCTAATGTTCACTTGCAGATACTACAGAAAGAGTGTTTCAAAACTGCTGTACGAAAGGGAATGTTCAACTCTGTGACTTGAATGCACACATCACAAAGAAGTTTCTGAGGATGCTGCTGTCTACTTTTTATACGTAATCGCGTTTCCAACGAAATCCTCCAAGCTATCCAAATATCCACTTGCAGATTCCACAGAAAGACTGTTTCAAAACTGCTCTGTCAATAGAAAGGTTCAACTCTGCTAGCTACGTGCATATATCCCAAAGAAGATTCTGAGATTGCTTCTGTCTAGTTTTTATGGGAAGATATTTCCCTTTTCACCGTAGGCGTGAAGGCGCTCCAAATGTCCACTTCCAGATACTACAAAAAGAGTGTTTCAAACCTACTATGTGAAAGGGAATATTCAACTCTGTGACTTCAATGCAGATATCACAAAGAAGTTTCTGAGAAGGCTTCTGTTGAGATTTTATATGAAGATATTCCCGTTTCCAACGAAATCCTGAAATCTATCCAAATATCCCCTCGCAGATTCTACAAAAAGAGTGTTTCAAAACTGCTCTGTAAAAAGAAAGGTGCAACTCTGTTAGTTGAGTACACACATCACAAACAAGTTTCACAGAATGCTTCTTTCTAGCTTGTAGGGGAAGATATTCCCTTTATCACCATGGGCCTCAAACCGTCCGAAACGTCCACTTCCATATACTACAGAAAGAGCGTTTCAAACCTGTTCTAGGAAAGGCAATGTTCAACTCTGTGACTTGAATGCAGACATCACAGAGCAGTTTCTGAGAATGCTTCTGTCTAGATTTTATAGGAAGATATTCCCGTTTCCAACGAAATCTTCACAGCTATCCAAATATCCACTTGCAGATTCTACAAAAAGAGTGTATCAAAACTGCTCTGTCAAAAGGAAGGTTCTTTTCTGTTAGGTGAGTGCATACGTCATAAAGGAGTTTCTGAGAATGTTTTCTGTCTAGTGGTTATGGGAAGATATTTGCTTTTTCACCTTAGGCCTCAGAGCGCTCCAAATATCCCCTTGCACATACTACAAAAAGAGTGCTTCAAAGCTGCTCTCTGAAAGAGAATGTTCAACTCTATGAGTTGAATGCAAACATCACAAAGACGTTTCTGGGAATGCTTCTGTCTAGATTTGATATGAAGATATTCCCGTTTCCAAAGAAATCTTCAAATCTATCCAAATGTCCACTTGCAGATTCATCAAAAAGTGTTTTTCAGAACTGCTCTATCAAAAGAAAGATCCACCTCTGTTAGCTGAGTTCACACATCACACACAAGTTTATGAGAATGCTTCTGTCTAGTTTTTATTTGAAGATATTTCCTTTCTCACCATAGACCTGAAAGCTGTCCTAATGTTCACTTCCAGATACTACAGAAAGAGTGTTTCAAAACTGCTGTACGAAAGGGAATGTTCAACTCTGTGACTTGAATTCAATCATCACAAAGAAGTTTCTGAGGATGCTGCTGTCTACTTTTTATACGTAATCCCGTTTCCAAAGAAATCCTCCAAGCTATCCAAATATCCACTTGCAGATTCCACAGAAGGACTGTTTCTAAACTGCTCTGTCAATAGAAAGGTTCAACTCTGTGAGCTGCGTGCATATATCCCAAAGAAGATTCTGAGATTGCTTCTGTCTAGTTTTTATGGGAAGATATTTCCCTTTTCACCGTAGGCGTCAAGGCGCTCCAAATGTCCACTTCCAGATACTACAAAAAGAGTGTTTCAAACCTACTCTGTGAAAGGGAATATTCAACTCTGTGACCTGAATGCACATATCACAAAGAAGTTTCTGAGAATGCTTCCGTCGAGATTTTATATGAAGATATTCCCGTTTCCAACGAAATCCTGAAATCTATCCAAATATCCCCTCGCAGATTCTACAAAAAGAGTGTTTCAACACTGTTCTGTAAAAAGAAAGGTTCAACTCTGTTAGTTGAGTACACACATCACAAACAAGTTTCACAGAATGCTTCTTTCTAGCTTGTAGGGGAAGATATTCCCTTTATCACCATGGGCCTCAAACCATCCGAAATGTCCACTTCAATATACTACAAAAAGAGCGTTTCAAACCTGCTCTAGGAAAGGGAATGTTCAACTCTGTGACTTGAATGCAGACATCACAGAGCAGTTTCTGAGAATGCTTCTCTCTAGATTTTATGGGAAGATATTCCCGTTTCCGACGAAATCTTCACAGCTATCCAAATATCCACTTGCAGATTCTACAAAAAGAGTGTATCAAAACTGCTCTGTCAAAAGGAAGGTTCTTCTCTGTTAGGTGAGTGCATACGTCATAAAGGAGTTTCTGAGAATGTTTCCATCTAGTGGTTATGGGAAGATATTTGCTTTTTCACCGAAGGCCTCAGAGCGCTCCAAATATCCACTTGCACATACTACAAAAAGAGTGCCTCAAAGCTGCTCTCTGAAACGGAATGTTCAACTCTATGAGTTGAATGCAAACATCGCAACGACGTTTCTGAGAATGCTTCTGTCTAGATTTGACATGAAGATATTCCGGTTTCCAACGAAATCTTCAAATCTATCCAAATGTCCACTTGCAGATTCAACAAAAAGTGTTTTTCAGAACTGCTCTATCAAAAGAAAGATCCACCTCTGTTAGCTGAGTTCACACATCACAAACAAGTTTATGAGAATGCTTCTGTCTAGTTTTTATTTGAAGATATATCCTTTCTCACTATAGACGTGAAAGCTCTCCTAAAGTTCACTTCCAGATACTACAGAAAGAGTTTTTCAAAACTGCTGTACGAAAGGGAATGTTCAACTCTGTGACTTGAAAGCACACATCACAAGGAAGATTCTGAGGATGCTGCTGTATACTTTTTATACGTAATCCCGTTTCCAACGAAATCCTCCAAGCTATCCAAATATCCACTTGCAGATTCCACAGAAAGACTGTTTCAAAACTGCTCTGTCAATAGAAAGGTTCAACTCTGTTAGCTGCGTGCATATATCCCAAAGAAGATTCTGAGATTGCTTCTGTCTAGTTTTTATGGGAAGATATTTCCCTTTTCACCGTAGGCGTCAAGGCGCTCCAAATGTCCACTTCCAGATACTACAAAAAGAGTGTTTCAAACCTACTCTGTGAAAGGGAATATTCAACTCTGTGACTTGAGTGCAGATATCACAAAGAAGTTTCTGAGAATGCTTCTGTCGAGATTTTATATGAAGATATTCCCGTTTCCAACGAAATGCTGAAATGTATCCAAATATCCCCTCGCAGATTCTACAAAAAGAGTGTTTCAAAACTGCTCTGTAAAAAGAGAGGTTCAACTCTGTTAGTTGAGTACACACATCACAAACAAGTTTCACACAATGCTTCTTTCTAGCTTGTAGGGGAAGATATGCCCTTTATCACCATGGGCCTCCAACCGTCCGAAACATCCACTTTCATATACTACAAAAAGAGCGTTTCAAACCTGCTCTATGAAAGGCAATGTTCAACTCTGTGACTTGAATGCAGACATCACAGAGCAGTTTCTGAGAATGCTTCTGTCTAGATTTTATAGGAAGTTATTCCCGTTTCCAACGAAATCTTCACAGCTATCCAAATATCCACTTGCAGATTCTACAAAAAGAGTGTATCAAAACTGCTCTGTCAAAAGGAAGGTTCTTTTCTGTTAGGTGAGTGCATACGTCATAAAGGAGTTTCTGAGAATGTTTCTGTCTAGTGGTTATGGGAAGATATTTGCTTTTTCACCGTAGGCCTCAGAGCGCTCCAAATATCCACTTGCACATACTACAAAAAGAGTGCTTCAAAGCTGCTCTCTGAAAGGGAATGTTCAACTCTATGAGTTGAATGCGAACATCACAAAGACGTTTCTGAGAATGCTTCTGTCTAGATTTGATATGAAGATATTCCCGTTTCCAACGAAATCTTCAAATCTATCCAAATGTCCACTTGCAGATTCAACAAAAAGTGTTTTTCAGAACTGCTCTATCAAAAGAAAGATCCACCTCTGTTAGCTGAGTTCACACATCACTAACAGGTTTATGAGAATGCTTCTGTCTAATTTTTATTTGAAGATATTTCCTTTCTCACCATAGACCTGAAAGCGGTCCTAATGTTCACTTCCAGATACTACAGAAAGAGTGTTTCAAAACTGCTGTACGAAAGGGAATGTTCAACTCTGTGACTTGAATGCACACATCACAAAGAAGTTTCTGAGGATGCTGCTGTCTACCTTTTATACGTAATCCCGTTTCCAACGAAATCCTCCAAGCTATCCAAATATCCACTTGCAGATTCCACAGAAAGACTGTTTCAAAACTGCTCTGTCAATAGAAAGGTTCAACTCTGTTAGCTGCGTGCATATATCCCAAAGAAGATTCTGAGATTGCTTCTGTCTAGTTTTTATGGGAAGATATTTCCCTTTTCACCGTAGGCGTCAAGGCGCTCCAAATGTCCACTTCCAGATACTACAAAAAGAGTGTTTCAAACCTACTCTGTGAAAGGGAATATTCAACTCTGTGACTTGAAGGAAGATATCACAAAGAAGTTTCTGAGAATGCTTCTGTCGAGATTTTCTATGAAGATGTTCCCGTTTCCAACGAAATCCTGAAATCTATCCAAATATCCCCTCGCAGATTCTACAAAAAGAGTGTTTCAAAACTGCTCTGTAAAAAGAAAGGTTCAACTCTGTTAGTTGAGTACACACATCACAAACAAGTTTCACAGAATGCTTCTTTCTAGCTTGTAGGGGAAGATATTCCCTTTATCACCATGGGCCTCAAACCGTCCGAAACGTCCTCTTCCATATACTACAAAAAGAGCGTTTCAAACCTGCTCTATGAAAGGCAATGTTCAACTCTGTGACTTGAATGCAGACATCACAGAGCAGTTTCTGAGAATGCTTCTGTCTAGATTTTATAGGAAGATATTCCCGTTTCCAACGAAATATTCACAGCTATCCAAATATCCACTTGCAGATTCTACAAAAAGAGTGTATCAAAACTGCTCTGTCAAAAGGAAGGTTCTTCTCTGTTAGGTGAGTGCATACGTCATAAAGGAGTTTCTGAGAATGTTTCTGTCTAGTGGTTATGGGAAGATATTTGCTTTTTCACCGTAGGCCTCAGAGCGCTCCAAATATCCACTTGCACATACTACAAAAAGAGTGCTTCAAAGCTGCTCTCTGAAACGGAATGTTCAACTCTACGAGTTGAATGCAAACATCACAAAGACGTTTCTGAGAATGCTTCTGTCTAGATTTGATATGAAGATATTCCCGTTTCCAACGAAATCTTCAAATCTATCCAAAGGTCCACTTGCAGATTCAACAAAAAGTGTTTTTCAGAACTGCTCTATCAAAAGAAAGATCCACCTCTGTTAGCTGAGTTCACACATCACAAACAAGTTTATGAGAATGCTTATCTGTCTACTTTTTATTTGAAGATATTTCCTTTCTCACCATAGACCTGAAAGCTGTCCTAATGTTCACTCCCAGATACTACAGAAAGAGTGTTTCAAAACTGCTGTACGAAAGGGAATGTTCAACTCTATGACTTGAATGCACACATCACAAAGAAGATTCTGAGGATGCTGCTGTCTACTTTTTATACGTAATCCCGTTTCCAACAAAATCCTCCAAGCTATCCAAATATCCACTTGCAGATTCCACAGAAAGACTGTTTCAAAACTGCTCTGTCAATAGAAAGGTTCAACTCTATTAGCTGCGTACATATATCCCAAAGAAGATTCTGAGATTGCTTCTGTCTAGTTTTTATGGGAAGATATTTCCCTTTTCACTGTAGGCGTCAAGGCGCTCCAAATGTCCACTTCCAGATACTACAAAAAGAGTGTTTCAAACCTACTCTGTGAAAGGGAATATTCAACTCTGTGACTTAAAGGCAGATATCACAAAGAAGTTTCTGAGAATGCTTCTGTCGAGATTTTATATGAAGATATTCCCGTTTCCAACGAAATCCTGAAATCTATCCAAATATCCCCTCGCAGATTCTACAAAAAGAGTGTTTCAAAACTGCTCTGTAAAAAGAAAGGTTCAACTCTGTTAGTTGAGTACACACATCACAACCAAGTTTCACAGAATGCTTCTTTCTAGCTTGTAGGGGAAGATATTCCCTTTATCACCATGGGCCTCAAACTGTCAGAAACGTCCACTTCCATATACTACAAAAAGAGCGTTTCAAACCTGCTCTATGAAAGGCAATGTTCAGCTCTGTGACTTGAATGCAGACATCACAGAGCAGTTTCTGAGAATGCTTCTGTCTAGATTTTATAGGAAGATATTCCCGTTTCCAACGAAATCTTCACAGATATCCAAATATCCACTTGCAGATTCTACAAAAAGAGTGTATCAAAACTGCTCTGTCAAAAGGAAGGTTCTTCTCTGTTAGGTGAGTGCATACGTTATAAAGGAGTTTCTGAGAATGTTTCTGTCTAGTGGTTATGGGAAGATATTTGCTTTTTCACCGTAGGCCTCAGAGCGCTCCAAATATCCACTTGGACATACTACAAAAAGAGTGCCTCAAAGCTGCTCTCTGAAACGGAATGTTCAACTCTATGAGTTGAATGCAAACATCGCAAAGACGTTTCTGAGAATGCTTCTGTCTAGATTTGATATGAAGATATTCCCGTTTCCAACGAAATCTTCAAATCTATCCAAATGTCCACTTGCAGATTCAACAAAAAGTGTTTTTCAGAACTGCTCAATCAAAAGAAAGATCCACCTGTGTTAGCTGAGTTCACACATCACAAACAAGTTTATGAGAATGCTTCTGTCTAGTTTTTATTTGAAGATATTTCCTTTCTCAACATAGACCTGAAGGCTGTCCTAATGTTCACTTCCAGATACTACAGAAAGAGTGTTTCAAAACTGCTGTACGAAAGGGAATGTTCAACTCTGTGACTTGAATGCACACATCACAAAGAAGTTTCTGAGGATGCTGCTGTCTACTTTTTATACGTAATCCCGTTTCCAACGAAATCCTCCAATCTATCCAAATATCCACTTGCAGATTCCACAGAAAGACTGTTTCAAAACTGCTCTGTCAATAGAAAGGTTCATCTCTGTTAGCTGCGTGCATATATCCCAAAGAAGATTCTGAGATTGCTTTTGTTTAGTTTTTAATGGGAAGATATTTCCCTTTTCACCGTAGGTGTCAAGGCGCTCCAAATGTCCACTTCCAGATACTACAAAAAGAGTGTTTCCAACCTACTCTGTGAAAGGGAATATTCAACTCTGTGACTTGAATGCACATATCACAAAGAAGTTTCTGAGAATGCTTCTGTCGAGATTTTATATGAAGATATTCCCGTTTCCAACGAAATCCTGAAATCTATCCAAATATCCCCTCGCAGATTCTACAAAAAGAGTTTTTCAAAACTGCTCTGTAAAAAGAAAGGCTCTGTTAGTTGAGTACACACATCACAAACAAGTTTCACAGAATGCTTCTTTATAGCTTGTAGGGGAAGATATTCCCTTTATCACCATGGGCCTCCAACCGTCCGAAACATCCACTTCCCTATACTACAAAAAGAGCGTTTCAAACCTGCTCTATGAAAGGCAATGTTCAACTCTGTGACTTGAATGCAGACATCACAGAGCAGTTTCTGAGAATGCTTCTGTCTAGATTTTATAGGAAGATATTCCCGTTTCCAACGAAATCTTCACAGCTATCCAAATATGCACTTGCAGATTCTACAAAAAGAGTGTATCAAAACTGCTGTATCAAAAGAAAGAATGTTCTTCTCTGTTAGTTGAGTACATACGTCATAAAGGAGTTTCTGAGAATGTTTCTGTATAGTGGTTATGGGAAGATATTTGCTTTTTCACCGTAGGCCTCAGAGCGCTCCAAATATCCACTTGCACATACTACAAAAAGAGTGCTTCAAAGCTGCTCTCTGAAACGGAATGTTCAACTCTATGAGTTGAATGCAAACATCACAAAGACGTTTCCGAGAATCCTTCTGTCTAGATTTGATATGAAGATATTCCCGTTTCCAACGAAATCTTCATATCTATCCAAATGTCCACTTGCAGATTCAACAGAAAGTGTTTTTCAAAACTTCTCTATCAAAAGAAAGATCCACCTCTGTTAGCTGAGTTCACACATCACAAACAAGTTTATGAGAATGCTTCTGTCTAGTTTTTATTTGAAGATATATCCTTTCTCACTATAGACCTGAAAGCTGTCCTAAAGTTCACTAACAGATACTACAGAAAGAGTGTTTCAAAACTGCTGTACGAAAGGGAATGTTCAACTCTGTGACATGAATGCACACATCACAAGGATGTTTCTGAGGATGCTGCTGTCTACTTTTTATACGTAATCCCGTTTCCAACGAAATCCTCCAATCTATCCAAATATCCACTTGCAGATTCCACAGAAAGACTGTTTCAAATCTGCTCTGTCAACAGAAAGATTCAACTCTGTTAGCTGCGTGCATATATCCCAAAGAAGATTCTGAGATTGCCTTCTGTGTAGTTTTTATGGGAAGATATTTCCCTTTTTACCGTAGGTGTCAAGGCGCTCAAAATGTCCACTTCCAGATACTACAAAAAGAGTGTTTCAAACCTACTCTGTGAAAGGGAATATTCAACTCTGTGACTTGAATGCAGATATCACAAAGAAGTTTCTGAGAATGCTTCTGTCGAGATTTTATATGAAGATATTCCCGTTTCCAACGAAATCCTGAAATCTATCCAAATATCCCCTCGCAGATTCTACAAAAGGAGTGTTTCAAAACTGCTCTGTAAAAAGAAACGTTCAACTCTGTTAGTTGAGTACACACATCACAAACAAGTTTCACAGAATGCTTCTTTCTAGCTTGTAGGGGAAGATATTCCCTAAATCACCATGGGCCTCAAACCGTCCGAAACGTCCACTTCCATATACTACAAAAAGAGTGTTTCAAACCTGCTCTATGAAAGGCAATGTTCAACTCTGTGACTTGAATGCAGACACCACAGAGCAGTTTCTGAGAATGCTTCTGTCTAGATTTTATAGGAATATATTCCCGTTTTCAACGAAATCTTCACAGCTATCCAAATATCCACTTGCAGATTCCACAAAAAGAGTGTATCAAAACTGCTCTGTCAAAAGGAAGGTTCTTTTCTGTTAGGTGAGTGCATACTGTCATAAAGGAGTTTCTGAGAATGTTTCTGTCTAGTGGTTATGGGAAGATATTTGCTTTTCCCCGTAGGCCTCAGGGCGCTCCAAATGTCCACTTGCACATGCTACAAAAAGAGTGCTTCAAAGCTACTCTCTGGAAGGGAATGTTCAACTCTATGAGTTGAATGCAAACATCACAAAGACGTTTCTGAGAATGCTTCTGTCTAGATTTGATATGAAGATATTCCCGTTTCCAACGAAATCTTCAAATCTATCCAAATGTCCACTTGCAGATTCAACAAAAAGTGTTTTTCAGAACTGCTCTATCAAAAGAAAGATCCACCTCTGTTAGCTGAGTTCACACATCACAAACAAGTTTATAAGATGCTTCTGTCTAGTTTTTATTTGAAGATATTTCCTTTCTCTCCATAGAGCTGAAAGCTGTCCTAATGTTCACTTCCAGATACTACAGAAAGAGTGTTTCAAAACTGCTGTACGAAAGGGAATGTTCAACTCTGTGACTTGAATGCACACATCACAAAGAAGTTTCTGAGGATGCTGCTGTCTACTTTTTATACGTAATCCCGTTTCCAACGAAATCCTCCAAGCTATCCAAATATCCACTTGCAGATTCCAGAGAAAGACTGTTTCAAAACTGCTCTGTCAATAGAAAGGTTCAACTCTGTTAGCTGCATGCATATATCCCAAAGAAGATTCTGAGATTGCTTCTGTCTACTTTTTATGAGAAGATATTTCCCTTTTCACCGTAGGCCTCAAGGCGCTCCAAATGTCCACTTCCAGATACTACAAAAAGAGTGTTTCAAACCTACTCTGTGAAAGGGAATATTCAACTCTGTGACTTGAATGCACATATCACAAAGAAGTTTACTGAGAATGCTTCTGTCGAGATTTTATATGAAGATATTCCCGTTTCCAACGAAATCCTGAAATCTATCCAAATATCCCCTCGCAGATTCTACAAAAAGAGTGGTTCAAAACTGCTCTGTAAAACGAAAGGTTCAACTCTGTTAGTTGAGTACACACATCACAAACAAGTTTCACAGAATGCTTCTTTCTAGCTTGTAGGGGAAGATATTCCCTTTATCACCATGGGCCTCAAACCGTCCGAAACATCCAGTTCCATATACTACAAAAAGAGCGTTTCAAACCTGCTCTATGAAAGGCAATGTTCAACTCTGTGACTTGAATGCAGACATCACAGAGCAGTTTCTGAGAATGCTCCTGTCTAGATTTTATAGGAAGATATTCCCGTTTCCAACGAAATCTTCACAGCTATCCAAATATCCACTTGCAGATTCTACAAAAAGAGTGTATCAAAACTGCTCTGTCAAAAGGAAGGTTTTTCTCTGTTAGTTGAGTGCATACGTCATAAAGGAGTTTCTGAGAATGTTTCTGTATAGTGGTTATGGGAAGATATTTGCTTTTTCACCGTAGGCCTCAGAGCGCTCCAAATATCCACTTGCACATACTACAAAAAGAGTGCTTCAAAGCTGCTCTCTGAAATGGAATGTTCAACTCTATGAGTTGAATGCAAACATCACAAAGACGTTTCTGAGAATGCTTCTGTCTAGATTTGATATGAAGATATTCCCGTTTCCAACGAAATCTTCAAATCTATCCAAATGTCCACTTGCAGATTCAACAAAAAGTGTTTTTCAGAACTGCTCTATCAAAAGAAAGATCCACCTCTGTTAGCTGAGTTCAGACATCACAATCAAGTTTATGAGAATGCTTCTGTCTAGTTTTTATTTGAAGATATTTCCTTTCTCACCATAGACCTGAAAGCTGTCCTAATTTTCACTTCCAGATACTACAGAAAGAGTGTTTCAAAACTGCTGTACGAAAGGGAATGTTCAACTCTGTGACTTGAATGCACACATCACAAAGAAGTTTCTGAGGATGCTGCTGTCTACTTTTTATACGTAATCCCATTTCCAACGAAATCCTCCAAGCTATCCAAATATCCACTTGCAGATTCCACAGAAAGACTGTTTCAAAACTGCTATGTCAATAGAAAAGTTCAACTCAGTTAGCTGTGTGCATATATCCCAAGGAAGATTCTGAGATTGCTTCTGTCTAGTTTTTATGGGAAGATATTTCCCTTTTCACCGTAGGTGTCAAGGCGCTCCAAATATCCACTTCCAGATACTACAAAAAGAGTGTTTCAAACCTTCTCTGTGGAAGGGAATATTGAACTCTGTGACTTGAATGCAGATATCACAAAGAAGTTTCTGAAAATGCTTCTGTCGAGATTTTATATGAAGATATTCCCCTTTCCAACGAAATCCTGAAATCTATCCAAATATCCCCTCGCAGATTCTACAAAAAGAGTGTTTCAAAACTGCTCTGTAAAAAGAAAGGTTCAACTGCTGTTAGTTGAGTACACACATCACAAACAAGTTTCACAGAATGCTTTCTTTCTAGCTTGTAGGAGAAGATATTCCCTTTATCACCATGGGCCTCCAACCGTCCGAAACATCCACTTACATATACTACAAAAAGAGCGTTTCAAACCTGCTCTATGAAAGGCAATGTTCAACTCTGTGACTTGAATACAGATATCACAGAGCAGTTTCTGAGAATGCTTCTGTCTAGATTTTATAGGAAGATATTCTCGTTTCCAACGAAATCTTCACAGCTATCCAAATATCCACTTGCAGATTCTACAAAAAGAGTGTATCAAAACTGCTCTGTCAAAAGGAAGGTTCTTCTCTGTTAGGTGAGTGCATACGTCATAAAGCAGTTTCTGAGAATGTTTCTGTCTAGTGGTTATGGGAAGATATTTGCTTTTTCACCTTAGGCCTCAGAGCGCTCCAAATATCCCCTTGCACATACTACAAAAAGAGTGCTTCAAAGCTGTTCTCTGAAAGGGAATGTTCAACTCTATGAGTTGAATGCAAACATCACAAAGACGTTTCTGAGAATTCTTCTGTCTAGATTTGATATGAAGATATTCCCGTTTCCAACGAAATCTTCAAATCTATCCAAATGTCCACTTGCAGATTCAACAAAATGTGTTTTTCAAAACTGCTGTATCAAAAGAAAGATCCACCTCTGTTAGCTGAGTTCACACATCACAAACAAGTTTATGAGAATGCTTCCGTCTAGTTTTTATTTGAAGATATTTCCTTTCTCACCATAGACCTGAAAGCTGTCCTAATGTTCACTTCCAGATACTACAGAAAGAGTGTTTCAAAACTGCTGTACGAAAGGGAATGTACAACTCTGTGACTTGAATGCACACATCACAAAGAAGTTTTCTGAGGATGCTGCTGTCTACTTTTTATACGTAATCCCGTTTCCAACGAAATCCTCCAAGCTATACAAATATCCACTTGCAGATTCCACAGAAAGACTGTTTCAAAACTGCTCTGTCAATAGAAAGGTTCAACTCTGTTAGCTGCGTGCATATATCCCAAAGAAGATTCTGAGATTGCTTCTGTCTAGTTTTTATGGGAAGATATTTCCCTTTTCACCGTAGGCGTCAAGGCGCTCCAAATGTCCACTTCCTGATACTACAAAAAGAGTGTTTCAATCCTACTCTGTGAAAAGGAATATTCAACTCTGTGACTTGAATGCAGATATCACAAAGAAGTTTCTGAGAATGCTTCTGTCGAGATTTTATATGAAGATATTCCCGTTTCCAACGAAATCCTGAAATCTATCCAAATATCCCCTCGCAGGTTCTACAAAAAGAGTGTTTCAAAACTGCTCTGTAAAAAGAAAGGTTCAACTCTGTTAGTTGAGTACACACATCACAAACAAGTTTCACAGAATGCTTCTTTCTAGCTTGTAGGGGAAGATATTCCCTTTATCACCTTGGGCCTCCAACCGTCCGAAACATCCACTTCCATATACTACAAAAAGAGCGTTTCAAACCTGCTCTATGAAAGGCAATGTTCAACTCTGTGACTTGAATGCAGACATCACAGAGCAGTTTCTGAGAATGCTTCTGTCTAGATTTTATAGGAAGATATTCCCGTTTCCAACGAAATCTTCACAGCTATCCAAATATCCACTTGCAGATTCTACAAAAAGAGTGTATCAAAACTGCTCTGTCAAAAGGAAGGTTCTTTTCTGTTAGGTGAGTGCATACGTCATAAATGAGTTTCTGAGAATGTTTCTGTCTAGTGGTTATGGGAAGATATTTGCTTTTTCACCGTAGGCCTCAGAGCGCTCCAAATATCCACTTGCACATACTACAAAAAGAGTGCCTCAAAGCTGCTCTCTGAAACGGAATGTTCAACTCTATGAGTTGAATGCAAACATCGCAAAGACGTGTCTGAGAATGCTTCTGTCTAGATTTGATATGAAGATATTCCCGTTTCCAACGAAATCTTCAAATCTATCGAAATGTCCACTTGCAGATTCAACAAAAAGTGTTTTTCAGAACTGCTCTATCAAAAGAAAGATCCACCTCTGTTAGCTGAGTTCACACATCACAAACAAGTATATGAGAATGCTTCTGTCTAGTTTTTATTTGAAGGTATTTCCTTTCTCACCATAGACCTGAAAGCTGTCCTAATGTTCACTTCCAGATACTACAGAAAGAGTGTTTCAAAACTGCTGTACGAAAGGGAATGTTCAACTCTGTGACTTGAATGCACACATCACAAAGAAGTTTCTGAGGATGCCGCTGTCTACTTTTGATACGTAATCCCGTTTCCAACGAAATCCTCCAAGCTATCCAAATATCCACTTGCAGATTCCACAGAAAGAATGTTTCAAAACTGCTCTGTCAATAGAAAGGTTCAACTGTGTTAGCTGCGTGCATATATCCCAAACAAGATTCTGAGATTGCTTCTGTCTAGTTTTTATGGGAAGATATTTCCCTTTTCACCGTAGGCGTCAAGGCGCTCCAAATGTCCACTTCCAGATACAACAAAAAGAGTGTTTCAAACCTACTCTGTGAAAGGGAATATTCAACTCTGTGACTTGAATGCACATATCACAAAGAAGTTTCTGAGAATGCTTCTGTCGAGATTTTATATGAAGATATTCCCGTTTCCAATGAAATCCTGAAGTCTATCCAAATATCCCCTCGCAGATTCTACAGAAAGAGTGTTTCAAAACTGCTCTGTAAAAAGAAAGGTTCAACTCTGTTACTTGAGTACACACATCACAAACAAGTTTCACAGAATGCTTCTTTCTAGCTTGTAGGGGAATATATTCCCTTTATCACCATGGGTCTCAAAGCGTCCGAAACGTCCACTTCCATATAATACAAAAAGAGCGTTTCAAACCTGCTCTATGAAAGGCAATGTTCAACTCTGTGACTTGAATGCAGACATCACAGAGCTGTTTCTGAGAATGCATCTGTCTAGATTTTATAGGAAGATATTCCCGTTTCCAACGAAATCTTCACAGCTATCCAAATATCCACTTGCAGATTCTACAAAAAGAGTGTATCAAAACTGCTCTGTCAAAAGGAAGGTTCTTTTCTGTTAGGTGAGTGCATACGTCATAAAGGGGTTTCTGAGAATGTTTCTGTCTAGTGGTTATGGGAAGATATTTGCTTTTTCACAGAAGGCCTCAGAGCGCTCCAAATATCCACTTGCACATACTACAAAAAGAATGCCTCAAAGCTGCTCTCTGAAACGGAATGTTCAACTTTATGAGTTGAATGCAAACATCACAAAGACGTTTCCGAGAATGCTTCTGTCTAGATTTGATATGAAGATATTCCCGTTTCCAAGGAAATCTTCAAAACTATCCAAATGTCCACTTGCAGATTCAACAAAAAGTGTTTTTCAGAACTGCTCTATCAAAAGAAAGATCCACCGTTGATAGCTGAGTTCACACATCACAAACAAGTTTATGAGAATGCTTCTGTCTAGTTTTTATTTGAAGATATTTCCTTTCTCACCATAGACCTGAAAGCTGTCCTAATGTTCACTTCCATATACTACAGAAAGAGTGTTTCAAAACTGCTGTACGAAAGGGAATGTTCAACTCTGTGACTTGAATGCACACATCACAAAGAAGTTTCTGAGGATGCTGCTGTCTACTTTTTATACATAATCCCGTTTCCAACGAAATCCTCCAATCTATCCAAATATCCACTTGCAGATTCCACAGAAAGACTGTTTCAAATCTGCTCTGTCAATAGAAAGATTCAACTCTGTTAGCTGCGTGCATATATCCCAAAGAAGATTCTGAGATTGCTACTGTCTAGTTTTTATGGGAAGATATTTCCCTTTTCACCGTAGGCGTCAAGGCGCTCCAAATGTCCACATCCAGATACTACAAAAAGAGTGTTTCAAACCTACTCTGTGAAAGGGAGTATTCAACTCTGTGACTTGAATACACATATCACAAAGAAGTTTCTGAGAATGCTTCTGTCGAGATTTTATATGAAGATACTCCCGTTTCCAACGAAATCCTGAAATCTATCCAAATATCCCCTCGCAGATTCTACAAAAAGAGTGTTTCAAAACTGCACTGTAAAAAGAAAGGTTCAACTCCGTTAGTTGAGTACACACATCACAAACAAGTTTCACAGAATGCTTCTTTCTAGCTTGTAGGGGAAGATATTCCCTTTATCACCATGGGCCTCAAACCGTCCGAAACGTCCACTTCCATATACTACAAAAAGAGCGCTTCAAATCTGCTCTATGAAAGACAATGTTCAACTCTGTGACTTGAATGCAGACATCACAGAGCAGTTTCTGAGAATGCTTCTGTCTAGATTTTATAGGAAGATATTCCAGTTTCCAACGAAATCTTCACAGCTATCCAAATATCCACTTGCAGATTCTACAAAAAGAGTGTATCAAAACTGCTCTGTCAAAAGGAAGGTTCTTCTCTGTTAGTTGAGTACATACGTCATAAAGGAGTTTCTGAGAATGTTTCTGTCTAGTGGTTATGGGAAGATATTTGCTTTTTCCCCGTAGGCCTCAGGGCGCTCCAAATGTCCACTTGCACATGCTTCAAAAAGAGTGCTTCAAAGCTGCTCTCTGAAAGGGAATGTTCAACTCTATGAGTTGAATGCAAACATCACAAAGACGTTTCTGAGAATGCTTCTGTCTAGATTTGATAGGAAGATATTCCCGTTTCCAACGAAATCTTCAAATCTATCCAAATGTCCACTTGCAGATTCAACAAAAAGTGTTTTTCAGAACTGCTCTATCAAAAGAAAGATCCACCTCTGTTAGCTGAGTTCAGACATCACAAACAAGTTTATGAGAATGCTTCTGTCTAGTTTTTATTTGAAGATATTTCCTTTCTCACCATAGACCTGAAAGCTGTCCTAATGTTCACTTCCAGGTACTACAGAAAGAGTGTTTCAAAACTGCTGTACGAAAGGGAATGTTCAACTCTGTGACTTGAATGCACACATCACAAAGAAGATTCTGAGGATGCTGCTGTCTACTTTTTATACTTAATCCCGTTTCCAACGAAATCCTCCAAGCTATCCAAATATCCACTTGCAGATTTCACAGAAAGACTGTTTCAAAACTGCTCTGTCAATAGAAAGGTTCAACTCTGTTAGCTGCGTGCATATATCCCAAAGAAGATTCTGAGATTGCTTCTGTCTAGTTTTTATCGGAAGATATTTCCCTTTTCACCGTAGGTGTCAAGGCGCTCCAAATGTCCACTTCCAGATACTACAAAAAGAGTGTTTCAAACCTACTCTGTGAAAGGGAACATTCAACTCTGTGACTTGAATGCAGATATCACAAAGAAGTTTCTGAGAATGCTTCTGTCGAGTATTTTATATGAAGATATTCCCGTTTCCAACGAAATCCTGAAATCTCTCCAAATATCCCCTCGCAGATTCTACAAAAAGAGTGTTTCAAAACTGCTCTGTAAAAAGAAAGGTTCAACTCTGTTAGTTGAGTACACACATCACAAACAAGTTTCACAGAATGCTTCTTTCTAGCTTGTAGGGGAAGATATTCCCTTTATCACCATGGGCCTCAAACCGTCCGAAACGTTTACTTCCATATACTACAAAAAGAGCGTTTCAAACCTGCTCTATGAAAGGCAATGTTCAACTCTGTGACTTGTAATGCAGACATCACAGAGCAGTTTCTGAGAATGCTTCTCTCTAGATTTTATAGGAAGATATTCCCGTTTCCAACGAAATCTTCACAGCTATCCAAATATCCACTTGCAGATTCTACAAAAAGAGTGCATCAAAACTGCTCTGTCAAAAGGAAGGTTCTTCTCTGTTAGTTGAGTACATACGTCATAAAGGAGTTTCTGAGAATGTTTCTGTCTAGTGGTTATGGGAAGATATTTGCTTTTTCACCGTAGGCCTCAGAGCGCTCCAAATATCCACTTGCACATACTACAAAAAGAGTGCCTCAAAGCTGGTCTCTGAAACGGAATGTTCAACTCTATGAGTTGAATGCAAACATCACAAAGACGTTTCTGAGAATGCTTCTGTCTAGATTTGATATGAAGATATTCCCGTTTCCAACGAAATCTTCAAATCTATCCAAATGTCCACTTGCGTATTCAACAAAAAGTGTTTTTCAGAACTGCTCTATCAAAAGAAAGATCCACGGCTCTTAGCTGAGTTCACACATCACGAACAAGTTTATGAGAATGCTTCTGTCTAGTTTTTATTTGAAGATATTTCCTTTCTCACCATAGACCTGAAAGCTGTCCTAATGTTCACTTCCAGATACTACAGAAAGAGTGTTTCAAAACTGCTGTACAAAAGGGAATGTTCAACACTGTGACTTGAATGCACACATCACAAAGAAGTTTCTGAGGATGCTGCTGTCTACTTTTTATACGTAATCTCGTTTCCAACAAAATCCTCCAAGCTATCCAAATATCCACTTGCAGATTCCACAGAAAGACTGTTTCAAAACTGCTCTGTCAATAGAAAGGTTCAACTCTATTAGCTGCGTACATATATCCCAAAGAAGATTCTGAGATTGCTTCTGTCTAGTTTTTATGGGAAGATATTTCCCTTTTCACCGTGGGCGTCAAGGCGCTCCAAATGTCCACTTCCAGATACTACAAAAAGAGTGTTTCAAACCTACTCTGTGAAAGGGAATATTCAACTGTGTGACTTGAATGCACATATCACAAAGAAGTTTCTGAGAATGCTTCTGTCGAGATTTTATATGAAGATATTCCCCTTTCCAACGAAATCCTGAAATCTATCCAAATATCCCCTCGCAGATTCTACAAAAAGAGTGTTTCAAAACTGCTCTGTAAAAAGAAAAGTTCAACTCTGTTAGTTGAGTACACACCTCACAAACAAGTTTCACAGAATGCTTCTTTCTAGCTTGTAGGGGAAGATATTTCCTTTATCACCATGGGCCTCCAACCGTCCGAAAAGTCCACTTCCATATACTACAAAAAGAGCGTTTCAAACCTGCTCTATGAAAGGCAATGTTCAACTCTGTGACTTGAATGCAGACATCACAGAGCAGTTTCTGAGAATGCTTCTGTCTAGATTTTATAGGAAGATATTCCCATTTCCAACGAAATCTTCACAGCTATCCAAATATCCACTTTCAGATTCTACAAAAAGAGTGTATCAAAAATGCTCTGTCAAAAGGAAGGTTCTTCTCTGTTAGGTGAGTGCATACGTCATAAAGGAGTTTCTCAGAATGTTTCTAGTCTAGTGGTTATGGGAAGATATTTGCTTTTTCACCGTAGGCCTCAGAGCGCTCCAAATATCCACTTGCACATACTACAAAAAGAGTGCTTCAAATCTGGTCTCTGAAACGGAATGTTCAACTCTATGAGTTGAATGCAAACATCACAAAGACGTTTCTGAGAATGCTTCTGTCTAGATTTGATATGAAGATATTCCCGTTTCCAACGAAATCTTCAAATCTATCCAAATGTCCACTTGCAGATTCAACAAAAAGTGTTTTTCAGAACTGCTCTATCAAAAGAAAGATCCACCTCTGTTAGCTGAGTTCACACATCACAATCAAGTTTATGAGAATGCTTCCGTCTAGTTTTTATTTGAAGATATATCCTTTCTCACCATAGACCTGAAAGCTGTCCTAAAGTTCACTTCCAGATACTACAGAAAGAGTGTTTCAAAACTGCTGTACGAAAGGGAATGTTCAACTCTGTGACTTGAATGCACACATCACAAGGATGTTTCTGAGGATGCTGCTGTCTACTTTTTATACGTAATCCCGTTTCCAACGAAATCCTCCAAGCTATCCAAATATCCACTTGCAGATTCCACAGAAAGACTGTTTCAAAACTGCTCTGTGTATAGAAAGGTTCAACTCTGTTAGCTGCGTGCATATATCCCAAAGACGATTCTGAGATTGCTTCTGTCTAGTTTTTATGGGAAGATATTTCCCTTTTTACCGTAGGTGTCAAGGCGCTCAAAATGTCCACTTCCAGATACTACAAAAAGAGTGTTTCAAACCTACTCTGTGAAAGGGAATATTCAACTCTGTGACTTGAATGCAGATATCACAAAGAAGTTTCCTGAGAATGCTTCTGTCGAGATTTTATATGAAGATATTCCCGTTTCCAACGAAATCCTGAAATCTATCCAAATATCCCCTCGCAGATTCTACAAAAAGAGTGTTTCAAAACTGCTCTGTAAAAAGAAAGGTTCAACTCTGTTAGTTGAGTACACACATCACAAACAACTTTCACAGAATGCTTCTTTCTAGCTTGTAGGGGAAGATATTCCCTTTATCACCATGGGCCTCCAACCGTCCGAAACATCCACTTCCATATACTACAAAAAGAGCGTTTCAAACCTGCTCTATGAAAGGCAATGTTCAACTCTGTGACTTGAATGCAGACATCACAGAGCAGTTTCTGACAATGCTCCTGTCTAGATTTTATAGGAAGATATTCCCGTTTCCAACGAAATCTTCACAGCTATCCAAATATCCACTTGCAGATTCTACAAAAAGAGTGTATCAAAACTGCTCTGTCAAAAGGAAGGTTCTTCTCTGTTAGGTGAGTGCATACGTCATAAAGGAGTTTCTGAGAATGTTTCTGTCTAGTGGTTATGGGAAGATATTTGCTTTTTCACCGTAGGCCTCAGAGCGCTCCAAATATCCACTTGCACATACTACAAAAAGAGTGCCTCAAAGCTGCTCTCTGAAACGGAATGTTCAACTCTATGAGTTGAATGCAAACATCACAAAGACGTTTCTGAGAATGCCTTCTGTCTAGATTTGATATGAAGATATTCCCGTTTCCAACGAAATCTTCAAATCTATCCAAATGTCCACTTGCAGATTCAACAAAAAGTGTTTTTCAGAACTGCTCTATCAAAAGAAAGATCCACCTCTGTTAGCTGAGTTCACACATCACAAACAAGTTTATGAGATTGCTTCTGTCTAGTTTTTATTTGAAGATATTTCCTTTCTCACCATAGACCTGAAAGCTGTCCTAATGTTCACTTCCACATACTACAGAAAGAGTGTTTCAAAACTGCTGTACGAAAGGGAATTTTCAACTCTGTGACTTGAATGCACACATCACAAAGAAGTTTCTGAGGATGCTGCTGTCTAATTTTTATACGTAATCCCGTTTCCAACGAAATCCTCCAAGCTATCAAAATATCCACTTGCAGATTCCACAGAAAGACTGTTTCAAAACTGCTATGTCAATAGAAAAGTTCAACTCTGTTAGCTGTGTGCGTATATCCCAAAGAAAATTCTGAGATTGCTTCTGTCTACTTTTTATGAGAAGATATTTCCCTTTTCACCGTAGGTGTCAAGGTGCTCCAAATGTCCACTTCCAGATACTACAAAAAGAATGTTTCAAACCTACTCTGTGAAAGGGAATATTCAACTCTGTGACTTGAATGCACATATCACAAAGAAGCTTCTGAGAATGCTTCTGTCGAGATTTTATAGGAAGATATTCCCGTTTCCAACGAAATCCTGAAATCTATCCAAATATCCCCTCGCAGATTCTACAAAAAGAGTGTTTCAAAACTGCTCTGTAAAAAGAAAGGTTCAACTCTGTTAGTTGAGTACACACATCACAAACAAGTTTCACAGAATGCTTCTTTCTAGCTTGTAGGGGAAGATATTCCCTTTATCACCATGGGCCTCAAACCGTCCGAAACATCCACTTCCATATAGTACAAAAAGAGCGTTTCAAACCTGCTCTATGAAAGGCAATGTTCAACTCTGTGACTTGAATGCAGACATCACAGAGCAGTTTCTGAGAATGCTTTTGTTTAGATTTTATAGAAAGATATTCCCTTTTCCAACGAATTCTTCACAGATATCCAAATATCTACTTGCAGATTCTCCAAGAAGAGTGTATCAAAACTGCTCTGTCAAAAGGAAGGTTCTTCTCTGTTAGTTGAGTACATACGTCATAAAGAAGTTTCTGAGAATGTTTCCGTCTAGTGGTTATGGGAAGATATTTGCTTTTTCACCGAAGGCCTCAGAGCGCTCCAAATATCCACTTGCACATACTACAAAAAGAGCGCCTCAAAGCTGCTCTCTGAAACGGAATGTTCAACTCTATGAGTTGAATGCAAACATCGCAAAGACGTTTCTGAGAATGCTTCTGTCTAGATTTGATATGAAGATATTCCCGTTTCCAACAAAATCTTCAAATCTATCCAAATGTCCACTTGCAGATTCAACAAAGTGTTTTTCAGAACTGCTCTATCAAAAGAAAGATCCACCTCTGTTAGCTGAGATCACACTTCACAAACAAGTTTATCAGAATGCTTCTGTCTAGTTTTTATTTGAAGATATTTCGTTTCTCACCATAGAGCTGAAAGCTGTCCTAATGTTCACTTCCAGATACTACAGAGTGTTTCAAAACTGCTGTACGAAAGGGAATGTTCAACTCTGTGAGTTGAATGCACACATCACAAAGAAGTTTCTGAGGATGCTGCTGTCTAATTTTTATACGTAATCCCGTTTACAACGAAATCCTCCAAGCTATCCAAATATGCACTTGCAGATTCCACAGAAAGACTGTTTCAAAACTGCTCTGTCAATAGAAAGGTTCAACTCTGTTAGCTGCGTGCATATATCCCAAAGAAGATTCTGAGATTCCTTCTGTCTAGTTTTTATGGGAAGATATTTCCCTTTTCACCATAGGCGTCAAGGTGCTCCAAATGTCCACTTCCAGATACTACAAGAAGAGTGTTTCAAACCTACTCTGTGAAAGGGAATATTCAACTCTGTGACTTGAATGCAGGTATCACAAAGAAGTTTCTGAGAATGCTTCTGTCGAGCATTTTATATGAAGATATTCCAGTTTCCAACGAAATCCTGAAATCTATCCAAATATCCCCTCGCAGATTCTACAAAAAGAGTGTTTCAAAACTGCTCTGTAAAAAGAAAGGTTCAACTCTGTTAGTTGAGTACACACATCACAAACAAGTTTCACAGAATGCTTCTTTCTAGCTTGTAGGGGAAGATATTCCCTTTATCACCATGGGCCTCCAACCGTCCGAAACATCCACTTCCATATACTACAAAAAGAGCATTTCAAACCTGCTCTATGAAAGGCAATGTTCAACTCTGTGACTTGAATGCAGACATCACAGAGCAGTTTACTGAGAATGCTTCTGTCTAGGATTTTATAGGAAGATATTCCCGTTTCCAACGAAATCTTCACAGCTATCCAAATATCCACTTGCAGATTCTACAAAAAGAGTGTATCAAACCTGCTCTGTCAAAAGGAAGGTTCTTCTCTGTTAGGTGAGTGCATACGTCATAAAGGAGTTTCTGAGAATGTTTCTGTCTAGTGGTTATGGGAAGATATTTGCTTTTTCACCGTAGGCCACAGAGCGATCAAAATATCCACTTGCACATACTACAAAAAGAGTGCTTCAAAGCTGCTCTCTGAAAGTGAATGTTCAACTCTATGAGTTGAATGGAAACATCACAAAGACGTTTCTGAGAATGCTTCTGTCTAGATTTGATATGAAGATATTCCCGTTTCCAACGAAATCTTCAAATCTATCCAAATGTCCACTTGGAGATTCAACAAAAAGTGTTTTTCAGAACTGCTCTATCAAAAGAAAGATCCACCTCTGTTAGCTGAGTTCACACATCACAAACAAGTTTATGAGAATGCTTCTGTCTAGTTTTTATTTGAAGATATATCCTTTCTCACTATAGACATGAAAGCTCTCCTAATGTTCACTTCCAGATACTACAGAAAGAGTGTTTCAAAACTGCTGTACGAAAGGGAATGTTCATCTCTGTGACTTGAATGCACACATCACAAGGAAGTTTCTGAGGATGCTGCTGTCTACTTTTTATACCTAATCCCGTTTCCAACGAAATCCTCCAATCTATCCAAACATCCACTTGCAGATTCCACAGAAAGACTGTTTCAAAACTGCTCTGTCAATAGAAAGGTTCAACTCTGTCAGCTGCGTGCATATATCCCAAAGAAGATTCTGAGATTGCTTCTGTCTACTTTTTATGAGAAGATATTTCCCTTTTCACCGTAGGCGTCAAGGTGCTCAAAATGTCCACTTCCAGTTACTACAAAAAGAGTGTTTCAAACCTACTCTGTGAAAGGGAATATTCAACTCTGTGACTTGAATGCACATATCACAAAGAAGCTTCTGAGAATGCTTCTGTCGAGATTTTATATGAAGATATTCCCGTTTCCAACGAAATCCTGAAATCTATCCAAATATCCCCTCGCAGATTCTACAAAAAGAGTGTTTCAAAACTGCTCTGTAAAAAGAAAGGTTCAACTCTGTTATTTGAGTACACACATCACAAACAAGTTTCACAGAATGCTTCTTTCTAGCTTGTAGGGGAAGATAATCCCTTTATCACCATGGGCCTCAAACCGTCCGAAACGTCCACTTCCATATACTACAAAAAGAGCGTTTCAAACCTGCTGTAGGAAAGGCAATGTTCAACTCTGTGACTTGAATGCAGACATCACAGAGCAGTTTCTGAGAATGCTTCTGTCTAGATTTTATAGGAAGATATTCCCGTTTCCAACGAAATCTTCACAGCTATCCAAATATCCACTTGCAGATTCTACAAAAAGAGTGTATCAACACTGCTCTGTCAAAAGGAAGGTTCTTCTCTGTTGGCTGAGTGCATACGTCAGAAAGGAGTTTCTGAGAATGTTTCTGTCTAGTGGTTATGGGAAGATATTTGCTTTTTCACCGTAGGCCTCAGAGCACTCCAAATATCCACTTGCACATACTACAAAAAGAGTGCTTCAAAGCTGCTCTCTGAAACGGAATGTTCAACTCTATGAGTTGAATGCAAACATCGCAAAGACGTTTCTGAGAATGCTTTTGTCTAGATTTGATATGAAGATATTCCCGTTTCCAACGAAATCTTCAAATCTATCCAAATGTCCACTTGCAGATTCAACAAAAAGTGTTTTTCAGAACTGCTCTATCAAAAGAAAGATCCACGTGTGTTAGCTGAGTTCACACATCACAAACAAGTTTATGAGAATGCTTCTGTCTAGTTTTTATTTGAAGATATTTCCTTTCTCACCATAGAGCTGAAAGCTGTCCTAATGTTCACCTCCAGATACTACAGAAAGAGTGTTTCAAAACTGCTGTACGAAAGGGAATGTTCAACTCTGTGACTTGAATGCACACATCACAAAGAAGTTTCTGAGGATGCTGCTGTCTACTTTTTATACTTAATCCCGTTTCCAACGAAATCCTCCAAGCTATCCGAATATCCACTTGCAGATTCCACAGAAAGACTGTTTCAAAACTGCTCTGTCAATAGAAAGGTTCAACTCTGTTAGCTGCGTGCATATATCCCAAAGAAGATTCTGAGATTGCTTCTGTCTACTTTTTATGAGAAGATATTTCCCTTTTCACCGTAGGCGTCAAGGTGCTCCAAATGTCCACTTCCAGATACTACAAAAAGAGTGTTTCAAACCTACTCTGTGAAAGGGAATATTCAAGTCTGTGACTTGAATGCACATATCACAAAGAAGCTTCTGAGAATGCTTCTGTCGAGATTTTATATGAAGATATTCCCGTTCCCAACGAAATCCTGAAATCTATCCAAATATCCCCTCACAGATTCTACAAAAAGAGTGTTTCAAAACTGCTCTGTAAAAAGAAAGGTTCAACTCTGTTAGTTGAGTACACACATCACAAACAAGTTTCACAGAATGCTTCTTTCTAGCTTGTAGGGGAAGATATTCCCTTTATCACCATGGGCCTCAAACCGTCCGAAACGTCCACTTCCATATACTACAAAAAGAGCGTTTCAAACCTACTCTATGAAAGGCAATGTTCAACTCTGTGACTTGAATGCAGACATCACAGAGGAGTTTCTGAGAATGCTTCTGTCTAGATTTTATAGGAAGATATTCCCGTTTCCAACGAAATCTTCACAGCTATCCAAATATCCACTTGCAGATTCTACAAAAAGAGTGTATCAAAACTGCTCTGTCAAAAGGAAGGTTCTTCTCTGTTAGGTGAGTGCATACGTCATAAAGGAGTTTCTGAGAATGATTCTGTCTAGTGGTTATGGGAAGATATTTGCTTTTTCACCGAAGGCCTCAGAGCGCTCCAAATATCCACTTGCACATACTACAAAAAGAGTGCCTCAAAGCTGCTCTCTGAAACGGAATGTTCAACTCTATGAGTTGAATGCAAACATCACAAAGACGTTTCTGAGAATGCTTCTGTCTAGATTTGATATGAAGATATTCCCGTTTCCAACGAAATCTTCAAATCTATCCAAATGTCCACTTGCAGATTCAACAAAAAGTGTTTTTCAGAACTGCTCTATCAAAAGAAAGATCCACCTCTGTTAGCTGAGTTCACACATCACAAACAAGTTTATGAGAACGCTCTGTCTAGTTTTTATTTGAAGATATTTCCTTTCTCACCATAGACCTGAAAGCTGTCCTAATGTTCACTTCCAGATACTACAGAAAGAGTGTTTCAAAACTGCTGTACGAAAGGGAATGTTCAACACTGTGACTTGAATGCACACATCACAAAGAAGTTTCTGAGGATGCTGGCTGTCTACTTTTTATACGTAATCCCGTTTCCAACGAAATCCTCCAAGCTATCCAAATATCCACTTGCAGATTCCACAGAAAGACTGTTTCAAAACTGCTCTGTCAATAGAAAGGTTCAACTCTGTTAGCTGCGTGCATATATCCCTAAGAAGATTCTGAGATTGCTTCTGTCTAGTTTTTATGGGAAGATATTTCCCTTTTCACCGTAGGCGTCAAGGCGCTGCAAATGTCCACTTCCAGATACTACAAAAAGAGTGTTTCAAACCTACTCTGTGAAAGGGAATATTCAACTCTGTGACTTGAAGGCAGATATCACAAAGAAGTTTCTGAGAATGCTTCTGTCGAGATTTTATATGAAGATATTCCCGTTTCCAACGAAATCCTGAAATCTATCCAAATATCCGCTCGCAGATTCTACAAAAAGAGTGTTTCAAAACTGCTCTGTGAAAAGAAAGGTTCAACTCTGTTAGTTAAGTACACACATCACAAACAAGTTTCACAGAATGCTTCTTTCTAGCTTGTAGGGGAAGATATTCCCTTTATCACCATGGGCCTCAAACCGTCTGAAACGTCCACTTCCATATACTACAAAAAGAGCATTTCAAACCTGCTCTATGAAAGGCAATGTTCAACTCTGTGACTTGAATGCAGACATCACAGAGCAGTTTCTTAGAATGCTTCTGTCTAGATTTTATAGGAAGATATTCCCGTTTCCAACGAAATCTTCACTGCTATCCAAATATCCACTTGCAGATTCTACAAAAAGAGTGTATCAAAACTGCTCTGTCAAAAGGAAGGTTCTTCTCTGTTAGGTGAGTGCATACGTCATAAAGGAGTTTCTGAGAATGTTTCTGTCTAGTGGTTATGGGAAGATATTTGCTTCTTCACCTTAGGCCTCAGAGCGCTCCAAATATCCCCTTGCACATACTACAAAAAGAGTGCTTCAAAGCTGCTCTCTGAAAGGGAATGTTCAACTCTATGGGTTGAATGCAAACATCACAAAGACGTTTCTGAGAATGCTTCTGTCTAGATTTGATATGAAGATATTCCCGTTTCCAACGAAATCTTCAAATCTATCCAAATGTCCACTTGCAGATTCAACAAAAAGTGTTTTTCAGAACTGCTCTATCAAAAGAAAGATCCACCTCTTTTAGCTGAGTTCACACATCACAAACAAGTTTATGAGAATGCTTCTGTCTAGTTTTTATTTGAAGATATTTCCTTTCTCACCATAGACCTGAAAGCTGTCCTAATGTTCACTTCCAGATACTACAGAAAGAGTGTTTCAAAACTGCTGTATGAAATGGAATGTTCAACTCTGTGACTTGAATGCACACATCACAAATAAGTTTCTGAGGATGCTGCTGTCTACTTTTTATACGTAATCCCGTTTCCAACGAAATCCTCCAAGCTATCCAAATATCCACTTGCAGATTCCACAGAAAGACTGTTTCAAAACTGCTATGTCAATAGAAAAGTTCAACTCTGTTAGCTGTGTGCATATATCCCAAAGAAAATTCTGAGATTGCTTTCTGTCTAGTTTTTATGGGAAGATATTTCCCTTTTCACCGTAGGTGTCAAGGCGCTCCAAATGTCCACTTCCAGATACTACAAAAAGAGTGTTTCAAACCTACTCTGTGAAAGGGAATATTCAACTCTGTGACTTGAATGCACATATCACAAAGAAGTTTTTGAGAATGCTTCTGTCGAGATTTTATATGAAGATATTCCCGTTTCCAACGAAATCCTGAATTCTATCCAAATATTCCCTCGCAGATTCTACAAAAAGAGTGGTTCAAAACTGCTCTGTAAAAAGAAAGGTTCAACTCTGTTAGTTGAGTACACACATCACAAACAAGTTTCACAGAATGCTTCTTTCTAGCTTGTAGGGCAAGATATTCCCTTTATCACCATGGGCCTCAAACCGTCCGAAACGTCCACTTCCATATACTACAAAAAGAGCGTTTCAAACCTGTTCTAGGAAAGGCAATGTTCAACTCTGTGACTTGAATGCAGACATCACAGAGCAGTTTCTGAGAATGCTTCTGTCTAGATTTTATAGGAAGATATTCCCGTTTCCAACGAAATCTTCACAGCTATCCAAATATCCACTTGAAGATTCTACAAAAAGAGTGTATCAAAACTGCTCTGTCAAAAGGTAAGTTCTTCTCTGTTAGGTGAGTGCATACGTCATAAAGGAGTTTCTGAGAATGTTTCTGTCTAGTGGTTACGGGAAGATATTTGCTTTTTCACCTTAGGCCTCAGAGCGCTCCAAATATCCACTTGCACATACTACAAAAAGAGTGCTTCAAAGCTGCTCTCTGAAAGGGAATGTTCAACTCTATGAGTTGAATGCTAACATCACAAAGACGTTTCTGAGAATGCTTCTGTCGAGATTTTATATGAAGATATTCCCGTTTCCAACGAAATCCTGAAATCTATCCAAATATCCCCTCGCAGATTCTACCAAAAGAGTGTTTCAAAACTGCTCTGTAAAAAGAAAGGTTCAACACTGTTAGTTGAGTACACACATCTCAAACAAGTTTCACAGAATGCTTCTGTCTAGTTTTTATTTGAAGATATTTCCTTTCTCACCATAGACCTGAAAGCTGTTCTAATGTTCACTTCCATATGCTACAGAAAGAGTGTTTCAAAACTGCTGTACGAAAGGGAATGTTCAACTCTGTGACTTGAATGCACACATCACAAAGAAGTTTCTGAGGATGCTGCTGTCTACTTTTTATACGTAATCCCGTTTCCAACGAAATCCTCCAAGATATCCAAATATCCACTTGCAGATTCCACAGAAAGACTGTTTCAAAACTGCTCTGTCAATAGAAAGGTTCAACTCTGTTAGCTGCGTGCATATATCCCAAAGAAGATTCTGAGATTGCTTCTGTCTAGTTTTTATGGGAAGATATTTCCCTTTTCACCGTAGGCGTCAAGGCGCTCCAAATGTCCACTTCCAGATACTACAAAAAGAGTGTTTCAAATCTACTCTGTGAAAGGGAATATTCAACTCTGTGACTTGAATGCACATATCACAAAGAAGTTTCTGAGAATGCTTCTGTCGAGATTTTATATGAAGATATTCCCGTTTCCAACGAAATCCTGAAATCTATCCAAATATCCACTCGCAGATTCTACAAAAAGAGTGGTTCAAAACTGCTCTGTAAAACGAAAGGTTCAACTCTGTTAGTTGAGTACACACATCACAAACAAGTTTCACAGAATGCTTCTTTCTAGCTTGTAGGGGAAGATATTCCCTTTATCACCATGGGCCTCAAACCGTTCGAAACGTCCACTTCCATATACTACAAAAAAGCGTTTCAAACCTGCTCTATGAAAGGCAATGTTCAACTCTGTGACTTGAATGCAGACATCACAGAGCAGTTTCTGAGAATGCTTCTGTCCAGACTTTATAGGAAGATATTCCCGTTTCCAACGAAATCTTCACAGCTATCCAAATATCCACTTGCAGATACTATAAAAAGTGTGTATCCAAAGTGCTCTGTCAAAAGGAAAGTTCTTCTCTGCTACTTGAGTACATACGTCATAAAGAAGTTTCTGAGAATGTTTCTGTCTAGTGGTTATGGGAAGATATTTGCTTTTTCCCCGTAGGCCTCAAAGCGCTCCAAATGTCCACTTGCACATACTACAAAAAGAGTGCTTCAAAGCTGCTCTCTGAAAGGGAATGTTCAACTCTATGAGTTGAATGCTAACATCACAAAGACGTTTCTGAGAATGCTTCTGTCTAGATTTGATATGAAGATATTCCCGTTTCCAACGAAATCTTCAAATCTTTCCAAATGTCCACTTGCAGATTCAACAAAAAGTGTTTTTCAGAACTGCTCTATCAAAAGAAAGATCCACCTCTGTTAGATGAGTTCACACATCACAAACAAGTTTATGAGAATGCTTCTGTCTAGTTTTTATTTGAAGATATTTCCTTTCTCACCATAGACCTGAAAGCTGTCCTAATGTTCACTTCCAGATACTACAGAAAGAGTGATTCAAAACTGCTGTACGAAAGGGAATGTTCAACTCTGTGACTTGAATGCACACATCACAAAGAAGTTTCTGAGGATGCTGCTGTCTACTTTTTATACGTAATCCCGTTTCCAACGAAATCCTCCAAGCTATCCAAATATCCACTTGCAGATTCCACAGAAAGACTGTTTCAAAACTGCTCTGTCAATAGAAAGGTTCAACTCTATTAGCTGCGTACATATATCCCAAAGAAGATTCTGAGATTGCTTTCTGTCTACTTTTTATGAGAGGATATTTCCCTTTTCACCGTAGGCGTCAAGGCGCTCCAAATGTCCACTTCCAGATACTACAAAAAGAGTGTTTCAAACCTACTCTGTGAAAGGGAATATTCAACTCTGTGACTTGAATGCAGATATCACAAAGAAGTTTCTGAGAATGCTTCTGTCCAGATTTTATATGAAGATATTCCCGTTTCCAACGAAATCCTGAAATCTATCCAAATATCCCCTCGCAGATTCTACAAAAAGAGTGTTTCAAAACTGCTCTGTAAAAAGAAAGGTTCAACTCTGTTAGTTGAGTACACACATCACAAACAAGTTTCACAGAATGCTTCTTTCTAGCTTGTAGGGGAAGATATTCCCTTTATCACCATGGGCCTCCAACCGTCCGAAACATCCACTTCCATATACTACAAAAAGAGCGTTTCAAACCTGCTCTATGAAAGGCAATGTTCAACTCTGTGAGTTGAATGCAGACATCACAGAGCAGTTTCTGAGAATGCTTCTGTCTAGATTTTATAGGAAGATATTCCCGTTTCCAACGAAATCTTCACAGATATCCAAATATCCACTTGCAGATGCTACAAAAAGAGTGTATCAAAAATGCTCTGTCAAAAGGAAGGTTCTTACTGTGTTAGGTGAGTGCATACGTCATAAAGGAGTTTCTGAGAATGTTTCTGTGTAGTGGTTATGGGAAGATATTTGCTTTTTCACCGTAGGCCTCAGAGCGCTCCAAATATCCACTTGCACATACTACAAAAAGAGTGCTTCAAAGCTGGTCTCTGAAAGGGAATGTTCAACTCTATGAGTTGAATGCAAACATCGCAAAGACGTTTCTGAGAATGCTTCTGTCTAGATTTGATATGAAGATATTCCCGTTTACAACGAAATCTTCAAATCTATCCAAATGTCCACTTGCAGATTCAACAAAAAGTGTTTTTCAGAACTGCTCTATCAAAAGAAAGATCCACCTCTGTTAGCTGAGTTCAGACATCACAAACAAGTTTATGAGAATGCTTCTGTCTAGTTTTTATTAGAAGATATTTCCTTTCTCACCATAGACCTGAAAGCTGTCCTAATGTTCACTTCCAGTTACTACAGAAAGAGTGTTTCAAAACTGCTGTACGAAAGGGAATGTTGAACTCTGTGACTTGAATGCACACATCACAAAGAAGTTTCTGAGGATGCTGCTGTCTACTTTTTATGCGTAATCCCGTTTCCAACGAAATCCTCCAAGCTATCCAAATATCCACTTGCAGATTCCACAGAAAGACTGTTTCAAAACTGCTCTGTCAATAGAAAGGTACAACTCTGTTAGCTGCGTGCATATATCCCAAAGAAGATTCTGAGATTGCTTCTGTCTAGTTTTTATGGGAAGATATTTCCCTTTTCACCGTAGGCGTCAATGCGCTCCAAATGTCCACTTCCAGATGCTACAAAAAGAGTGTTTCAAACCTACTCTGTGAAAGGGAATATTCAACTCTGTGACTTGAATGCAGATATCACAAAGAAGTTTCTGAGAATGCTTCTGTCGAGATTTTGTATGAAGATATTCCCGTTTCCAATGAAATCCTGAAATCTATCCAAATTTCCCCTCGCAGATTCTACAAAAAGAGTGTTTCAAAACTGCTCTGTAAAAAGAAAGGTTCAACTCTGTTAGTTGAGTACACACATCACAAACAAGTTTCACAGAATGCTTCTTTCTAGCTTGTAGGGGAAGATATTCCCTTTATCACCATGGGCCTCCAACCGTCCGAAAAGTCCACTTCCATATACTACAAAAAGAGCATTTCAAACCTGCTCTATGAAAGGCAATGTTCAACTCTGTGACTTGAATGCAGACATCACAGAGCAGTTTCTGAGAATGCTTCTGTCCAGACTTTATAGGAAGATATTCCCGATTCCAACGAAATCTTCACAGCTATCCAAATATCCACTTGCAGATACTACAAAAAGAGTGTATCAAAAGTTCTCTGTCAAAAGGAAAGTTCTTCTCTGCTAGTTGAGTACATACGTCATAAAGAAGTTTCTGAGAATGTTTCTGTCTAGTGGTTATGGGGAGATATTTGCTTTCTCACCGTAGGCCTCAGAGCGCTCCAAATATCCACTTGCACATACTACAAAAAGAGTGCTTCAATGCTGCTCTCTGAAACGGAATGTTCAACTCTATGAGTTGAATGCAAACATCACAAAGACGTTTCTGAGAATGCTTCTGTCTAGATTTGATATGAAGATATTCCCGTTTCCAACGAAATCTTCAAATCTATACAAATGTCCACTTGCAGATTCAACAAAAAGTGTTTTTCAGAACTGCTCTATCAAAAGAAAGATCCACCTCTGTTAGCTGAGTTCACACATCACAAACAAGTTTATGAGAATGCTTCTGTCTAGTTTTTATTTGAAGATATTGCCTTTCTCACCATAGACCTGAAAGCTGTCCTAATGTTCACTTCCAGATACTACAGAAAGAGTGTTTCAAAACTGCTGTACGAAAGGGAATGTTCAACTCTGTGACTTGAATGCACACATCACAAAGAAGTTTCAGAGGAGGCTGCTGTCTACTTTTTATACGTAATCCCGTTTCAAACGAAATCCTCCAAGCTATCCAAATATCCACTTGCAGATTCCACAGAAAGACTGTTTCAAAACTGCTCTGTCAATAGAAAGGTTCAACTCTGTTAGCTGCGTGCATATATCCCAAAGAAGATTCTGAGATTGCTTCTGTCTAGTTTTTATTGGAAGATATTTCCCTTTTCACCGTAGGTGTCAAGGTGCTCCAAATGTCCACTTCCAGATACTACAAAAAGAGTGTTTCAAACCTACTCTGTGAAAGGGAATATTCAACTCTGTGACTTGAATGCAGATATCACAAAGAAGTTTCTGAGAATGCTTCTGTCGAGATTTTATATGAAGATATTCCCGTTTCCAACGAAATGCTGAAATGTATCCAAATATCCCCTCGCAGATTCTACAAAAAGAGTGTTTCAAAACTGCTCTGTAAAAAGAAAGGTTCAACTCTGTTAGTTGAGTACACACATCACAAATAAGTTTCACACAATGCTTCTTTCTAGCTTGTAGGTGAAGATATTCCCTTTATCACCATGGGCCTCAAACCGTCCGAAACGTCCACTTCCATATACTACAAAAAGAGCGTTTCAAACCTGCTCTATGAAAGGCAATGTTCAACTCTGTGACTTGAATGCAGACATCACAGAGCAGTTTCTGAGAATGCTTCTGTCTAGATTTTATAGGAAGATATTCCCGTTTCCAACGAAAACTTCACAGCTATCGAATATCCACTTGCAGATTCTACAAAAAGAGTGTATCAAAACTGCTCTGTCAAAAGGAAGGTTCTTCTCTGTTAGGTGAGTGCATACGTCATAAAGGAGTTTCTGAGAATGTTTCTGTCTAGTGGTTATGGGAAGATATTTGCTTTTTCACCGTAGGCCTCAGAGCGCTCCAAATATCCACTTGCACATACTACAAAAAGAGTGCTTCAAAGCTGCTCTCTGAAACGGAATGTTCAACTCTATGAGTTGAATGCAAACATCACAAAGACGTTTCCAAGAATGCTTCTGTCTAGATTTGATATGAAGATATTCCCGTTTCCAACGAAATCTTCAAATCTATCCAAATGTCCACTTGCAGATTCAACAAAATGTGTTTTTCAGAACTGCTCTATCAAAAGAACGATCCACCTCTGTTAGCTGAGTTCACACATCACAAACAAGTTTATGAGAATGCTTCTGTCTAGTTTTTATTTGAAGATATTTCCTTTCTCACCATAGACCTGAAAGCTGTCCTAATGTTCACTTCCAGATACTACAGAAAGAGTGTTTCAATACTGCTGTACAAAAGGGAATGTTCAACTCTGTGACTTGAATGCACACATCAAAAGGAGGTTCTGAGGATGCTGCTGTCTACTTATTATACGTAATCCCGTTTCCAACGAAATCCTCCAAGCTATCCAAATATCCACTTGCAGATTCCACAGAAAGACTCTTTCAAAACTGCTCTGTCAATAGAAAGGTTCAACTCTGTTAGCTGCGTGCATATATCCCAAAGAAGATTCTGAGGTTGCTTCTGTCTAGTTTTTATGGGAAGATATTTCCCTTTTCACGGTAGGCGTCAAGGCGCTCCAAATGTCCACTTCCAGATACTACAAAAAGAGTGTTTCAAACCTACTCTGTGAAAGGGAATATTCAACTCTGTGACTTGAATGCACATATCACAAAGAAGTTTCTGAGAATGCTTCTGTCGAGATTTTATATTAAGATATTCCCGTTTCCAACGAAATCCTGAAATCTATCCAAATATCCCCTCACAGATTCTACAAAAAGAGTGTTTCAAAACTGCTCTGTAAAAAGAAAGGTTCAACTCTGTTAGTTGAGTACACACATCACAAACAAGTTTCACAGAATGCTTCTTTCTAGCTTGTAGGGAAAGATATTCCCTTTATCACCATGGGCCTCAAACCGTCCGATAAGTCCACTTCCATATACTACAAAAAGAGCGTTTCAAACCTGCTCTATGAAAGGCAATGTTCAACTCTGTGACTTGAATGCAGACATCACAGAGCAGTTTCTGAGAATGCTTCTGTCTAGATTTTATAGGAAGATATTCCCGTTTCCAACGAAATCTTCACAGCTATCCAAATATCCACTTGCAGATTCAACAAAAAGAGTGTATCAAAACTGCTCTGTCAAAAGGAAGGTTCTTTTCTGTTAGGTGAGTGCATACGTCATAAAGGAGTTTCTGAGAATGTTTCTGTCTAGTGGTTATGGGAAGATATTTGCTTTTTCACCGTAGGCCTCAGAGCGCTCCAAATATCCACTTGCACATACTAGAAAAAGAGTGCCTCAAAGCTGCTCTCTGAAACGGAATGTTCAACTCTATGAGTTGAATGCAAACATCACAAAGACGTTTCTGAGAATGCTTCTGTCTAGATTTGATATGAAGATATTCCCGTTTCCAACGAAATCTTCAAATCTATCCAAATGTCCACTTGCAGATTCAACAAAAAGTGTTTTTCAGAACTGCTCTATCAAAAGAATGATCCACCTCTGTTAGCTGAGTTCAGACATCACAAACAAGTTTATGAGAATGCTTCTGTCTAGTTTTTATTTGAAGATATTTCCTTTCTCACCATAGACCTGAAAGCTCTCCTAATGTTCACTTCCAGACACTACAGAAAGAGTGTTTCAAAACTGCTGTATGAAAGGGAATGTTCAACTCTGTGACTTGAATGCACACATCACAAAGAAGTTTCTGAGGATGCTGCTGTCTACTTTTTATACTTAATCCCGTTTCCAAAGAAATCCTCCAAGCTATCCAAATATCCACTTGCAGATTCCACAGAAAGACTGTTTCAAAACTGCTCTGTCAATAGAAAGGTTCAACTCTGTTAGCTGCGTGCATATATCCCAAAGAAGATTCTGAGATTGCTTCTGTCTAGTTTTTATGGGAAGATATTTCCCTTTTCACCGTAGGTGTCAAGGCGGTCCAAATGTCCACTTCCAGATACTACAAAAAGAGTGTTTCAAACCTACTCTGTGAAAGGGAATATTGAACACTGTGACTTGAATGCAGATATCACAAAGAAGTTTCTGAGAATGCTTCTGTCGAGATTTTATATGAAGATATTCCCCTTTCCAACGAAATCCTGAAATCTATCCAAATATCCCCTCGCAGATTCTACAAAAAGAGTGTTTCAAAACTGCTCTGTAAAAAGAAAGGTTCAACTCTGTTAGTTGAGTACACACATCACAAACAAGTTTCACAGAATGCTTTCTTTCTAGCTTGTAGGGGAAGATATTCCCTTTATCACCATGGGCCTCAAACCGTCCGAAACGTCCACTTACATATACTACAAAAAGAGCGTTTCAAACCTGCTCTAGGAAAGGCAATGTTCAACTCTGTGACTTGAATGCAGACATCACAGAGCAGTTTCTGAGAATGCTTCTGTCTAGATTTTATAGGAAGTTATTCCCGTTTCCATCGAAATCTTCACAGGTATCCAAATATCCACTTGCAGATTCTACAAAAAGAGTGTATCAAAACTGCTCTGTCAAAAGGAAGGTTCTTCTCTGTTAGGTGAGTGCATACGTCATAAAGGAGTTTCTGAGAATGTTTCTGTCTAGTGGTTATGGGAAGATATTTGCTTTTTCACCTTAGGCCTCAGAGCACTCCAAATATCCCCTTGCACATACTACAAAAAGAGTGCTTCAAAGCTGCTCTCTGAAACGGAATGTTCAACTCTATGAGTTGAATGCAAACATGACAAAGACGTTTCCGAGAATGCTTATCTGTCTAGATTTGATATGAAGATATTCCCGTTTCCAACGAAATCTTCAAATCTATCCAAATGTCCACTTGCAGATTCAACAAAAAGTGTTTATCAGAACTGCTCTATCAAAAGAAAGATCCACCTCTGTTAGCTGAGTTCACACTTCACAAACAAGTTTATCAGAATGCTTCTGTCTAGTTTTTATTTGAAGATATTTCCTTTCTCACCATAGACCTGAAAGCTGTCCTAATGTTCACTTCCAGATACTACAGAAAGAGTGTTTCAAAACTGCTGTACGAAAGGGAATGTTCAACTCTGTGACTTGAATGCACACATCAGAAAGAAGTTTTCTGAGGATGCTGCTGTCTACTTTTTATACGTATTCCCGTTTCCAACGAAATCCTCCAAGCTATCCAAATATCCACTTGCAGATTCCACAGAAAGACTGTTTCAAAACTGCTCTGTCAATAGAAAGGTTCAACTCTATTAGCTGCGTACATATATCCCAAAGAAGATTCTGAGATTGCTTCTGTCTAGTTTTTATGGGAAGATATTTCCCTTTTCACCGTAGGTGTCAAGGCGCTCCAAATGTCCACTTCCAGATACTACAAAAAGAGTGTTTCAAACCAACTCTGTGAAAGGGAATATTCAACTCTGTGACTTGAATGCACACAACACAAAGAAGTTTCTGAGGATGCTTCTATCGAGATTTTATATGAAGATATTCCCGTTTCCAACGAAATCCTGAAATCTATCCAAATATCCCCTCGCAGATTCTACAAAAAGAGTGTTTCAAAACTGCTCTGTAAAAAGAAAGGTTCAACTCTGTTAGTTGAGTACACATATCACAAACAAGTTTCACACAATGCTTCTTTCTAGCTTGTAGGGGAAGATATTTCCTTTATCACCATGGGCCTCAAACCATCCGAAACGTCCACTTCCATATACTAAAAAAAGAGTGTTTGAAACCTGCTCTATGAAAGGCAATGTTCAACTCTGTGACTTGAATGCAGACATCACAGTAGCAGTTTCTGAGAATGCTTCTGTCCAGACTTTATAGGAAGATATTCCCGTTTCCAACGAAATCTTCACAGCTATCCAAATATCCACTTGCAGATACTACAAAAAGAATGTATCAAAAATGCTCTGTCAAAAGGAAAGTTCTTCTCTGCTAGTTGAGTACATACGTCATAAAGGAGTTTCTGAGAATGTTTCTGTCTAGTGGTTATGGGAAGATATTTGCTTTTTCACAGAAGGCCTCAGAGCGCTCCAAATATCCACTTGCACATACTACAAAAAGAGTGCCTCAAAGCTGCTCTCTGAAACGGAATGTTCAACTTTGTGAGTTGAATGCAAACATCACAAAGACGTTTCCGAGAATGCTTCTGTCTAGATTTGATATGAAGATATTCCCGTTTCCAACGAAATCTTCAAATCTATCAAAATGTCCACTTGCAGATTCAACAAAAAGTGTTTTTCAGAACTGCTCTATCAAAAGAAAGATCCACCTCTGTTAGCTGAGTTCACACTTCACAAACAAGTTTATCAGAATGCTTCTGTCTAGTTTTTATTTGAAGATATATCCTTTCTCACTATAGACCTGAAAGCTCTCCTAAAGTTCACTTCCAGATACTACAGAAAGAGTGTTTCAAAACTGCTGTAAGAAAGGGAATGTTCATCTCTGTGACTTGAATGCACACATCACAAGGATGTTTCTGAGGATGCTGCTGTTTACTTTTTATACGTAATCCCGTTTCCAACGTAATCCTCCAGGCTATCCAAATATCCACTTGCAGATTCCACAGAAAGACTGTTTCAAATCTGCTCTGTCAATAGAAAAGTTCAACTCTATTAGCTGCGTGCATATATCCCAAAGAAGATTCTGAGATTGCTTCTGTCTAGTTTTTATGGGAAGATATTTCCCTTTTCACCGTAGGCGTCAAGGCGCTCCAAATGTCCACTTCCAGATACTACAAAAACAGTGTTTCAAACCTACTCTGTGAAAGGGAATATTCAACTCTGTGACTTGAATGCACATATCACAAAGAAGTTTCTGAGAATGCTTCTGTCGAGATTTTATATGAAGATATTCCCCTTTCCAACGAAATCCTGAAATCTATCCCAAATATCCCCTCGCAGATTCTACAAAAAGAGTGTTTCAAAACTGCTCTGTAAAAAGAAAGGTTCAACTCTGTTAGTTGAGTACACACATCACAAACAAGTTTCACAGAATGCTTCTTTCTAGCTTGTAGGGGAAGATATTCCCTTTATCACCATGGGCCTCAAACCGTCTGAAACGTCCACTTCCATATACTACAAAAAGAGCGTTTCAAACCTGCTCTATGAAAGGCAATGTTCAACTCTGTGACTTGAATGCAGACATCACAGAGCAGTTTCTGAGAATGCTTCTGTCTAGATTTTATAGGAAGATATTCCCGTTTCCAACGAAATCTTCGCAGCTATCCAAATATCCACTTGCAGATTCTACAAAAAGAGTGTATCAAAACTGCTCTGTCAAAAGGAAGGTTCTTCTGCTGTTAGGTGAGTGCATACGTCATAAAGGAGTTTCTGACAATGTTTCTGTCTAGATTTGATATAAAGATATTCCCGTTTCCAACGAAATCTTCAAATCAATCCAAATGTCCACTTGGAGATTCAACAAAAAGTGTTTTTCCGAACTGCTCTATCAAAAGAAAGATCCACCTCTGCTAGCTGAGTTCACACATCACAAACAAGTTTATGAGAATGCTTCTGTCTAGTTTTTATTTGAAGATATTTCCTTTCTCACCATAGACCTGAAAGCTGTCCTAATGTTCACTTCCAGATACTACAGAAAGAGTGTTTCAAAACTGCTGTACGAAAGGGAAGGTTCAACTCTGTGACTTGAATGCACACATCACAAAGAAGTTTCTGAGGATGCTGCTGTCTACTTTTTATACGTAATCCCGTTTCCAACGAAATCCTCCAAGCTATCCAAATATCCACTTGCAGATTCCACAGAAGGACTGTTTCAAAACTGCTCTGTCAATAGAAAGGTTCAACTCTGTTAGCTGCGTGCATATATCCCAAAGAAGATTCTGAGATTGCTTCTGTCTAGTTTTTATGGGAAGATATTTCCCTTTTCACCGTAGGTGTCAAGGCGCTCCAAATATCCACTTCCAGATACTACAAAAAGACTGTTTCAAACCTACTCTGTGAAAGGGAATATTCAACTCTGTGACTTGAATGCAGATATCACAATGAAGTTTCTGAGAATGCTTCTGTCGAGATTTTATATGAAGATATTCCCGTTTCCAACGAAATCCTGAAATCTATCCAAATATCCCCTCGCAGATTCTACAAAAAGAGTGTTTCAAAACTGCTCTGCAAAAAGAAAGGTTCAACTCTGTTAGTTGAGTACAAACATCACAAACAAGTTTCACAGAATGCTTCTTTCTACCTTGTAGGGGAAGATATTCCCTTTAACACCATGGGCCTCAAACCGTCCGAAACGTCCACTTCCATATACTACAAAAAGAGCGTTTCAAACCTGCTCTATGAAAGGCAATGTTCAACTCTGTGACTTGAATGCAGACATCACAGAGCAGTTTCTGAGAATGCTTCTGTCTAGATTTTATAGGAAGATATTCCCGTTTCCAACGAAATCTTCACAGCTATCCAAATATCCACTTGCAGATTCTACAAAAAGAGTGTATCAAAACTGCTCTGTCAAAAGGAAGGTTCTTTTCTGTTAGGTGAGTGCATACGTCATAAAGGAGTTTACTGAGAATGTTTTCTGTCTAGTGGTTATGGGAAGATATTTGCTTTTTCACCGTAGGCCTCAGAGCGCTCCAAATATCCACTTGCACATACTACAAAAAGAGTGCCTCAAAGCTGCTCTCTGAAACGAAATGTTCAACTCTATGAGTTGAATGCAAACATCACAAAGACGTTTCAGAGAATGCTTCTGTCTAGATTTGATATGACGATATTCCCGTTTCCAACGAAATCTTCAAATCTATCCAAATGTCCACTTGCAGATTCAACAAAAAGTGTTTTTCAGAACTGCTCTATCAAAAGAAAGATCCACCTCTGTTAGCTGAGTTCACACATCACAAACAAGTTTATTAGAATGCTTCTGTCTAGTTTTTATTTGAAGATATTTCCTTTCTCACCATAGACCTGAAAGCTGTCCTAATGTTCACTTCCAGATACTACAGAAAGAGTGTTTCAAAACTGCTGTATGGAAGGGAATGTTCAACTCTGTGACTTGAATGCACACATCACAAAGAAGTTCCTGAGGACGCTGCTGTCTACTTGTTATACGTAATCCCGTTTCCAACGAAATCCTCCAAGCTATCCAAATATCCACTTGCAGATTCCACAGAAAGACTGTTTCAAAACTGCTCTGTCAATAGAAAGGTTCAACTCTGTTAGCTGCGTGCATATATCCCAAAGAAGATTCTGAGATTGCTTCTGTCTAGTTTTTATGGGAAGATATTTCCCTTTTCACCGTAGGCGTCAAGGCGCTCCAAATGTCCACTCTCAGATACTACAAAAAGAGTGTTTCAAACCTACTCTGTGAAAGGGAATATTCAACTCTGTGACTTGAAGGCAGATATCACAAAGAAGTTTCTGAGAATGCTTCTGTCGAGATTTTATATGAAGATACTCCCGTTTCCAACGAAATCCTGAAATCTATCCAAATATCCCCTCGCAGATTCTACAAAAAGAGTGTTTCAAAACTGCTCTGTAAAAAGAAAGGTTCAACTCTGTTAGTTGTGTACACACATCACAAACAAGTTTCACAGAATGCTTCTTTCTAGCTTGTAGGGGAAGATATTCCCTTTATCACCATGGGCCTCAAACCGTCCGAAAAGTCCACTTCCATATACTACAAAAAGAGCGTTTCAAACCTGCTCTATGAAACGCAATGTTCAACTCTGTGACTTGAATGCAGACATCACAGAGCAGTTTCTGAGAATGCTTCTGTATAGATTTTATAGGAAGATATTCCCGTTTCCAACGAAATCTTCACAGCTATCCAAATATCCACTTGCAGATTCTACAAAAAGATTGTATCAAAACTGCTCTGTCAAAAGGAAGGTTCTTCTCTGTTAGGTGAGTGCATACGTCATAAAGGAGTTTCTGAGAATGTTTCTGTCTAGTGGTTATGGGAAGATATTTGCTTTTTCCACCGTAGGCCTCAGAGCGCTCCAAATATCCACTTGCACATACTACAAAAAGAGTGCCTCAAAGCTGCTCTCTGAAACGGAATGTTCAACTCTATGAGTTGAATGCAAACATCGCAAAGACGTTTCTGAGAATGCTTCTGTCTAGATTTGATATGAAGATATTCCCGTTTCCAACGAAATCTTCAAATCCATCCAAATGTCCTCTTGCAGATTCAACAAAAACTGTTTTTCAGCACTGCTCTATCAAAAGAAAGATCCACGTGTGTTAGCTGAGTTCACACATCACGAACAAGTTTATGAGAATGCTTCTGTCTAGTTTTTATTTGAAGATATTGCCTTTCTCACCATAGACATGAAAGCTGACCTAATGTTCACTTCCAGATACTACAGAAAGAGTGTTTCAAAACTGCTGTACGAAAGGGAATGTTCAACTCTGTGACTTGAATGCACACATCACAAAGAAGTTTCTGAGGATGCTGCTGTCTACTTTTTATACGTAATCCCGTTTCCAACGAAATCCTCCAAGCTATCCAAATATCCACTTGCAGATTCCACAGAAAGACTGTTTCAAAACTGCTCTGTCAATAGAAAGGTTCAACTCTGTTAGCTGCGTGCATATATCCCAAAGAAGATTCTGTGATTGCTTCTGTCTAGTTTTTATGGGAAGATATTTCCCTTTTCACCGTAGGCGTCAAGGCGCTCCAAATGTCCACTTCCAGATAGTACAAAAAGAGTGTTTCAAACCTGCTCTGTGAAAGGGAATATTCAACTCTGTGACTTGAATGCACATATCACAAAGAAGTTTGCTGAGAATGCTTCTGTCGAGATTTTATATGAAGATATTCCCGTTTCCAACGAAATCCTGAAATCTATCCAAATATCCCCTCACAGATTCTACAAAAAGAGTGTTTCAAAACTGCTCTGTAAAATGAAAGGTTCAACTCTGTTAGTTGAGTACACACATCACAAACAAGTTTCACAGAATGCTTCTTTCTAGCTTGTAGGGGAAGATATTCCCTTTATCACCATGGGCCTCAAATCGTCCGATAAGTCCACTTCCATATACTACAAAAAGAGCGTTTCAAACCTGCTCTATGAAAGGCAATGTTCAACTCTGTGACTTGAATGCAGACATCACAGAGCAGTTTCTGAGAATGCTTCTGTCTAGATTTTATAGGAAGATATTCCCGTTTCCAACGAAATCTTCACAGCTATCCAAATATCCACTTGCAGATTCTACGAAAAGAGTGTATCAAAACTGCTCTGTCAAAAGGAAGGTTCTTTTCTGTTAGGTGAGTGCATACGTCATAAAGGAGTTTCTGAGAATGCTTCTGTCTAGTGGTTATGGGAAGATATTTGCTTTTTCCCCGTAGGCCTCTGGGCGCTCCAAATGTCCACTTGCACATGCTACAAAAAGAGTGCTTCAAAGCTGCTCTCTGAAAGGGAATGTTCAACTCTATGAGTTGAATGCAAACATCACAAAGACGTTTCTGAGAATGCTTCTGTCTAGATTTGATATGAAGATATTCCCGTTTCCAACGAAATCTTCAAATCTATCCAAATATCCACTTGCAGATTCAACAAAAAGTGTTTTTCAGAACTGCTCTATCAAAAGAAAGATCCACCTCTGTTAGCTTAGTTCACACATCACAAACAAGTTTATGAGAATGCTTCTGTCTAGTTTTTATTTGAAGATATTTCCTTTCTCACCATAGACCTGAAAGCTGTCCTAATGTTCACTTCCAGATACTACAGAAAGAGTGTTTCAAAACTGCTGTACGAAAGGGAATGTTCAACTCTGTGACTTGAATGTACACATCACAAAGAAGTTTCTGAGGATGCTGCTGTCTACTTTTTATACGTAATCCCGTTTCCAACGAAATCCTCCAAGCTATCCAAATATCCACTTGCAGATTCCACAGAAAGACTGTTTCAAAACTGCTCTGTCAATAGAAAGGTTCAACTCTGTTAACTGCGTGCATATATCCCAAAAAAGATTCTGAGATTGCTTCTGTCTAGTTTTTATGGGAAGATATTTCCCTTTTCACCGTAGGTGTCAAGGCGCTCCAAATGTCCACTTCCAGATACTACAAAAAGAGTGTTTCAAAACTGCTGTACGAAAGGGAATGTTCAACTCTGTGACTTGAATGCACACATCACAAAGTAGTTTCTGAGGATGCTTCTGTCGAGATTTTATATGAAGATATTCCCGTTTCCGACGAAATCCTGAAATCTATCCAAATATCCCCTCGCAGATTCTACAAAAAGAGTGTTTCAAAACTGCTCTGTAAAAAGAAAGGTTCAACTCTGTTAGTTGAGTACACACATCACAAACAAGTTTCACAGAATGCTTCCTTCTAGCTGGTAGGGGAAGATATTCGCTTTATCACCATGGGCCTCAAACCGTCCGAAACGTCCACTTCCATATACTACGAAAAGAGCGTTTCAAACCTGCTCTATGAAAGGCAATGTTCAACTCTGTGACTTGAATGCAGACATCACAGAGCAGTTTCTGAGAATGCTTCTGTCTAGATTTTATAGGAAGATATTCCCGTTTCCAACGAAATCTTCACAGCTATCCAAATATCCACTTGCAGATTCTACAAAAAGAGTGTATCAAAACTGCTCTCTCAAAAGGAAGGTTCTTCTCTGCTAGTTGAGTACATACGTCATAAAGAAGTTTCTGAGAATGTTTCTGTCTAGTGGTTATGGGAAGATATTTGCTTTTTCACCTTAGGCCTCAGAGCGCTCAAAATATCCACTTGCACATACTACAAAAAGAGCGCTTCAAAGCTGCTCTCTGAAACAGAATGTTCAACTCTATGGGTTGAATGCAAACATCACAAAGACGTTTCTGAGAATGCTTCTGTCTAGATTTGATATGAAGATATTCCCGTTTCCAACGAAATCTTCAAATCTATCCAAATGTCCACTTGCAGATTCAACAAAAAGTGTTTTTCAGAACTGCTCTATCAAAAGAAAGATCCACCTCTGTTAGCTGAGTTCACACATCACAAACAAGTTTATTAGAATGCTTCTCTCAAGTTTTTATTTGAAGATATTTCCTTTCTCACCATAGTCCTGAAAGCTGTACTAATGTTCACTTCCAGATACTACAGAAAGAGTGTTTCAAAACTGCTGTACGAAAGGGAATGTTCAACTCTGTGACTTGAATGCACACATCACAAAGAAGTTTCTGAGGATGCTGCTGTCTACTTATTATACGTAATCCCGTTTCCAACGAAATCCTCCAAGCTATCCAAATATCCACTTGCAGATTCCACAGAAAGACTCTTTCAAAACTGTTCTGTCAATAGAAAGGTTCAGCTCTGTTAGCTGCGTGCATATATCCCAAAGAAGATTCTGAGATTGCTTCTGTCTAGTTTTTATGGGAAGATATTTCCCTTTTCACCGTAGGCGTCAAGGCGCTCCAAATGTCCACTTCCAGATACTACAAAAAGAGTGTTTCAAACCTACTCTGTGAAAGGGAATATTCAACTCTGTGACTTGAATGCACATATCACAAAGAAGTTTCTGAGAATGTTTCTGTCGAGATTTTATATGAAGATATTCCCGTTTCCAAAGAAATCCTGAAATCTATCCAAATATCCCCTCGCAGATTCTACAGAAAGAGTGTTTCAAAACTGCTCTGTAAAAAGAAAGGTTCAACTCTGTTACTTGAGTACACACATCACAAACAAGTTTCACAGAATGCTTCTTTCTAGCTTGTAGGGGAAGATATTTCCTTTATCACCATGGGCCTCAAACCGTCCGAAACGTCCACTTCCATATACTAAAAAAAGAGTGTTTGAAACCTCCTCTATGAAAGGCAATGTTCAACTCTGTGACTTGAATGCAGACATCACAGAGCAGTTTCTGAGAATACTTCTGTCTAGATTTTATAGGAAGATATTCTCGTTTCCAACGAAATCTTCACAGCTATCCAAATATCCACTTGCAGATTCTACAAAAAGAGTGTATCAAAACTGCTCTGTGAAAAGGAAGGTTCTTCTCTGTTAGGTGAGTGCATACGTCATAAAGGAGTTTCTGAGAATTTTTCTGTCTAGTGGTTACGGGAAGATATTTGCTTTTTCACCTTAGGCCTCAGAGCGCTCCAAATATCCACTTGCACATACTACAAAAAGAGTGCTTCAAAGCTGCTCTCTGAAACGGAATGTTCAACTCTATGAGTTGAATGCAAACATCACAAAGACGTTTCTGAGAATGCTTCTGTCTAGATTTGATATGAAGATATTCCCGTTTCCAACGAAATCTTCAAATCTATCCAAATGTCCACTTGCAGATTCAACAAAAAGTGTTTTTCTGAACTGCTCTATCAAAAGAAAGATCCACCTCTGTTAGCTGAGTTCACACATCACAAACAAGTTTATGAGAATGCTTCTGTCTAGTTTTTATTTGAAGATATTTCCTTTCTCACCATAGACCTGAAAGCTGTCCTTATGTTCACTTCCAGATACTACAGAAAGAGCGTTTCAAAACTGCTGTACGAAAGGGAATGTTCAACTCTGTGACTTGAATGCACACATCACAAAGAAGTTTCTGAGGATGCTGCTGTCTACTTTTTATACGTAATCCCGTTTCCAACGAAATCCTCCAATCTATCCAAATATCCACTTGCAGATTCCACAGAAAGACTGTTTCAAATCTGCTCAGTCAATAGAAAGGTTCAACTCTGTTAGCTGCGTGCATATATCCCAAAGAAGTTTCTGAGATTGCTTCTGTCTAGTTTTTATGGGAAGATATTTCCCTTTTCACCGTAGGCGTCAAGGCGCTCCAAATGTCCACTTCCAGATATTACAAAAAGAGTGTTTCAAACCTACTCTGTGAAAGGGAATATTCAACTCTGTGACTTGAATGCACATATCACAAAGAAGTTTCTGAGAATGCTTCTGTCGAGATTTTCTATGAAGATATTCCCGTTTCCAACGAAATCCTGAAATCTATCCAAATATCCCCTCGCAGATTCTACAAAAAGAGTGTTTCAAAACTGCTCTGTAAAAAGAAAGGTTCAACTCTGTTAGTTGAGTGCACACATCACAAACAAGTTTCACAGAATGCTTCTTTCTAGCTTGTAGGGGAAGATATTCCCTTTGTCACCATGGGCCTCAAACCGTCCGAAAAGTCCACTTCCATATACTACAAAAAGAGCATTTCAAACCTGCTCTATGAAAGGCAATGTTCAACTCTGTGACTTGAATGCAGACATCACAGAGCAGTTTCTGAGAATGCTTCTGTCTAGATTTTATAGGAAGATATTCCCGTTTCCAACGAAATCTTCACAGCTATCCAAATATCCACTTGCAGATTCTACAAAAAGAGTGTATCAAAACTGCTCTGTCAAAAGGAAGGTTCTTTTCTGTTAGGTGAGTGCATACGTCATAAAGGAGTTTCTGAGAATGTTTCTGTCTAGAGGTTATGGGAAGATATTTGCTTTTTCACCGTAGGCCTCAGAGCGCTCCAAATATCCACTTGCACATACTACAAAAAGAGTGCTTCAAAGCTGGTCTCTGAAACGGAATGTTCAACTCTATGAGTTGAATGCAAACATCACAAAGACGTTTCTGAGAATGCTTCTGTCTAGATTTGATATGAAGATATTCCCATTTCCAACGAAATCTTCAAATCTATCCAAATGTCCACTTGCAGATTCAACAAAAAGTGTTTTTCAGAACTGCTCTATCAAAAGAAAGATCCACCTCTGTTAGCTGAGTTCACACATCACAAACAAGTTTATGAGAATGTTTCTGTCCAGTTTTTTTTGAAGATATTTCCTTTCTCACCATAGACCTGAAAGCTGTCCTAATGTTCACTTCCAGATACTACAGAAAGAGTGTTTCAAAACTGCTGTACGAAAGGGAATGTTCAACTCTGTGACTTGAATGCACACATCACAAAGAAGTTTCTGAGGATGCTGCTGTCTACTTTTTATACGGTAATCCCGTTTCCAACGAAATCCTCCAAGCTATCCAAATATCCACTTGCAGATTCCACAGAAAGACTGTTTCAAAACTGCTCTGTCAATAGAAAGGTTCAACTCTGTTAGCTGCATGCATATATCCCAAAGAAGATTCTGAGATTGCTTCTGTCTAGTTTTTATGGGAAGATATTTCCCTTTTCACCGTAGGCGTCAAGGCGCTCCAAATGTCCACTTCCAGATACTACAAAAAGAGTGTTTCAAACCTCCTCTGTGAAAGGGAATATTCAACTCTGTGACTTGAATGCACATATCACAAGGAAGTTTCTGAGAATGCTTCTGTCGAGATTTTATATGAAGATATTCCCGTTTCCAACGAAATCCTGAAATCTATCAAAATATCCCCTCGCAGATTCTACAAAAAGACTGTTTCAAAACTGCTCTGTAAAAAGAAAGGTTCAACTCTGTTAGTTGAGTACACACATCACAAACAAGTTTCACAGAATGCTTCTTTCTAGCTGGTAGGGGAAGATATTCGCTGTATCACCATGGGCCTCAAACCGTCCGAAACGTCCACTTCCATATACTACAAAAAGAGCGTTTCAAACCTGCTCTATGAAAGGCAATGTTCAACTCTGTGTCTTGAATGCAGACATCACACAGCAGTTTCTGAGAATGCTTCTGTCTAGATTTTATAGGAAGATATTCCCATTTCCAACGAAATCTACACAGCTATCCAAATATCCACTTGCAGATTCTACAAAAAGAGTGTATCAAAACTGCTCTGTCAAAAGGAAGGTTCTTCTCTGTTAGTTGAGTACATACGTCATAAAGGAGTTTCTGAGAATGTTTCTGTCTAGTGGTTATGGGAAGATATTTGCTTTTTCACCGTAGGCCTCAGAGCGCTCCAAATATCCACTTGCACATACTACAAAAAGAGTGCTTCAAAGCTGCTCTCTGAAAGGGAATGTTCAACTCTATGAGTTGAATGCAAACATCACAAAGATGTTTCTGAGAATGCTTCTGTCTAGATTTGATATGAAGATATTCCCGTTTCCAACGAAATCTTCAAATCTATCCAAATGTCCACCTGCAGATTCAACAAAAAGTGTTTTTCAGAACTGCTCTATCAAAAGAAAGATCCACCTCTGTTAGCTGAGTTCACACATCACAAACAAGTTTATGAGAATGCTTCTGTCTAGTTTTTATTTGAAGATATATCCTTTCTCACTATAGACCTGAAAGCTCTCCTAAAGTTCACTTCCAGATACTACAGAAAGAGTGTTTCAAAACTGCTGTACGAAAGGGAATGTTCAACTCTGTGACTTGAATGCACACATCACAAGGAAGTTTCTGAGGATGCTGCTGTCTACTTTTTATACGTAATCCCGTTTCCAACGAAATCCTCCAAGCTATCCAAATATCCACTTGCAGATTCCACAGAAAGACTGTTTCAAAACTGCTCTGTCAATAGAAAGTTTCAACTCTGTTAGCTGCGTGCATATATCCCAAAGAAGATTCTGAGATTGCTTCTGTCTAGTTTTTATGGGAAGATATTTCCCTTTTCACCGTAGGTGTCAAGGCGCTCCAAATGTCCACTTCCAGATACTACAAAAAGAGTGTTTCAAACCTACTCTCTGAAAGGGAATATTCAACTCTGTGACTTGAATGCAGATATCACAATGAAGTTTCTGAGAATGCTTCTGTCGAGATTTTATATGAAGATATTCCCGTTTCCAACGAAATCCTGAAATCTATCCAAATATCCCCTCGTAGATTCTACAAAAAGAGTGTTTCAAAACTGCTCCGTAAAAAGAAAGGTTCAACTCTGTTAGTTGAGTACACACAACACAAACAAGTTTCACAGAATGCTTCTTTCTAGCTTGTAGGGGAAGATATTTCCTTTATCTCCATGGGCCTCAAGCCGTCCGAAACGTCCACTTCCATATATTACGAAAAGAGCGTTTCATACCTCCTCTGTGAAAGGCAATGTTCAACTCTCTGACTTGAATGCAGACATCACAGAGCAGTTTCTGAGAATGCTTCTGTCTAGATTTTATAGGAAGATATTCCCGTTTCCAACGAAATCTTCACAGCTATCCAAATATCCACTTGCAGATTCTACAAAAAGAGTGTATCAAAACTGCTCTGTCAAAAGGAAGTTTCTTTTCTGTTAGGTGAGTGCATACGTCATAAAGGAGTTTCTGAGAATGTTTCTGTCTAGTGGTTATGGGAAGATATTTGCTTTTTCACCTTAGGCCTCAGAGCGCTCCAAATATCCACTTGCACATACTACAAAAAGAGTGTTTCAAAGCTGCTCTCTGAAAGGGAATGTTCAACTCTATGAGTTGAATGCAAACATGACAAAGACGTTTCTGAGAATGCTTCTGTCTAGATTTGATATGAAGATATTCCCGTTTCCAACGAAATCTTCAAATCTATACAAATGTCCACTTGCAGATTCAACAAAAAGTGTTTTTCAGAACTGCTCTATCAAAAGAAAGATCCACCTCTGTTAGCTGAGTTCACACATCACAAAGAAGTTGATGAGAATGCTTCTGTCTAGTTTTTATTTGAAGATATTTCCTTTCTCACCATAGAGCTGAAAGCTGTCCTAATGTTCACTTCCAGATACTACAGAAAGAGAGTTTCAAAACTGCTGTACGAAAGGGAATGTTCAACTCTGTGACTTGAATGCACACATCACAAAGAAGTTTCTGAGGATGCTGCTGTCTACTTTTTATACGTAATCCCGTTTCCAACGAAATCCTCCAAGCTATCCAAATATCCACTTGCAGATTCCAAAGAAAGACTGTTTCTAAACTGCTCTGTCAATAGAAAGGTTCAACTCTGTTAGCTGCGTGCATATATCCCAAAGAAGATTCTGAGATTCCTTCTGTCTAGTTTTTATGGGAAGATATTTCCCTTTTCACCGTAGGGGTCAAGGCGCTCCAAATGTCCACTTCCAGATACTACAAAAAGAGTGTTTCAAACCTACTCTGTGAAAGGGAATATTCAACTCTGTGACTTGAATGCAGATATCATAAAGAAGTTTCTGAGAATGCTTCTGTCGAGATTTTATATGAAAATATTCCCGTTTCCAACGAAATCCTGAAATCTATCCAAATATCCCCTCGCAGATTCTACAAAAAGAGTGTTTCAAAACTGCTCTGTAAAAAGAAAGGTTCAACTCTGTTACTTGACTACACACATCACAAAGAAGTTTCACAGAATGCTTCTTTCTAGCTTGTAGGGGAAGATATTCCCTTTATCACCATGGGCCTCAAACCGTCCGAAACGTCCACTTCCATATACTACAAAAAGAGCGTTTCAAACCTGCTCTAGGAAAAGCAATGTTCAACTCTGTGACTTGAATGCAGACATCACAGAGCAGTTTCTGAGAATGCTTCTGTCTAGATTTTATAGGAAGATATTCCCGTTTCCAACGAAATCTTCAAAGCTATCCAAATATCCACTTGCAGATTCTACAAAAAGAGTGTATCAAAACTGCTCTGTCAAAAGGAAGGTTCTTCTCTGTTAGTTGAGTACATACGTCATAAAGGAGTTTCTGAGAATGTTTCTGTCTAGTGGTTATGGGAAGATATTTGCTTTTTCCCCGTAGGCCTCAGGGCGCTCCAAATGTCCACTTGCACATGCTACAAAAAGAGTGCTTCAAAGCTGCTCTCTCAAAGGGAATGTTCAACTCTATGAGTTGAATGCAAACATCACAAAGACGTTTCTGAGAATGCTTCTGTCTAGATTTGATATGAAGATATTCCCGTTTCCAACGAAATCTTCAAATCTATCCAAATGTCCACTTGCAGATTCAACAAAAAGTGTTTTTCAGAACTGCTCTATCAAAAGAAAGATCCACCTCTGTTAGCTGAGTTCAGACATCAAAACAAGTTTATGAGAATGCTTCTGCCTAGTTTTTATTTGAAGATATTTCCTTCCTCACCATAGACCTGAAAGCTGTCCTAATGTTCACTTCCAGATACTACAGAAAGAGTGTTTCAAAACTGCTGTACGAAAGGGAATGTTCAACTCTGTGACTTGAATGCACACATCACAAAGAAGTTTCTGAGGATGCTGCTGTCTACTTTTTATACGTAATCCCGTTTCCAACGAAATCCTCCAAGCTATCCAAATATCCACTTGGAGATTCCACAGAAAGACTGTTTCAAAACTGCTCTGTCAATAGAAAGGTTCAACTCTGTTAGCTGCGTGCATATATCCCAAAGAAGATTCTGAGATTGCTTCTGTCTAGTTTTTATGGGAAGATATTTCCCTTTTCACCGTAGGCGTCAAGGCGCTCCAAATGTCCACTTCCAGATACTACAAAAAGAGTGTTTCAAACCTACTCTGTGAAAGGGAATATTGAACTCTGTGACTTGAATGCACATATCACAAAGAAGTTTCTGAGAATGCTTCTGTCGAGATTTTCTATGAAGATATTCCCGTTTCCAACGAAATCCTGAAATCTATCCAAATATCCCCTCACAGATTCTACAAAAAGAGTGTTTCAAAACTGCTCTGTAAAAAGAAAGGTTCAACTCTGTTAGTTGAGTACACACATCACAAACAAGTTTCACAGAATGCTTCTTTCTAGCTTGTAGGGGAAGATATTCCCTTTATCACCATGGGCCTCAAACCGTCCAAAAAGTCCACTTCCATATACTACAAAAAGAGCGTTTCAAACCTGCTCTATGAAAGGCAATGTTCAACTCTGTGACTTGAATGCAGACATCACAGAGCAGTTTCTGAGAATGCTTCTGTCTAGATTTTATAGGAAGATATTCCCGTTTCCAACGAAATCTTCACAGCTATCCAAATATCCACTTGCAGATTCTACAAAAAGAGTGTATCAAAACTGCTCTTTCAAAAGGAAGGTTCTTCTCTGTTAGGTGAGTGCACACGTCATAAAGGAGTTTCTGAGAATGTTTCTGTCTAGTGGTTATGGGAAGATATTTGCTTTTTCACCGTAGGCCTCAGAGCGCTCCAAATATCCACTTGCACATACTACAAAAAGAGTGCTTCAAAGCTGCTCTCTGAAACGGAATGTTCAACTCTATGAGTTGAATGCAAACATCACAAAAACGTTTCTGAGAATGCTTCCGTCTAGATTTGATATGAAGATATTCCCGTTTCCAACGAAATCTTCAAATCTATCCAAATGTCCACTTGCAGATTCAACAAAAAGTGTTTTTCAGAACTGCTCTATCAAAAGAAAGATCCACCTCTGTTAGCTGAGTTCACACATCAGAAACAGGTTTATGAGAATGCTTCTGTCTAGTTTTTATTTGAAGATATTTCCTTTCTCACGATAGACCTGAAAGCTGTCCTAATGTTCACTTCCAGATACTACAGAAAGAGTGTTTCAAAACTGCTGTACGAAAGGGAATGTTCAACTCTGTGACTTGAATGCACACATCACAAAGAAGTTTCTGAGGATGCTGCTGTCTAATTTTTATACGTAATCCCGTTACCAACGAAATCCTCCAAGCTATCCAAATATCCACTTACAGATTCCACAGAAAGACTGTTTCAAAACTGCTCTGTCAATAGAAAGGTTCAACTCTGTTAGCTGCGTGCATATATCCCAAAGAAGATTCTGAGATTGCTTTCTGTCTAGTTTTTATGGGAAGATATTTCCCTTTTCACCGTAGGTGTCAAGGCGCTCCAAATGTCCACTTCCAGATACTACAAAAAGAGTGCTTCAAACCTACTCTGTGAAAGGGAATATTCAACTCTGTGACTTGAATGCACATATCACAAAGAAGTTTCTGAGAATGCTTCTGTCGAGATTTTGTATGAAGATATTCCCGTTTCCAACGAAATCCTGAAATCTATCCTAATATCCCCTCGCAGATTCTACAAAAGGAGTGTTTCAAAACTGCTCTGTGAAAAGAAAGGTTCAACTCTCTTAGTTGAGTACACACATCACAAACAAGTTTCACAGAATGCTTCTTTCTAGCTTGTAGGGGAAGATATTCCCTTTATCACCATGGGCCTCAAACTGTCCGAAAAGTCCACTTCCATATACTACAAAAAGAGCGTTTCAAACCTGCTCTATGAAAGGCAATGTTCAACTCTGTGACTTGAATGCAGACATCACAGAGCAGTTTCTGAGAATGCTTCTGTCTAGATTTTATAGGAAGATATTCCCGTTTCCAACGAAACCTTCACAGCTATCCAAATATCCACTTGCAGATTCTACAAAAAGAGTGTATCAAAACTGCTCTGTCAAAAGGAAGGTTCTTCTCTGTTAGTTGAGTACATACGTCATAAAGGAGTTTCTGAGAATGTTTCTGTCTAGTGGTTATGGGAAGATATTTGCTTTTTCACCGTAGGCCTCAGAGCGCTCCAAATATCCCCTTGCACATACTACAAAAAGAGTGCTTCAAAGCTGCGCTCTGAAAGGGAATGTTCAACTCTGTGAGTTGAATGCAAACATCACAAATACGTTTCTGAGAATGCTTCTGTCTAGATTTGATATGAAGGTATTCCCGTTTCCAACGAAATCTTCAAATCTATCCAAATGTCCACTTGCAGATTCAACAAAAAGTGTTTTTCAGAACTGCTCTATCAAAAGAAAGATCCACCTCTGTTAGCTGAGTTCACCCATCACAAACAAGTTTATGAGAATGCTTCTGTCTAGTTTTTATTTGAAGATATTTCCTTTCTCACCATAGAGCTGAAAGCTGTCCTAATGTTCACTTCCAGATACTACAGAAAGAGTGTTTCAAAACTGCTGTACGAAAGGGAATGTTCAACTCTGTGACTTGAATGCACACATCTCAAAGAAGTTTCTGAGGATGCTGCTGTCTACTTTTTATACGTAATCCTGTTTCCAACGAAATCCTCCAAGCTATCCAAATATCCACTTGCAGATTCCACAGAAAGACTGTTTCAAAACTGCTCTGTCAATAGAAAAGTTCAACTCTGTTAGCTGTGTGCATATATCCCAAAGAAAATTCTGAGATTGCTTCTGTTTAGTTTTTATGGGAAGATATTTCCCTTTTCACCGTAGGTGTCAAGGCGCTCCAAATGTCCACTTCCAGATTCTACAAAAAGAGTGTTTCAAACCTACTCTGTGAAAGGGAATATTCAACTCTGTGACTTGAATGCACATATCACAAAGAAGTTTCTGAGAATGCTTCTGTCGAGATTTTATATGAAGATATTCCCGTTTCCAATGAAATCCTGAAATCTATCCAAATATCCCCTCGCAGATTCTACAAAAAGAGTGTTTCAAAACTGCTCTGTAAAAAGAAAGGTTCAACTCTGTTAGTTGAGTACACACTTCACAAACAAGTTTCACAGAATGCTTCTTTCTAGCTTGTAGGGGAAGATATTCCCTTTATCACCATGGGCCTCAAACCGTCCGATAAGTCCACTTCCATATACTACAAAAAGAGCGTTTCAAACCTGCTCTATGAAAGGCAATGTTCAACTCTGTGACTTGAATGCAGACATCACAGAGCAGTTTCTGAGAATGCTTTCTGTCTAGATTTGATATGAAGATATTCCCGTTTCCAACGAAATCTTCACAGCTATCCAAATATCCACTGGCAGATTCTACAAAAAGAGTGTATCAAAACTGCTCTGTCAAAAGGAAGGTTCTTCTCTGTTAGGTGAGTGCATACGTCATAAAGGAGTTTCTGAGAATGTTTCTGTCTAGTGGTTATGGGAAGATATTTGCTTTTTCCCCGTAGGCCTCAGGGCGCTCCAAATGTCCACTTGCACATGCTACAAAAAGAGTGCTTCAAAGCTACTCTCTGGAAGGGAATGTTCAACTCTATGAGTTGAATGCAAACATCACAAAGACGTTTCTGAGAATGCTTTTTGTCTAGATTTGATATGAAGATATTCCCGTTTCCAACGAAATCTTCAAATCTATCCAAATGTCCACTTGCAGATTCAACAAAAAGTGTTTTTCAGAACTGCTCTATCAAAAGAAAGATCCACCTCTGTTAGCTGAGTTCACACATCACAAACAAGTTTATGAGAATGCTTCTGTCTAGTTTTTATTTGAAGATATTTCCTTTCTCACCATAGACCTGAATGCTGTCCTAATGTTCACTTCCAGATACTACAGAAAGAGTTTTTCAAAACTGCTGTACGAAAGGGAATATTTAACTCTGTGACTTGAATGCACACATCACAAAGAAGTTTCTGAGGATGCTGCTGTCTACTTTTTATAGGTAATCCCGTTTCCAACGAAATCCTCCAAGCTATCCAAATATCCACTTGCAGATTCCACAGAAAGACTGTTACAAAACTGCTCTGTCAATAGAAAGGTTCAACTCTGTTAGCTGCGTGCATATATCCCAAAGAAGATTCTGAGATTGCTTCTGTCTCGTTTTTATGGGAAGATATTTCCCTTTTCACCGTAGGTGTCAAGGCGCTCCAAATGTCCACTTCCAGATACTACAAAAAGAGTGTTTCAAACCTACTCTCTGAAAGGGAATATTCAACTCTGTGACTTGAATGCAGATATCACAATGAAGTTTCTGAGAATGTTTCTGTCGAGATTTTATATGAAGATATTACCGTTTCCAACGAAATCCTGAAATCTATCGAAATATCCCCTCGCAGATTCTACAAAAAGAGTGTTTCAAAACTGCTCTGTAAAAAGAAAGGTTCAACTCTGTTAGTTGAGTACACACATCACAAACAAGTTTCACAGAATGCTTCTTTCTAGCTTGTAGGGGAAGATATTCCCTTTATCACCATGGGCCTCAAACCGTCCGAAACGTCCACTTCCATATACTACAAAAAGAGCGTTTCAACCCTGCTCTAGGAAAGGCAATGTTCAACTCTGTGACTTGAATGCAGACATCACAGAGCAGTTTCTGAGAATGCTTCTGTCTAGATTTTATAGGAAGATATTCCCGTTTCCAACGAAATCTTCACAGCTATCCAAATATCCACTTGCAGATTCTACAAAAAGAGTGTATCAAAACTGCTCTGTCAAAAGGAAGGTTCTTCTCTGTCAGTTGAGTACATACGTCATAAAGGAGTTTCTGAGAATGTTTCTCTCTAGTGGTTATGGGAAGATATTTCCTTTTTCCCCGTAGGCCTCAGGGCGCTCCAAATGTCCACTTACACATGCTACAAAAAGAGTGCTTCAAAGCTGCTCTCTGAAAGGGAATGTTCAACTCTATGAGTTGAATGCAAACATCACAAAGACGTTTCTGAGAATGCTTCTTTCTAGATTTGATATGAAGATATTCCCGTTTCCAACGAAATCTTCAAATCTATCCAAATGTCCACTTGCAGATTCAACAAAAAGTGTTTTTCAGAACTGCTCTATCAAAAGAAAGATCCACCTCTGTTAGCTGAGTTCACACATCACAAACAAGTTTATGAGAATGCTTCTGTCTAGTTTTTATTTGAAGATATTTCCTTTCTCACCATAGACCTGAAAGCTGTCCTAATGTTCACTTCCAGATACTACAGAAAGAGTGTTTCAAAACTGCTGTACGAAAAGGAATGTTCAACTCTGTGACTTGAATGCACACATCACAAAGAAGTTTCGGAGGATGCTGCTGTCTACTTTTTATACGTAATCCCGTTTCCAACGAAATCCTCCAAGCTATCCAAATATCCACTTGCAGATTCCACAGAAAGACTGTTTCAAAACTGCTCTGTCAATAGAAAGGTTCAACTCTGTTAGCTGAGTGCATATATCCCAAAGAAGATTCTGAGATTGCTTCTCTCTAGTTTTAATGGGAAGATATTTCCCTTTTCACCGTAGGCGTCAAGGCGCTCCAAATGTCCACTTCCAGATACTACAAAAAGAGTGTTTCAAACCTACTCTGTGAAAGGGAATATTCAACTCTGTGACTTGAATGCAGATATCACAAAGAAGTTTCTGAGAATGCTTCTGTCGAGATTTTATATGAAGATATTCCCGTTTCCAACGAAATGCTGAAATGTATCCAAATATCCCCTCGCAGATTCTACAAAAAGAGTGTTTCAAAACTGCTCTGTAAAAAGAAAGGTTCAACTCTGTTAGTTGAGTACACACATCACAAACTAGTTTCACAGAATGCTTCTTTCTATCTTGTAGGGGAAGATATTCCCTTTATCAGCATGGGCCTCAAACCGTCCGAAACGTCCACTTCCATATACTACAAAAAGAGCGTTTCAAACCTGTTCTAGGAAAGGCAATGTTCAACTCTGTGACTTGAATGCAGACATCACAGAGCAGTTTCTGAGAATGCTTCTGTCTAGATTTTATAGGAAGATATTCCCGTTTCCAACGAAATCTTCACAGCTATCCAAATATCCACTTGCAGATTCTACAAAAAAAGTGTATCAAAACTGCTCTGTCACAAGGAAGGTTCTTCTCTGTTAGGTGAGTGCATACGTCATAAAGGAGTTTCTGAGAATGTTTCTGTCTAGTGGTTACGGGAAGATATTTGCTTTTTCACCTTAGGCCTCACAGCGCTCCAAATATCCACTTGCACATACTACAAAAAGAGTGCTTCAAAGCTGCTCTCTGAAACGGAATGTTCAACTCTATGAGTTGAATGCAAACATCACAAAGACGTTTCTGAGAATGCTTCTGTCTAGATTTGATATGAAGATATTCCCGTTTCCAACGAAATCTTCAAATCTATCCTAATGTCCACTTGCAGATTCAACAAAAAGTGTTTTTCAGAACTGCTGTATCAAAAGAAAGATCCACCTCTGTTAGCTGAGTTCACACATCACAAACAAGTTTATGAGAATGCTTCTGTCTAGTTTTTATTTGAAGATATTTCCTTTCTCACCATAGACCTGAAAGCTGTCCTAATGTTCACTTCCAGATACTACAGAAAGAGTGTTTCAAAACTGCTGTACGGAAGGGAATGTTCAACTCTGTGACTTGAATGCACACATCACAAAGAAGTTCCTGAGGATGCTGCTGTCTACTTTTTATACCGTAATCCCGTTTCCAACGAAATCCTCCAAGCTATCCAAATATCCACTTGCAGATTCCACAGAAAGACTGTTTCAAAACTGCTATGTCAATAGAAAAGTTCAACTCTGTTAGCTGTGTGCATATATCCCAAAGAAAATTCTGAGATTGCTTCTGTCTAGTTTTTATGGGAAGATATTTCCCTTTTCACCGTAGACGTCAAGGCACTCCAAATGTCCACTTCCAGATACTACAAAAAGAGTGTTTAAAACCTACTCTGTGAAAGGGAATATGCAACTCTGTGACTTGAATGCAGATATCACAAAGATGTTTCTGAGAATGCTTCTGTCGAGATTTTATATGAAGATATTCCCGTTTCCAACGAAATCCTGAAATCTCTCCAAATATCCCCTCGCAGATTCTACAAAAAGAGTGTTTCAAAACTGCTCTGTAAAAAGAAAGGTTCAACTCTGTTAGTTCAGTACACACATCACAAACAAGTTTCACAGAATGCTTCTTTCTAGCTTGTAGGGGAAGATATTCCCTTTATCACCATGGGCCTCAAACCTTCCGAAATGTCCACTTCCATATACTACAAAAAGAGTGTTTCAAACCTGCTCTATGAAAGGCAATGTTCAACTCTGTGACTTGAATGCAGACATCACAGAGCAGTTTCTGAGAATGCTTCTGTCTAGATTTTATAGGAAGATATTCCCGTTTCCAACGAAATCTTCACAGCTATCCAAATATCCACTTGCAGATTCTACAAAAAGAGTGTATCAAAACTGCTCTGTCAAAAGGAAGGTTCTTTTCTGTTAGGTGAGTGCCATACGTCATAAAGGAGTTTCTGAGAATGTTTCTGTCTAGTGGTTATGGGAAGATATTTGCTTTTTCAGCGTAGGCCTCAGAGCGCTCCAAATATCCACTTGCACATACTTCAAAAAGAGTGTTTCAAAGCTGCTCTCTGAAAGGGAATGTTCAACTCTATGAGTTGAATGCAAACATGACAAAGACGTTTCTGAGAATGCTTCTGTCTAGATTTGATATGAAGATATTCCCGTTTCCAATGAAATCTTCAAATCTATCCAAATGTCCACTTGCAGATTCAACAAGAAGTGTTTTTCAGAACTGCTCTATCAAAAGAAAGATCCACCTCTGTTAGCTGAGTTCACACATCACAAACAAGTTTATGAGAATGCTTCTGTCTAGTTTTTATTTGAAGATATATCCTTTCTCACTATAGACCTGAAAGCTGTCCTAAAGTTCACTTCCAGATACTACAGAAAGAGTGTTTCAAAACTGCTGTACGATAGGGAATGTTCAACTCTGTGACTTGAATGCACACATCACAAGGATGTTTCTGAGGATGCTGCTGTCTACTTTTTACACGTAATCCCGTTTCCAAAGAAATCCTCCAAGCTATCCAAATATCCACTTGCAGATTCCACAGAAAGACTGTTTCAAAACTGCTCTGTCAATAGAAAGGTTCAACTCTGTTAGCTGCGTGCATATATCCCAAAGAAGATTCTGAGATTGCTTCTGTCTAGTTTTTATGGGAAGATATTTCCCTTTTCACCGTAGGTGTCAAGGCGCTCCAAATGTCCACTTCCAGATACAAAACTGCTGTACGAAAGGGAATGTTCAACTCTGTGACTAGAATGCAGAAACTTCACAAAGAAGTTTCTGAGGATGCTGCTGTCTAATTTTTATACGTAATCCCGTTTCCAACGAAATCCTCCAAGCTATCAAAATATCTACTTGCAGATTCCACAGAAAGACTGTTTCAAAACTGCTATGTCAATAGAAAAGTTCAACTCTGTTAGCTGTGTGCGTATATCCCAAAGAAAATTCTGAGATTGCTTCTTTCTAGCTTGTAGGGGAAGATATTCCCTTTATCACCATGGGCCTCAAACCGTCCGAAACGTCCACTTCCATTTACTACAAAAAGAGTGTTTCAAACCTGCTCTATGAAAGGCAATGTTCAACTCTGTGAGTTGAATGCAGACATCACAGAGCAGTTTCTGAGAATGCTTCTGTCTAGATTTTATAGGAAGATATTCCCGTTTCCAACGAAATCTTCACAGCTATCCAAATATCCACTTTCAGATTCTACAAAAAGAGTGTATCAAACTGCTCAGTCAAAAGGAAGGTTCTTCTCTGTTAGGTGAGTGCATACGTCATAAAGGAGTTTCTGAGAATGTTTCTGTCTAGTGGTTATGGGAAGATATTTGCTTTTTCACCGTAGGCCTCAGAGCGCTCCAAATGTCCACTTGCACATACTACAAAAAGATTGCTTCAAACCTGCTCTCTGAAACGGAATGTTCAACTCTATGAGTTGAATGCAAACATCACAAAGACGTTTCTGAGAATGCTTCTGTCTAGATTTGATATGAAGATATTCCCGTTACCAACGAAATCTGCAAATCTATCCAAATGTCCACTTGCAGATTCTACAAAAAGTGTTTTTCAGAACTGCTCTATCAAAAGAAAGATCCACCTCTGTTAGCTGAGTTCACACATCACAAACAAGTTTATGAGAATGCTTCTGTGTAGTTTTTATTTGAAGATATTTCCTTTCTCACCATAGACCTGAAAGCTGTCCTAATGTTCACTTCCAGATACTACAGAAAGAGTGTTTTAAAACTGCTGTACGAAAGGGAATGTTCAACTCTGTGACTTGAATGCACACATCACAAAGAAGTTTCTGAGGATGCTGCTGTCTACTTTTTATACGTAATCCCGTTTCCAACGAAATCCTCCAAGCTATCCAAATATCCACTTGCAGATTTCACAAAAAGACTGTTTCAATACTGCTCTGTCAATAGAAAGGTTCAACTCTGTTAGCTGCGTGCATATATCCCAAAGAAGATTCTGAGATTGCTTCTGTCTAGTTTTTATGGGAAGATATTTCCCTTTTCACCATAGGCGTCAAGGCGCTCCAAATGTCCACTTCCAGATACTACAAAAAGAGTGTTTCAAACCTACTCTGTGAAAGGGAATATTCAACTCTGTGACTTGAATGCAGATATCACAAAGAAGTTTCTGAGAATGCTTCTGTCGAGATTTTATATGAAGATATTCCCGTTTCCAACAAAATCCTGAAATCTATCCAAATATCCCCTCGCAGATTCTACAAAAAGAGTGTTTCAAAACTGCTCTGTAAAAAGAAAGGTTCAACTCTGTTAGTTGAGTACACACATCAGAAACAAGTTTCACAGAATGCTTCTTTCTAGCTTGTAGGGGAAGATATTCCCTTTATCACCATGGGCCTCAAACCGTCCGAAACGTCCACTTCCATATACTACAAAAAGAACGCTTCAAACCTGCTCTATGAAAGACAATGTTCAACTCTGTGACTTGAATGCAGACATCACAGAGCAGTTTGCTGAGAATGCTTCTGTCTAGATTTTATAGGAAGATATTCCCGTTTCCAACGAAATCTTCACAGCTATCCAAATATCCACTTGCAGATTCAACAAAAAGAGTGTATCAAAACTGCTCTGTCAAAAGGAAGGTTCTTCTCTGTTAGGTGAGTGCATACGTCATAAAGGAGTTTCTGAGAATGTTTCTGTCTAGTGGTTATGGGAAGATATTTGCTTTTTCACCGTAGGCCACAGAGCGCTCCAAATATCCACTTGCACATACTACAAAAAGAGTGCTTCAAAGCTGGTCTCTGAAACGGAATGTTCAACTCTATGAGTTGAATGCAAACATCACAAAGACGTTTCTGAGAATGCTTCTGTCTAGATTTGATATGAAGATATTCCCGTTTCCAACGAAATCTTCAAATCTATCCAAATGTGCACTTGCAGATTCAACAAAAAGTGTTTTTCAGAACTGCTCCATCAAAAGAAAGATCCACCTCTGTTAGCTGAGTTCACACATCACAAACAAGTTTATGAGAATGCTTCTGTCTAGTTTTTATTTGAAGATATTTCCTTTCTCACCATAGACCTGAAAGCTGTCCTAATGTTCACTTCCAGTTACTACAGAAAGAGTGTTTCAAAACTGCTGTACGAAAGGGAAGTTCAACTCTGTGACTTGAATGCACACATCACAAAGAAGTTTCTGAGGATGCTGCTGTCTACTTTTTATACGTAATCCCGTTTCCAACGAAATCCTCCAAGCTATCCAAATATCCAATTGCAGATTCCACAGAAAGACTGTTTCAAAACTGCTCTGTCAATAGAAAGGTTCAACTCTGTTAGCTGCGTGCATATATCCCAAAGAAGATTCTGAGATTTCTGCTGTCTAGTTTTTATGGGAAGATATTTCCCTTTTCACCGTAGGCGTCAAGGCGCTCCAAATATCCACTTCCAGATACCTCAAAAAGAGTGTTTCAAACCTACTCTGTGAAAGGGAATATTCAACTCTGTGACTTGAATGCACATATCACAAAGAAGTTTCTGAGAATGCTTCTGTCGAGATTTTATATGAAGATATTCCCGTTTCCAACGAAATGCTGAAATCTATCCAAATATCCCCTCGCAGATTCTACAAAAAGAGTGTTTCAAAACTGCTCTGTGAAAAGAAAGGTTCAATTCTGTTAGTTGAGTACACACATCACAAACAAGTTTCACAGAATGCTTCTTTCTAGCTTGTAGGGGAAGATATTCCCTTTATCACCATGGGCCTCAGACCGTCCGAAACGTCCACTTCCATATACTACAAAAAGAGCGTTTCAAACCTGCTCTATGAAAGGCAATGTTCAACTCTGTGACTTGAATGCAGACATCACAGAGCAGTTTCTGAGAATGCTTCCGTCTAGATTTTATAGGAAGATATTCCCGTTTCAAACGAAATCTTCACAGCTATCCAAATATCCACTTGCAGATTCTACAAAAAGAGTGTATCAAAACTGCTCTGTCAAAAGGAAGGTTCTTCTCTGTTAGTTGAGTACATACGTCATAAAGGAGTTTCTGAGAATGTTTCTGTCTAGTGGTTATGGGAAGATATTTGCTTTTTCACCGTAGGCCTCAGAGCGCTCCAAATATCCACTTGCACAAACTACAAAAAGAGTGCCTCAAAGCTGCTCTCTGAAACGGAATGTTCAACTCTATGAGTTGAATGCAAACATCACAAAGACGTTTCTGAGAATGCTTCTGTCTAGATTTGATATGAAGATATTCTCGTTTCCAACGAAATCTTCAAATCTATCCAAATGTCCACTTGCAGATTCAACAAAAAGTGTTTTTCAGAACTGCTCTATCAAAAGAAAGATCCACCTCTGTTAGCTGAGTTCACACATCACAAACAAGTTTATGAGAATGCTTCTGTCTAGTTTTTATTTGAAGATATTTCCTTTCTCACCATAGACCTGAAAGCTGTCCTAATGTTCACTTCCAGATACTACAGAAAGAGTGTTTCAAAACTGCTGTACGAAAGGGAATGTTCAACTCTGTTACTTGAATGCACACATCACAAAGAAGTTTCTGAGGATGCTGCTGTCTACTTTTTATACGTAATCCCGTTTCCAACGAAATCCTCCAAGCTATGCAAATATCCACTTGCAGATTCCACAGAAAGACTGTTTCAAAACTGCTCTGTCAATAGAAAGGTTCAACTCTGTTAGCTGCGTGCATATATCCCAAAGAAGATTCTGAGATTGCTTGTGTCTACTTTTTATGAGAAGATATTTCCCTTTTCACCGTAGGCGTCAAGGCGCTCCAAATGTCCACTTCCAGATACTACAAAAAGAGTGTTTCAAACCTACTCTGTGAAACGGAATATTCAACTCTGTGACTTGAATGCAGATATCACAAAGAAGTTTCTGAGAATGCTTCTGTCTAGATTTTATAGGAAGATATTCCCGTTTCCAACGAAATCTTCACAGCTATCCAAATATCCACTTGCAGATTCTACAAAAAGAGTGTATCAAAACTGCTCTGTCAAAAGGAAGGTTGTTCTCTGTTAGGTGAGTGCATACGTCATAAAGGAGTTTCTGAGAATGTTTCTGTCTAGTGGTTATGGGAAGATATTTGCTTTTTCACCGTAGGCCTCAGAGCTCTCCAAATATCCACTTGCACATACTACAAAAAGTGTGCCTCAAAGCTGCTCTCTGAAACGGAATGTTCAACTCTATGAGTTGAATGCAAACATCACAAAGACGTTTCTGAGAATGCTTCTGTATAGATTTGATATGAAGATATTCCCGTTTCCAACGAAATCTTCAAATCTATCTAAATGTCCACTTGCAGATTCAACAAAAAGTGTTTTTCAGAACTGCTCTATCAAAAGAAAGATCCACCTCTGTTAGCTGAGTTCACACATCACAAACAAGTTTATGAAAATGCTTCTGTCTAGTTTTTATTTGAAGATATTTCCTTTCTCACCATAGACCTGAAAGCTGTCCTAATGTTCACTTCCAGTTACTACAGAAAGAGTGTTTCAAAACTGCTGTACGAAAGGGAATGTTGAACTCTGTGACTTGAATGCACACATCACAAAGAAGTTTCTGAGGATGCTGCTGTCTACTTTTTATACGTAATCCCGTTTCCAACGAAATCCTCCAAGCTATCCAAATATCCACTTGCAGATTCCACAGAAAGACTGTTTCAAAACTGCTCTGTCAATAGAAAGGTTCAACTCTGTTAGCTGCGTGCACATATCCCAAAGAAGATTCTGAGATTGCTTCTGTCTACTTTTTATGAGAAGATATTTCCCTTTTCACCGTAGGCGTCAAGGCGCTCTAAATGTCCACTTCCAGATACTACAAAAAGAGTGTTTCAAACCTACTCTGTGAAAGGGAATATTCAACTCTGTGACTTGAATGCACATATCACAAAGAAGCTTCTGAGAATGCTTCTGTCGAGATTTTATATGAAGATATTCCCGTTTCCAACGAAATCCTGAAATGTATCCAAATATCCCCTCGCAGATTCTACAAAAAGAGTGTTTCAAAACTGCTCTGTAAAAAGAAAGGTTCAACTCTGTTAGTTGAGTACACACATCACAAACAACTTTCACACAATGCTTCTTTCTAGCTTGTAGGGGAAGATATTCCCTTTATCACCATGGGCCTCAAACCGTCCGATAAGTCCACTTCCATATACTACAAAAAGAGCATTTCAAACCTGCTCTATGAAAGGCAATGTTCAACTCTGTGACTTGAATGCAGACATCACAGAGCAGTTTCTGAGAATGCTTCTGTCTAGATTTTGTAGGAAGATATTCCCGATTCCATCGAAATCTTCACAGCTATCCAAATATCCACTTGCAGATTCTACAAAAAGAGTGTATCAAAACTGCTCTGTCAAAAGGAAGGTTCTTCTCTGTTAGGTGAGTGCATACGTCATAAAGGAGTTTCTGAGAATGTTTCTGTCTAGTGGTTATGGGAAGATATTTGCTTTTTCACCGTAGGCCTCACAGCGCTCTAAATATCCACTTGCACATACTACAAAAAGAGTGCTTAAAAGGTGCTCTCTGAAGCTGAATGTTCAACTCTATGAGTTGAATGCAAACATCACAAAGACGTTTCTGAGAATGCTTCTGTCTAGATTTGATATGAAGATATTCCCGTTTCCAACGAAATCTTCAAATCTATCCAAATGTCCACTTGCAGATTCAACAAAAAGTGTTTTTCACAACTGCTCTATCAAAAGAAAGATCCACCTCTGTTAGCTGAGTTCACACATCACAAACAAGTTTATGAGAATGCTTCTGTCTAGTTTTTATTTGAAGATATTTCCTTTCTCACCATAGACCTGAAAGCTGTCCTAATGTTCACTTCCAGATACTACAGAAAGAGTGTTTCAAAACTGCTGTATGAAAGGGAATGTTCAACTACTGTGACTTGAATGCAGACATCACAGAGCAGTTTCTGAGAATGCTGCTGTCTACTTTTTATACGTAATCCCGTTTCCAACGAAATCCTCCAAGCTATCCAAATATCCACTTGCAGATTCCACAGAAAGACTATTTCAAAACTACTCTGTCCATAGAAAGGTTCAACTCTGTTAGCTGCGTGCATATATCCCAAAGAAGATTCTGAGATTGCTTCTGTCTAGTTTTTATGGGAAGATATTTCCCTTTTCACCGTAGGCGTCAAGGCACTCCAAATGTCCACTTCCAGATACTACAAAAAGAGTGTTTCAAACCTACTCTGCGAAAGGGAATATTCAACTCTGTGACTTGAATGCACATATCACAAAGAAGTTTCTGAGAATGCTTCTGTCGAGATTTTATATGAAGATATTCCCGTTTCCAACGAAATCCTGAAATGTATCCAAATATCCACTCGCAGATTCTACAAAAAGAGTGTTTCAAAACTGCTCTGTAAAAAGAAAGGTTCAACTCTGTTAGTTGAGTACACACATCACAAACAAGTTTCACAGAATGCTTCTTTCTAGCTTGTAGGGGAAGATATTCCCTTTATCACCATGGGCCTCAAACCGTCCGAAACGTCCACTTGCATATACTACAAAAAGAGTGTTTCAAACCTGCTCTATGAAAGGCAATGTTCAACTCTGTGACTTGAATGCAGACATCACAGAGCAGTTTCTGAGAATGCTTCTGTCTAGATTTTATAGGAAGATATTCCCGTTTCCAACGAAATCTTCACAGCTATCCAAATATCCACTTGCAGATTCTACAAAAAGAGTGTATCAAAACTGCTCTGTCAAAAGGAAAGTTCTTCTCTGTTAGGTGAGTGCACACGTCATAAAGGAGTTTCTGAGAATGTTTCTGTCTAGTGGTTACGGGAAGATATTTGCTTTTTCACCTTAGGCCTCACAGCGCTCCAAATATCCACTTTCACATACTACAAAAAGAGTGCTTCAAAGCTGCTCTCTGAAACGGAATGTTCAACTCTATGAGTTGAATGCAAACATCACAAAGACGTTTCTGAGAATGCTTCTGTCTAGATTTGATATGGAGATATTCCCGTTTCCAACGAAATCTTCAAATCTATCCAAATGTCCACTTGCAGATTCAACAAAAAGTGTTTTTCAGAACTGCTCTATCAAAAGAAAGATCCACCTCTGTTAGCTGAGTTCACACATCACAAACAAGTTTATGAGAATGCTTCTGTCTAGTTTTTATTTGAAGATATTTCCTTTCTCACCATAGACCTGAAAGCTGTCCTAATGTTCACTTCCAGATACCACAGAAAGAGTGTTTAAAAACTGCTGTACGAAAGGGAATGTTCAACTCTGTGACTTGAATGCACACATCACAAAGAAGGTTCTGAGGATGTTGCTGTCTACTTTTTATACGTAATCCCGTTTCCAGCGAAATCCTCCAAGCTATCCAAATATCCACTTGCAGATTCCACAGAAAGACTGTTTCAAAACTGCTCTGTCAATAGAAAGGTTCAACTCTGTTAGCTGCGTGCATATATCCCAAAGAAGATTCTGAGATTGCTTCTGTCTAGTTTTTATGGGAAGATATTTCCCTTTTCACCGTAGGTGTCAACGCGCTCCAAATGTCCACTTCCAGATACTACAAAAAGAGTGTTTCAAACCTACTCTGTGAAAGGGAATATTCAACTCTGTGACTTGAATGCACATATCACAAAGAAGTTTCTGAGAATGCTTCTGTCGAGATTTTATATGAAGATATTCCCGTTTCCAACAAAATCCTGAAATGTATCCAAATATCCCCTCGCAGATTCTACAAAAAGAGTGTTTCAAAACTGCTCTGTAAAAAGAAAGGTTCAACTCTGTTAGTTGAGTACACACATCACAAACAAGTTTCACAGAATGCTTCTTTCTAGCTTGTAGTGGAAGATATTCCCTTTATCACCATGGGCCTCAAACCGTCTGAAACGTCCACTTCCATATACTACAAAAAGAGCATTTCCAACCTGCTCTATGAAAGGCAATGTTCAACTCTGTGACTTGAATGCAGACATCACAGAGCAGTTTCTGAGAATGCTTCTGTCTAGATTTTATAGGAAGATATTCCCGTTTCCAACGAAATCTTCACAGCTATCCAAATATCCACTTGCAGATTCTACAAAAAGAGTGTGTCAAAACTGCTCTGTCAAAAGGAAGGTTCTTCTCTGTTAGGTGAGTGCATACGTCATAAAGCAGTTTCTGAGAATGTTTCTGTCTAGTGGTTATGGGAAGATATTTGCTTTTTCACCGTAGGCCTCAGAGCGCTCCAAATATCCACTTGCACATACTACAAAAAGAGTGCCTCATACTGCTCTCTGAAACGGAATGTTCAACTCTATGAGTTGAATGCAAACATCGCAAAGACGTTTCTGAGAATGCTTCTGTCTAGATTTGATATGAAGATATTCCCGTTTCCAGCGAAATCTTCAAATCTATCGAAATGTCCACTTGCAGATTCAACAAAAAGTGTTTTTCAGAACTGCTCTATCAAAAGAAAGATCCACCTCTGTTAGCTGAGTTCACACATCACAAACAAGTTTATGAGAATGCTTCTGTCTAGTTTTTATTTGAAGATATATCCTTTCTCACTATAGACCTGAAAGCTCTCCTAAAGTTCACTTCCAGATACTACAGAAAGAGTGTTTCAAAACTGCTGTACGAAAGGGAATATTCAACTCTGTGACTTGAATGCACACATCACAAGGAAGTTTCTCAGGATGCTGCTGTCCACTTTTTATACGTAATCCCGTTTCCAACGAAATCCTCCAATCTATCCAAATATCCACTTGCAGATTCCACAGAAAGACTGTTTCAAAACTGCTCTGTCAATAGAAAGGTTCAACTCTGTTAGCTGCGTGCATATATCCCAAAGAAGATTCTGAGATTGCTTCTGTCTAGTTTTTATGGGAAGATATTTCCCTTTTCACCGTAGGTGACAAGGCGCTCCAAATGTCCACTTCCAGATACTACAAAAAGAGTGTTTCAAACCTACTCTGTGAAAGGGAATATTCAACTCTGTGACTTAAAGGCAGATATCACAAAGAAGTTTCTGAGAATGCTTCTGTCGAGATTTTATATGAAGATATTCCCGTTTCCAACGAAATCCTGAAATCTATCCAAATATCCCCTCGCAGATTTTATAAAAAGAGTGTTTCAAAACAGCTCTGTGAAAAGAAAGGTTCAACTCTGTTAGTTGAGTACACACATCACAAAGAAGTTTCACAGAATGCTTCTTTCTAGCTTGTAGGGGAAGATATTCCCTTTATCACCATGGGCCTCCAACCGTCCGATAAGTCCACTTCCATATCCTACAAAAAGAGCGTTTCAAACCTGCTCTATGAAAGGCAATGTTCAACTCTGTGACTTGAATGCAGACATCACAGAGCAGTTTCTGAGAATGCTTCTGTCTAGATTTTATAGGAAGATATTCCCGTTTCCAAAGAAATCTTCACAGCTATCCAAATATCCACTTGCAGATGCTACAAAAAGAGTGTATCAAAAATGCTCTGTCAAAAGGAAGGTTATTCTCTGTTAGGTGAGGGCATACGTCATAAAGGAGTTTCTGAGAATGTTTCTGTCTAGTGGTTATGGGAAGATATTTGCTTTTTCACCGTAGGCCACAGAGCGATCAAAACATCCACTTGCACATACTACAAAAAGAGTGCTTCAAAGCTGCTCTCTGAAAGTGAATGTTCAACTCTATGAGTTGAATGCAAACATCACAAAGAAGTTTCTGAGAATGCTTCTGTCTAGATTTGATATAAAGATATTCCCGTTTCCAATGAAATCTTCAAATCTATCCAAATGTCCACTTGCAGATCCAACAAAAAGTGTTTTTCAGAACTGCTCTATCAAAAGAAAGATCCACCTCTGTTAGCTGAGTTCACACATCACAAACAAGTTTATGAGAATGCTTCTGTCTAGCTTTTATTTGAAGATATATCCTTTCTCACTATAGACCTGAAAGCTCTCCTAAAGTTCACTTCCAGATACTACAGAAAGAGTGTTTCAAAACTGCTGTACGAAAGGGAATGTTCAACTCTGTGACTTGAATGCACACATCACAAAGAAGTTTCTGAGGATGCTGCTGTCTACTTTTTATACGTAATCCCGTTTCCAACGAAATCCTCCAAGCTATCCAAATATCCACTTGCAGATTCCACAGAAAGACTGTTTCAAAACTGCTCTGTCAATAGAAAGGTTCAACTCTGTTAGCTGCGTGCATATATCCCAAAACAGATTCTGAGATTGCTTCTGTCTACTTTTTATGAGAAGATATTTCCCTTTTCACCGTAGGCGTCAAGGCACTCCCAATGTCCACTTCCAGATACTACAAAAAGAGTGTTTCAAACCTACTCTGTGAAAGGGAATATTCAACTCTGTGACTTGAATGCACATATCACAAAGAAGCTTCTGAGAATGCTTCTGTCGAGATTTTATATGAAGATATTCCCATTTCCAACGAAATCCTGAAATCTATCCAAATATGCCCTCGCAGATTCTACAAAAAGAGTGTTTCAAAACTGCTCTGTAAAAAGAAAGGTTCAACTCTGTTAGTTGAGTACACACATCACAAACAAGTTTCACAGAATGCTTCTTTCTAGCTTGTAGGGGAAGATATTTCCTTTATCACCATGGGCCTCAAACCGTCCGAAACGTCCACTTCCATATACTAAAAAAAGAGTGCTTGAAACCTGCTCTATGAAAGGCAATGTTCAACTCTGTGACTTGAATGCAGACATCACAGTAGCAGTTTCTGAGAATGCTTCTGTCTAGATTTTATAGGAATATATTCCCGTTTCCAACGAAATCTTCACAGCTATCCAAATATCCACTTGCAGATTCTACAAAAAGAGTGTATCAAAACTGCTCTGTCAAAAGGAAGGTTCTTTTCTGTTAGGTGAGTGCATACGTCATAAAGGAGTTTCTGAGAATGTTTCTGTCTAGTGGTTATGGGAAGATATTTGCTTTTTCACCGTAGGCCTCAGAGCGCTCCAAATATCCACTTGCACATACTACAAAAAGAGTGCCTCAAAGCTGCTTTCTGAAACGGAATGTTCAACTCTATGAGTTGAATGCAAACAACGCAAAGACGTTTCTGAGAATGCTTCTGTCTAGATTTGATATGAAGATATTCCCGTTTCCAATGAAATCTTCAAATCTATCCAAATGTCCACTTGCAGATTCAACAAAAAGTGTTTTTCAAAACTGCTGTATCAAAAGAAAGATCCACCTCTGTTAGCTGAGTTCACACATCACAAACAAGTTTATGAGAATGCTTCTGTCTAGTTTTTATTTGAAGATGTTTCCTTTCTCACCATAGACCTGAAAGCTGTCCTAATGTTCACTTCCAGATACTACAGAAAGAGTGTTTCAAAACTGCTGTACGAAAGGGAATGTTCAACTCTGTGACTTGAATGCACACATCACAAAGGAGTTTCTGAGGATGCTGCTGTCTACTTTTTATATGTAATCCCGTTTCCAACGAAATCCTCCAAGCTATCCAAATATCCACTTGCAGATTCCACAGAAAGACTGTTTCAAAACTGCTCTGTCAATAGAAAGGTTCAACTCTGTTAGCTGCGTGCATATATCCCAAAGAAGATTCTGAGATTGCTTCTGTCTAGTTTTTATGGGAAGATATTTCCCTTTTCACCGTAGGTGTCAAGGCGCTCCAAATGTCCACTTAAAGATACTACAAAAAGAGTGTTTCAAACCTACTCTGTGAAAGGGAATATTCAACTCTGTGACTTGAATGCAGATATCACAAAGAAGTTTCTGAGAATGCTTCTGTCGAGATTTTATATGAAGATATTCCCGTTTCCAAGGAAATCCTGAAATCTATCCAAATATCCCCTCGCAGATTCTACAGAAAGAGTGGTTCAACACTGCTCTGTAAAACGAAAGGTTCAACTCTGTTAGTTGAGTACACACATCACAAACAAGTTTCACAGAATGCTTCTTTCTAGCTTGTAGGGGAAGATATTCCCTTTATCACCATGGGCCTCAAACCGTCCGAAACGTCCACTTCCATATACTACAAAAAGAGTGTTTCAAACCTGCTCTATGAAAGGCAATGTTCAGCTCTGTGACTTGAATGCAGACATCACAGAGCAGTTTCTGAGAATGCTTCTGTCTAGAGTTTATAGGAAGATATTCCCGTTTCCAACGAAATCTTCACAGCTATCCAAATATCCACTTGCAGATTCTACAAAAAGAGTGTATCAAAACTGCTCTGTCAAAAGGAAGGTTCTTTTCTGTTAGGTGAGTGCATACGTCATAAAGGAGTTTCTGAGAATGTTTCTGTCTAGTGGTTATGGGAAGATATTTGCTTTTTCACCGTAGGCCTCAGAGCGCTCCAAATATCCCCTTGCACATACTACAAAAAGAGTGCTTCAAAGCTGCTCTCTGAAAGGGAATCTTCAACTCTATGAGTTGAATGCCAACATCACAAAGACGTTTCTGAGAATGCTTCTGTCTAGATTTGATATGAAGATATTCCCGTTTCCAACGAAATCTTCAAATCTATCCAAATGTCCACTTGCAGATTCAACAAAGTGTTTTTCAGAACTGCTCTATCAAAAGAAAGATCCACCTCTGTTAGCTGAGATCACTCTTCACAAACAAGTTTATCAGAATGCTTCTGTCTAGTTTTTATTTGAAGATATTTCCTTTCTCACCATAGACCTGAAAGCTGTCCTAATGTTCACTTCCAGATACTACAGAAAGAGTGTTTCAAAACTGCTGTACTAAAGGGAATGTTCAACTCTGTGACTTGAATGCACACATCACAAAGAAGTTTCTGAGGATGCTGCTGTCTACTTTTTATACGTAATCCCGTTTCCAACGAAATCCTCCAAGCTATCCAAATATCCACTTGCAGATTCCACAGAAACACTGTTTCAAAACTGTTCTGTCAATAGAAAGGTTCAACTATGTTAGCTGCGTGCATATATCCCAAAGAAGATTCTGAGATTGCTTCTCTGTCTAGTTTTTATGGGAAGATATTTCCCTTTTCACCGTAGGCGTCAAGGCCCTCCAAATGTCCACTTCCAGATACTACAAAAAGAGTGTTTCAAACCTACTCTGTGAAAGGGAATATTCAACTCTGTGACTTGAAGGCAGATATCACAAAGAAGTTTCTGAGAATGCTTCTGTCGAGATTTTATATGAAGATATTCCCGTTTCCAACGAAATCCTGAAATCTATCCAAATATCCCCTCGCAGATTCTACAAAAAGAGTGTTTCAAAACTGCTCTGTATAAAGAAAGGTTCAACACTGTTAGTTGAGTACACACATCACAAACAAGTTTCACAGAATGCTTCTTTCTAGCTTGTAGGGGAAGATATTCCCTTTATCACCATGGGCCTCAAACCGTCCGAAACGTCCACTTCCATATACTACAAAAAGAGCGTTTCAAACCTGCTCTAGGAAAGGCAATGTTGAACTCTGTGACTTGAATGCAGACATCACAGAGCAGTTTCTGAGAATGCTTCTGTCTAGATTTTATAGGAAGATATTCCCGTTTCCAACGAAATCTTCACAGCTATCCCAATATAAACTTGCAGATTCTACAAAAAGAGTGTATCAAAACTGCTCTGTCAAAAGGAAGGTTCTTCTCTGTTAGGTGAGTGCATACGTCATAAAGGAGTTTCTGAGAATGTTTCTGTCTAGTGGTTATGGGAAGATATTTGCTTTTTCCCCGTAGGCCTCAGGGCGCTCCAAATGTCCACTTGCACATGCTACAAAAAGAGTGCTTCAAAGCTACTCTCTGGAAGGGAATGTTCAACTACTATGAGTTGAATGCAAACATCACAAAGACCTTTCTGAGAATGCTTCTGTCTAGATTTGATTTGAAGATATTCACGTTTCCAACGAAATCTTCAAATCTATCCAAATGTCCACTTGCAGATTCAACAAAAAGTGTTTTTCAGAACTGCTCTATCAAAAGAAAGATCCACCTCTGTTAGCTGAGTTCAGACATCATAAACAAGTTTATGAGAATGCTTCTGTCTAGTTTTTATTTGAAGGTATTTCCTTTCTCACCCTAGACCTGAAAGCTGTCCTAATGTTCACTTCCAGATACTACAGAAAGAGTGTTTCAAAACTGCTGTACGAAAGGGAATGTTCAACTCTGGGACTTGAATGCATACATCACAAAGAAGTTTCTGAGGATGCTGCTGTCTACTTTTTATACGTAATCCTGTTTCCAACGAAATCCTCCAAGCTATCCAAATATCCACTTGCAGATTCCACAGAAAGACTGTTTCAAAACTGCTCTGTCAATAGAAAGGTTCAACTCTGTTAGCTGCGTGCATGTATCCCAAAGAGGATTCTGAGATTGCTTCTGTCTAGTTTTTATGGGAAGATATTTCCCTTTTCACCGTAGGCGTCAAGGCGCTCCAAATGTCCACTTCCAGATACTACAAAAAGAGTGTTTCAAACCTACTCTGTGAAAGGGAATATTCAACTCTGTGACTTGAATGCACATATCACAAAGAAGTTTCTGAGAATGATTCTGTCGAGATTTTATATGAAGATATTCCCGTTTCCAACGAAATCCTGAAATCTATCCAAATATCCCCTCGCACATTCTACAAAAAGAGTGTTTCAAAACTGCTCTGTAAAAAGAAAGGTTCAACTCTGTTAGTTGAGTACACACATCACAAACAAGTTTCACAGAATGCTTCTTTCTAGCTTGTAGGGGAAGATATTCCCTTTATCACCAAGGGCCTCAAACCGTCCGAAACGTCCACTTCCATATACTACAAAAAGAGCGTTTCAAACCTGCTCTAGGAAAGGCAATGTTCAACTCTGTGACTTGAATGCAGACATCACAGAGCAGTTTCTGAGAATGATTCTGTCTAGATTTTATAGGAAGATATTCCCGTTTCCAACGAAATCTTCACAGATATCCAAATATCCACTTGCAGATTCTACAAAAAGAGTGTATCAAAACTGCTCTGTCAAAAGGAAGGTTCTTCTCTGTTAGGTGAGTGCATACGTCATAAAGGAGTTTCTGAGAATGTTTCTGTCTAGTGGTTATGGGAAGATATTTGCTTTTTCACCGTAGGCCTCACAGCGCTCCAAATATCCCCTTGCACATACTACAAAAAGAGTGCTTCAAAGCTGCTCTCTGAAAGGGAATGTTCAACTCTATGAGTTGAATGCAAACATCACAAAGACGTTTCTGAGAATGCTTCTGTCTAGATTTGATATGAAGATATTCCTTTTTCCAAGGAAATCTTCAAAACTATCCAAATGTCCACTTGCAGATTCAACAAAAAGTGTTTTTCAGAACTGCTCTATCAAAAGAAAGATCCACCGTTGTTAGCTGAGTTCACACATCACAAACAAGTTTATGAGAATGCTTCTGTCTAGTTTTTATTTGAAGATATTTCCTTTCTCACCATAGACCTGAAAGCTGTCCTAATGTTCACTTCCAGATACTACAGAAAGAGTGTTTCAAAACTGCTCTGTAAAAAGAAAGGTTCAACTCTGTTAGTTGAGTACACACATCACAAACAAGTTTCACAGAATGCTGCTGTCTACTTTTTATACGTAATCCCGTTTCCAACGAAATCCTCCAAGCTATCCAAATATCCACTTGCAGATTCCACAGAAAGACTGTTTCAAAACTGCTCTGTCAATAGAAAGGTTCAACTCTGTTAGCTGCGTGCATATATCCCAAAGGAAGATTCTGAGATTGCTTCTGTCTACTTTTTATGGGAAAATATTTCCCTTTTCACCGTAGGTGTCAAGGCGCTCCAAATGTCCACTTCCAGATACTACAAAAAGAGTGTTTCAAACCTACTCTGTGAAAGGGAATATTCAACTCTGTGACTTGAATGCAGATATCACAAAGAAGTTTCTGAGAATGCTTCTGTCGAGATTTTATATGAAGATATTCCCGTTTCCAACGAAATCCTGAAATCTATCCAAATATCCCCTCGCAGATTCTACAAAAAGAGTGTTTCAAAACTGCTCTGTAAAAAGAAAGGTTCAACTCTGTTAGTGGAGTACACACATCACAAACAAGTTTCACACAATGCTTCTTTCTAGCTTGTAGGGGAAGATATTCCCTTTATCACCATGGGCCTCAAACCGTCCGAAACGTCCACTTCCATATACTTCAAAAAGAGCGTTTCAAACCTGCTCTATGAAAGGCAATGTTCAACTCTGTGACTTGAATGCAGACATCACAGAGCTGTTTCTGAGAATGCTTCTGTCTAGATTTTATAGGAAGATATTCCCGTTTCCAACGAAATCTTCACAGCTATCCAAATATCCACTTTCAGATTCTACAAAAAGAGTGTATGAAAAGTGCTCTGTCAAAAGGAAGGTTCTTCTCTGTTAGGTGAGTGCATACGTCATAAAGGAGTTTCTGAGAATGTTTCTGTCTAGTGGTTATGGGAAGATATTTGCTTTTTCAACGTAGGCCTCAGAGCGCTCCAAATATCCACTTGCACATACTACAAAAAGAGTGCTTCAAAGCTGCTCTCTGAAACGGAATGTTCAACTCTATGAGTTGAATGCAAACATCACAAAGACGTTTCTGAGAATGCTTCTGTCTAGATTTGATATGAAGATATTCCCGTTTCCAACGAAATCTTCAAATCTATCCAAATGTCCACTTGCAGATTCAACAAAAAGTTTTTTTCAGAACTGCTCTATCAAAAGAAAGATCCACCTCTGTTAGCTGAGTTCACACATCACAAACAAGTTTATGAGAATGCTTCTGTCTTGTTTTTATTTGAAGATATTTCCTTTCTCACCATAGACCTGAAAGCTGTCCTAATGTTCACTTCCAGATACTACAGAAAGAGTGTTTCAAAACTGCTGTACGAAAGGGAATGTTCAACACTGTGACTTGAATGCACACATCACAAAGAAGTTTGCTGAGGATGCTGCTGTCTACTTTTTATACGTAATCCCATTTCCAACGAAATCCTCCAAGCTATCCAAATATCCACTTGCAGATTCCACAGAAAGACTGTTTCAAAACTGCTATGTCAATAGAAAAGTTCAACTCTGTTAGCTGTGTGCATATATCCCAAAGATAATTCTGAGATTGCTTCTGTCTAGTTTTTATGGGAAGATATTTCCCTTTTCACCGTAGGCGTCAAGGCGCTCCAAATGTCCACTTCCAGATACTACAAAAAGATTGTTTCAAACCTACTCTGTGAAAGGGAATATTCAACTCTGTGACTTGAATGCACATATCACAAAGAAGTTTCTGAGAATGCTTCTGTCGAGATTTTATATGAAGATATTCCCCTTTCCAACGAAATCCTGAAATCTATCCAAATATCCCCTCGCAGATTCTACAAAAAGAGTGTTTCAAAACTGCTCTGTAAAAAGAAAAGTTCAACTCTGTTAGTTGAGTACACACATCACAAACAAGTTTCACAGAATGCTTCTTTCTAGCTTGTAGGGGAAGATATTTCCTTTATCTCCATGGGCATCAAGCCGTCCGAAACGTCCACTTCCATATATTACGAAAAGAGCGTTTCATACCTCCTCTGTGAAAGGCAATGTTCAACTCTCTGACTTGAATGCAGACATCACAGAGCAGTTTCTGAGAATGCTTCTGTTTAGATTTTATAGGAAGATATTCCCGTTTCCAACGAATTCTTCACTGATATCCAAATATCCACTTGCAGAGTCTACAAAAAGAGTGTATCAATACTGCTCTGTAAAAAGGAAGGTTCTTCTCTGTTAGTTGAGTACATACGTCATAAAGAAGTTTCTGAGAATGTTTCTGTCTAGTGGTTATGGGAAGATATTTGCTTTTTCACCTTAGGCCTCAGAGCGCTCCAAATATCCACTTGCACATACTACAAAAAGAGTGCTTCAAAGCTGCTCTCTGAAAGGGAATGTTCAACTCTATGAGTTGAATGCAAACATCACAAGGACGTTTCTGACAATGCTCTGTCTAGATTTGATATGAAGATATTCCCGTTTCCAACGAAATCTTCATATCTATCCAAATGTCCACTTGCAGATTCAACAAAAAGTGTTTTTCAAAACTGCTGTATCAAAAGAAAGATCCACGTCTGTTAGCTGAGTTCACACATCACAAACAAGTTTATGAGAATGCTTTCTGTCTAGTTTCTATTTGAAGATATTTCCTTTCTCACCATAGACCTGAAAGCTGTCCTAATGTTCACTTCCAGATACTACAGAAAGAGTGTTTCAAAACTGCTGTACGAAAGGGAACGTTCAACTCTGTGACTTGAATGCACACATCACAAAGAAGTTTCTGAGGATGCTGCTGTCTACTTTTTATACTTAATCCCGTTTCCAACGAAATCCTCCAAGCTATCCAAATATCCACTTGCAGATTCCACAGAAAGACTGTTTCAAAACCGCTCTGTCAATAGAAAGGTTCAACTCTGTTAGCTGCGTGCATATATCCCAAAGAAGATTCTGAGATTCCTTCTGTCTAGTTTTTATGGGAAGATATTTCCCTTTTCACCGTAGGCATCAAGGCGCTCCAAATGTCCACTTCCAGATACTACAAAAAGAGTGTTTGAAACCTACTCTGTGAAAGGGAATATTCAACTATGTGACTTGAATGCAGATATCCCAAAGAAGTTTCTGAGAATGCTTCTGTCGAGATTTTATATGAGGATATTCCCGTTTCCAACGAAATCCTGAAATCTATCCAAATATCCCCTCACAGATTCTACAAAAAGAGTGTTTCAAAACTGCTCTGTAAAAAGAAAGGTTCAACTCTGTTAGTTGAGTACACACATCACAAACAAGTTTCACAGAATGCTTCTTTCTAGCTTGTAGGGGAAGATACTCCCTTTATCACCATGCGCCTCAAACCGTCCGAAACGTCCACTTCCATATACTACAAAAAGAGCGTTTCAAACCTGCTCTAGGAAAGGCAATGTTCAACTCTGTGACTTGAATGCAGACATCACAGAGCAGTTTCTGAGAATGCTTCTGTCTAGATTTTATAGGAAGATATTCCCGTTTCCAACGAAATCTTCACAGCTATCCAAATATCCACTTGCAGATTCTACAAAAAGAGTGTATCAAAACTGCTCTGTCGAAAGGAAGGTTCTCCTCTGTTAGGTGAGTGCATACGTCATAAAGGAGTTTCTGAGAATGTTTCTGTCTAGTGGTTATGGGAAGATATTTGCTTTTTCCCCGTAGGCCTCAGGGCGCTCCAAATGTCCACTTGCACATGCTACAAAAAGAGTGCTTCAAAGCTACTCTCTGGAAGGGAATGTTCAACTCTATGAGTTGAATGCAAACATCACAAAGACCTTTCTGAGAATGCTTCTGTCTAGATTTGATATGAAGATATTCCCGTTTCCAACGAAATCTTCAAATCTATCCAAATGTCCCCTTGCAGATTCAACAAAAATTGTTTTTCAGAACTGCTCTATCAAAAGAAAGATCCACGTGTGTTAGCTGAGTTCACACATCACAAACAAGTTTATGAGAATGCTTCTGTCTAGTTTTTATTTGAAGATATTTCCTTTCTCACCGTAGACCTGAAAGCTGTCCTAATGTTCACTTCCAGATACTACAGAAAGAGTGTTTCAAAACTGCTGTACGAAAGGGAATGTTCAACTCTGTGACTTGAATGCACACATCACAAAGAAGTTTCTGAGGATGCTGCTGTCTACTTTTTATACTTAATCCCGTTTCCAACGAAATCCTTCAAGCTATCCAAATATCCACTTGCAGATTCCACAGAAAGACTGTTTCAAAACTGCTCTGTCAATAGAAAGGTTCAACTCTGTTAGCTGCGTGCATATATCCCAAAGAAGATTCTGAGATTGCTTCTGTCTAGTTTTTATGGGAAGATATTTCCCTTTTCACCGTAGGTGTCAAGGCGCTTCAAATGTCCACTTCCAGATACTACAAAAAGAGTGTTTCAAACCTACTCTCTGAAAGGGAATATTCAACTCTGTGACTTGAATGCAGATATCACAATGAAGTTTCTGAGAATGCTTCTGTCGAGATTTTATATGAAGATATTCCCGTTTCCAACGAAATCCTGAAATCTATCCAAATATCCCCTCGCAGATTCTACAAAAAGAGTGTTTCAAAACTGCTCTGTGAAAAGAAAGGTTCAACTCTGTTAGTTGAGTACAGACATCACAAACAAGTTTCACAGAATGCTTCTTTCTAGCTTGTAGGGGAAGATATTCCCTTTATCACCATAGGCCTCCAACCGTCCGAAACATCCACTTCCATATACTACAAAAAGAGCGTTTCAAACCTGCTCTATGAAAGGCAATGTTCAACTCTGTGACTTGAATGCAGACATCACAGAGCAGTTTCTGAGAATGCTTCTGTCTAGATTTTATAGGAAGATATTCCCGCTTCCAACGAAATCTTCACAGCTATCCAAATATCCACTTGCAGATTCTACAAAAAGAGTGTATCAAAACTGCTCTGTCAAAAGGAAGGTTCTTCTCTGTTAGTTGAGTACATACGTCATAAAGGAGTTTCTGAGAATGTTTCTGTCTAGTGGTTATGGGAAGATATTTGCTTTTTCACCGTAGGCCTCAGAGCGCACCAAATATCCACTTGCACATACTACAAAAGGAGTGCTTCAAAGCTGCTCTCTGAAACGGAATGTTCAACTCTATGAGTTGAATGCAAACATCACAAAGACGTTTCTGAGAATGCGTCTGTCTAGATTTGATATGAAGATATTCCCGTTTCCAACGAAATCTTCAAATCTTTCCAAATGTCCACTTGCAGATTCAACAAAAAGTGTTTTTCAGAACTGCTCTATCAAAAGAAAGATCCACCTCTGTTAGCTGAGTTCACACATCACAAACAAGTTTATGAGAATGCTTCTGTCTAGTTTTTATTTGAAGATATTTCCTTTCTCACCATAGACCTGAAAGCTGTCCTAATGTTCACTTCCAGATACTACAGAAAGAGTGTTTCAAAACTGCTGTACGAAAGGGAATGTTCAACTCTGTGACTTGAATGCCCACATCACAAAGATGTTTCTGAGGATGCTGCGGTCTACTTTTTATACGTAATCCCGTTTCCAACGAAATCCTCCAAGCTATCCAAATATCCACTTGCAGATTCCACAGAAAGACTGTTTCAAAACTGCTCTGTCAATAGAAAGGTTCAACTCTGTTAGCTGCGTGCATATATCCCAAAGAAGATTCTGAGATTGCTTCTGTCTAGTTTTTATGGGAAGATATTTCCCTTTTCACCATAGGCGTCAAGGCGCTCCAAATGTCCACTTCCAGATACTACAAAAAGAGTGTTTCAAACCTACTCTGTGAAAGGGAATATTCAACTCTGTGACTTGAATGCACATATCACAAGGAAGTTTCTGAGAATGCTTCTGTCGAGATTTTATATGAAGATATTCCCGTTTCCAACCAAATCCTGAAATCTATCCAAATATCCCCTCGCAGATTCTACAAAAAGAGTGTTTCAAAACTGCTCTGTAAAAAGAAAGGTTCAACTCTGTTAGTTGAGTACACACCTCACAAACAAGTTTCACAGAATGCTTCTTTCTAGCTTGTAGGGGAAGATATTCCCTTTATCACCATGGGCCTCAAACCGTCCGATAAGTCCACTTCCATATACTACAAAAAGAGCGTTTCAAACCTGCTCTATGAAGGGCAATGTTCAACTCTGTGACTTGAATGCAGACATCACAGAGCAGTTTCTGAGAATGCTTCTGTCCAGACTTTATAGGAAGATATTCCCGTTTCCAACGAAATCTTCACAGCTATCCAAATATCCACTTGCAGATACTACAAAAAGAGTGTATCAAAAATGCTCTGTCAAAAGGAAAGTTCTTATCTGCTAGTTGAGTACATACGTCATAAAGAAGTTTCTGAGAATGTTTCTGTCTAGTGGTTATGGGAAGATATTTGCTTTTTCACCGTAGGCCTCAGAGCGCTCCAAATATCCACTTGCACATACTACAAAAAGAGTGCCTCAAACTGCTCTCTGAAACGGAATGTTCAACTCTATGAGTTGAATGCAAACATCCCAAAGACGTTTCTGAGAATGCTTCTGTCTAGATTTGATATGAAGATATTCCCGTTTCCAACGAAATCTTCAAATCTATCCAAATGTCCACTTGCAGATTCAACAAAAAGTGTTTTTCAGAACTGCTCTATCAAAAGAAAGACCCATCTCTGTTAGCTGAGTTCACACATCACAAACAAGTTTATGAGAATGCTTCTGTCTAGTTTTTATTGGAAGATATTTCCCTTCTCACCATAGACCTGAAAGCTGTCCTAATGTTCACTTCCAGATACTACAGAAAGAGTGTTTCAAAACTGCTGTACGAAAGGGAATGTTCAACTCTGTGACTTGAATGCACACATCACAAAGAAGTTTCTGAGGATGCTGCTGTCTACTTTTTATACGTAATCCCGTTTCCAACGAAATCCTCCAAGCTATCCAAATATCCACTTGCAGATTCCACAGAAAGACTGTTTCAAAACTGCTATGTCAATAGAAAGGTTCAACTCTGTTAGCTCCGTGCATATATCCCAAAGAAGATTCTGAGATTACTTCTGTCTAGTTTTTATGGGAAGATATTTCCCTTTTCACCGTAGGCGTCAAGGCGCTCCAAATGTCCACTTCCAGATACTACAAAAAGAGTGTTTCAAACCTACTCTGTGAAAGGGAATATTCAACTCTCTGACTTGAATGCACATATCACAAAGAAGTTTCTGAGAATGCTTCTGTCGAGATTTTATATGAAGATATTCCCGTTTCCAATGAAATCCTGAAATCTATCCAAATATCCCCTCGCAGATTCTACAAAAAGAGTGTTTCAAAACTGCTCTGTAAAAAGAAAGGTTCAACTCTGTTGGTTGTGTACACACATCACAAACAAGTTTCACAGAATGCTTCTTTCTAGCTTGTGGGGGAAGATATTCCCTTTATCACCATGGGACTCAAACCGTCCGAAACGTCCACTTCCATATACTACAAAAAGAGCGTTTCAAACCTGCTCTATGAAAGGCAATGTTCAACTCTGTGACTTGAATGCAGACATCACAGAGCAGTTTCTGAGAATGCTTCTGTCTAGATTTTATAGGAAGATATTCCCGTTTCCAACGAAATATTCACAGGTATCCAAATATCCACTTGCAGATTCTACAAAAAGAGTGTATCAAAACTGCTCTGTCAAAAGGAAGGTTCTTCTCTGTTAGGTGAGTGCATACGTCATAAAGGAGTTTCTGAGAATGTTTCAGTCTAGTGGTTATGGGAAGATATTTGCTTTTTCACTGCAGGCCTCACAGCGCTCCAAATATCCACTTGCACATACTACAAAAAGAGTGCTTCAAAGCTGCTCTCTGAAACGGAATGTTCAACTCTATGAGTTGAATGCAAACATCACAAAGACGTTTCCGAGAAATGCTTCTGTCTAGATTTGATATGAAGATATTCCCGTTTCCAACGAAATCTTCAAATCTATCCAAATGTCCACTTGCAGATTCAACAAAAAGTGTTTTTCAGAACTGCTGTATCAAAAGAAAGATCCACCTCTGTTAGCTGAGTTCACACTTCACAAACAAGTTTATCAGAATGCTTCTGTCTAGTTTTTATTTGAAGATATTTCCTTTCTCACCATAGACCTGAAAGCTGTCCTAATGTTCACTTCCAGGTACTACAGAAAGAGTGTTTCAAAACTGCTGTACGAAAGGGAAAGTTCAACTCTGTGACTTGAATGCACACATCACAAAGAAGTTTCTGAGGATGCTCTGTCTACTTTTTATGCGTAATCCCGTTTCCAACGAAATCCTCCAAGCTATCCAAATATCCACTTGCAGATTCCACAGAAAGACTGTTTCAAAACTGCTCTGTCAATAGAAAGGTTCAACTCTGTTAGCTGCGTGCATATATCCCAAAGAAGATTCTGAGATTGCTTTCTGTCTAGTTTTTATGGGAAGATATTTCCCTTTTCACCGTAGGTGTCAAGGCGCTCCAAATGTCCACTTCCAGATACTACAAAAAGAGTGTTTCAAACCTACTCTGTGAAAGGGAATATTCAACTCTGTGGCTTGAATGCCGATATCACAAAGAAGTTTCTGAGAATGCTTCTGTCGAGATTTTATATGAAGATATTCCCGTTTCCAACGAAATCCTGAAATCTATCCAAATATCCGCTCGCAGATTGTACAAAAAGAGTGTTTCAAAACTGCTCTGTGAAAAGAAAGGTTCAACTCTGTTAGTTGAGTACACACATCACAAACAAGTTTCACAGAATGCTTCTTTCTAGCTTGTAGGGGAAGATATTCCCTTTATCACCATGGGCCTCAAACCGTCCGAAACATCCACTTCCATATACTGCAAAAAGAGCGTTTCAAACCTGCTCTATGAAAGGCAATGTTCAACTCTGTGACTTGAATGCAGACATCACAGAGCAGTTTCTGAGAATGCTTCTGTCTAGATTTTATAGGAAGATATTCCCGTTTCCAACGAAATCTTCACAGCTATCCCAATATCCACTTGCAGATTCTACAAAAAGACTGTATCAAAACTGCTCTGTCAAAAGGAAGGTTCTTCTCTGTTAGGTGAGTGCATACGTCATAAAGGAGTTTCTGAGAATGTTCCTGTCTAGTGGTTATGGGAAGATATTTGCTTTTTCACCGTAGGCCTCAGAGCGCTCCAAATATCCACTTGCACATACTACAAAAAGAGTGCTTCAAAGCTGGTCTCTGAAACGGAATGTTCAACTCTATGAGTTGAATGCAAACATCACAAAGACGTTTCTGAGAATGCTTCTGTCTAGATTTGATGTGAAGATATTCCCGTTTCCAACGAAATCTTCATATCTATCCAAATGTCCACTTGCAGATTCAACAAAAAGTGTTTTTCAAAACTGCTGTATCAAAAGAAAGATCCACGTGTGTTAGCTGAGTTCACACATCACAAACAAGTTTATGAGAATGCTTCTGTCTAGTTTTTATTTGAAGATATTTCCTTTCTCACCATAGACCTGAAAGCTGTCCTAATGTTCACTTCCAGATACTACAGAAAGAGTGTTTCAAAACTGCTGTACGAAAGGGAATGTTCAACTCTGTGACTTGAATGCACACATCACAAAGAAGTTTCTGAGGACGCTGCTGTCTACTTTTTATACGTAATCCCGTTTCCAACGAAATCCTCCAATCTATCCAAATATCCACTTGCAGATTCCACAGAAAGACTGTTTCAAAACTGCTCTGTCAATAGAAAAGTTCAACTCTGTTAGCTGCGTGCATATATCGCAAAGAAGATTCTGAGATTGCTTCTGTCTAGTTTTTATGGGAAGATATTTCCCTTTTCACCGTAGGTGTCAAGGCGCTCCAAATGTCCACTTCCAGATACTACAAAAAGAGTGTTTCAAACCTACTCTGTGAAAGGGAATATTCAACTCTGTGACTCGAATGCACATATAACAAAGAAGTTTCTGAGAATGCTTCTGTCGAGATTTTATATGAAGATATTCCCGTTACCAACGAAATCCTGAAATCTATCCAAATATCCCCTCGCAGATTCTACAAAAAGAGTGTTTCAAAACTGCTCTGTAAAAAGAAAGGTTCAACTCTGTTAGTTGAGTACACACATCACAAACAAGTTTCACAGAATGCTTCTTTCTAGCTTGTACGGGAAGATATTCCCTTTATCACCATGGGCCTCCAACCGTCCGAAACATCCACTTCCATATACTACAAAAAGAGCGTTTCAAACCTGCTCTATGAAAGGCAATGTTCAACTCTGTGACTTGAATGCAGACATCACAGAGCAGTTTCTGAGAATGCTTCTGTCTAGATTTTATAGGAAGATATTCCCGTTTCCAACGAAATCTTCACAGCTATCCAAATATCCACTTGCAGATTCTACAAAAAGAGTGTATCAAAACTGCTCTGTCAAAAGGAAGGATCTTCTCTGTTAGTTGAGTACATACGTCATAAAGGAGTTTCTGAGAATGTTTCTGTCTAGTGGTTATGGGAAGATATTTGCTTTTTCACCTTAGGCCTCAGAGCGCTCCAAATATCCCCTTGCACATACTACAAAAAGAGTGCTTCAAAGCTGCTTTCTGAAACGGAATGTTCAACTCTATGAGTTGAATGCAAACATCACAAAGACGTTTCTGAGAATGCTTCTGTCTAGATTTGATATGAAGATATTCCCGTTTCCAACGAAATCTTCAATTCTATCAAAATGTCCACTTGCAGATTCAACAAAAAGTGTTTTTCAGAACTGCTCTATCAAAAGAAAGATCCACCTCTGTTAGCTGAGTTCACACTTCACAAACAAGTTTATCAGAATGCTTCTGTCTAGTTTTTATTTGAAGATATTTCCTTTCTCACCATAGAGCTGAAAGCTGTTCTAATGTTCACTTCCAGATACTACAGGAAGAGTGTTTCAAAACTGCTGTACGAAAGGGAATGTTCAACTCTGTGACTTGAATGCACACATCACAAAGAAGTTTCTGAGGATGCTGCTGTCTACTTTTTATGCGTAATCCCGTTTCCAACGAAATCCTCCAAGCTATCCAAATATCCACTTGCAGATTCCACAGAAAGACTGTTTCAAAACTGCTCTGTCAATAGAAAGGTTCAACTCTGTTAGCTGCGTGCATATATCCCCAAAGAAGATTCTGAGATTGCTTCTGTCTAGTTTTCATGGGAAATATTTCCCTTTTCACCGTAGGTGTCAAGGCGCTCCAAATGTCCACTTCCAGATACTACAAAAAGAGTGTTTCAAACCTACTCTGTGAAAGGGAATATTCAACTCTGTGACTTGAATGCACATATCACAAAGAAGTTTCTGAGAATGCTTCTGTCGAGATTTTATATGAAGATATTCCCGTTTCCAACGAAATCCTGAAATCTATCCAAATATCCCCTCGCAGATTCTACAAAAAGAGTGTTTCAAAACTGCTCTGTGAAAAGAAAGGTTCAACTCTGTTAGTTGAGTACACACATCACAAACAAGTTTCACACAATTCTTCTTTCTAGCTTGTAGGGGAAGATATTCCCTTTATCACCATGGGCCTCAAACCGTCCGAAACGTCCACTTCCATATACTACAAAAAGAGCGTTTCAAACCTGCTCTATGAAAGGCAATGTTCAACTCTGTGACGTGAATGCAGACATCACAGAGCAGTTTCTGAGAATGCTTCTGTCTAGATTTCATAGGAAGATATTCCCGTTTCCAACGAAATCTTCACAGCTATCCAAATATCCACTTGCAGATTCTACAAAAAGAGTGTATCAAAAGTGCTCTGTCAAAAGGAAAGTTCTTCTCTGCTAGTTGAGTACATACGTCATAAAGAAGTTTCTGAGAATGTTTCTGTCTAGTGGTTATGGGAAGATATTTGCTTTTTCCCCGTAGGCCTCAGGGCGCTCCAAATGTCCACTTGCACATGCTACAAAAAGAGTGCATCAAAGCTGCTCTCTGAAAGGGAATGTTCAACTCTATGAGTTGAATGCAAACATCACAAAGACGTTTCTGAGAATGCTTCTGTCTAGATTTGATATGAAGATATTCCCGTTTCCAACGAAATCTTCAAATCTATCCAAATGTCCACTTGCAGATTCAACAAAAAGTGTTTTTCAGAACTGCTCTATCAAAAGAAAGATCCACCTCTGTTAGCTGAGTTCACACATCACAAACAACTTTATGAGAATGCTTCTGTCTAGTTTTTATTTGAAGATATTTACTTTCTCACCATAGACCTGAAAGCTGTCCTAATGTTCACTTCCAGATACTACAGAAAGAGTGTTTCAATACTGCTGTACGAAAGGGAATGTTCAACTCTGTGACTTGAATGCACACATCACAAAGAAGTTTCTGAGGATGCTGCTGTCTTACTTTTTATACGTAATCCCGTTTCCAACGAAATCCTCCAAGCTATCCAAATATCCACTTGCAGATTCCACAGAAAGACTGTTTCAAAACTGCTCTGTCAATAGAAAGGTTCAACTCTGTTAGCTGCGTGCATATATCCCAAAGAAGATTCTGAGGATTGCTTCTGTCTAGTTTTTATGGGAAGATATTTCCCTTTTCACCGTAGGCGTCAAGGCGCTCCAAATGTCCACTTCCAGATACTACAAAAAGAGTGTTTCAAACCTACTCTGTGAAAGGCAGAATATTCAGCTCTGTGACTTGAATGCACATATCACAAAGAAGTTTCTGAGAATGCTTCTGTCGAGATTTTATATGAAGATATTCCCGTTTCCAACGAAATCCTGAAATCTATCCAAATATCCCCTCGCAGATTCTACAAAAAGAGTGTATCAAAACTGCTCTGTAAAAAGAAAGGTTCAACTCTGTTAGTTGAGTACACACATCACAAACAAGTTTCACAGAATGCTTCTTTCTAGCTTGTAGGGGAAGATATTCCCTTTATCACCATCGGCCTCAAACCGTCTGAAACGTCCACTTCCATATACTACAAAAAGAGCGTTTCAAACCTGCTCTAGGAAAGGCAATGTTCAACTCTGTGACTTGAATGCAGACATCACAGAGCAGTTTCTGAGAATGCTTCTGTCTAGATTTTATAGGAAGATATTCCCGTTTCCAACGAAATCTTCACAGCTATCCAAATATCCACTTGCAGATTCTACAAAAAGAGTGTATCAAAACTGCTCTGTCAAAAGGAAGGTTTTTCTCTGTTAGGTGAGTGCATACGTCATAAAGGAGTTTCTGAGAATGTTTTCTGTCTAGTGGTTATGGGAAGATATTTGCTTTTTCACCGTAGGCCTCAGTGCGCTCCAAATATCCACTTGCACATACTACAAAAAGAGTGCCTCAAAGCTGCTCTCTGAAACGGAATGTTCAACTCTATGAGTTGAATGCAAACATCACAAAGACGTTTCTGAGAATGCCTCTGTCTAGATTTGATATGAAGATATTCCCGTTTCCAACGAAATCTTCAAATCTATCCAAATGTCCACTTGCAGATTCTACAAAAAGTGTTTTTCAAAACTGCTGTATCAAAAGAAAGATCCACGTCTGTTAGCTGAGTTCACACATCACAAACAAGTTTATGAGAATGCTTCTGTCTAGTTTTTATTTGAAGATATTTCCTTTCTCACCATAGACCTGAAAGCTGTCCTAATGTACACTTCCAGATACTACAGAAAGAGTGTTTCAAAACTGCTGTACGAAAGGGAATGTTCAACTCTGTGACTTGAATGCACACATCACAAAGAAGTTTCTGAGGATGCTGCTGTCTACTTTTTATACGTAATCCCGTTTCCAACGAAATCCTCCAAGCTATCCAAATATCCACTTGCAGATTCCACAGAAAGACTGTTTCAAAACTGCTCTGTCAATAGAAAGGTTCAACTCTTTTAGCTGCGTGCATATATCCCAAAGAAGATTCTGAGATTGCTTCTGTCTAGTTTTTATGGGAAGATATTTCCCTTTTCACCGTAGGTGTCAAGGCGCTCCAAATGTCCACTTCCAGATACTACAAAAAGAGTGTTTCAAACCTACTCTCTGAAAGGGAATATTCAACTCTGTGACTTGAATGCAGATATCACAAAGAAGTTTCTGAGAATGCTTCTGTCGAGATTTTATATGAAGATATTCCCGTTTCCAATGAAATCCTGAAAGCTATCCAAATATCCCCTCGCAGATTCTACAAAAAGAGTGTTTCAAAACTGCTCTGTCAAAAGGAAGGTTCTTCTCTGTTAGTTGAGTACATACGTCATAAAGGAGTTTCTGAGAATGTTTCTTTCTAGCTTGTATGGGAAGATATTCCCTTTATCACCATGGGCCTCAAACCGTCCGAAACGTCCACTTCCATATACTACAAAAAGAGTGTTTCAAACCTGCTCTATGAACGGCAATGTTCAACTCTGTGAGTTGAATGCAGACATCACAGAGCAGTTTCTGAGAATGCTTCTGTCTAGATTTTATAGGAAGATATTCCCGTTTCCAACGAAATCTTCACAGCTATCCAAATATCCACTTGCAGATTCTACAAAAAGAGTGTATCAAAACTGCTCTGTCAAAAGGAAGGTTCTTCTCTGTTATGTGAGTGCATACGTCATAAAGGAGTTTCTGAGAATGTTTCTGTCTAGTGGTTATGGGAAGATATTTGCTTTTTCACCTTAGGCCTCAGAGCGCTCAAAATATCCACTTGCACATACTACAAAAAGAGCGCTTCAAAGCTGCTCTCTGTAACAGAATGTTCAACTCTATGGGTTGAATGCAAACATCACAAAGACGTTTCTGAGAATGCTTCTGTCTAGATTTGATATGAAGATATTCCCGTTTCCAACGAAATCTTCAAATCTATCCAAATGTCCACTTGCAGATTCAACAAAATGTTTTTCAGAACTGCTCTATCAAAAGAAAGATCCACCTCTGTTAGCTGAGATCACACTTCACAAACAAGTTTATCAGAATGCTTCTGTCTAGTTTTTATTTGAAGATATATCCTTTCTCACTATAGACCTGAAAGCTCTCCTAAAGTTCACTTCCAGATACTACAGAAAGAGTGTTTCAAAACTGCTGTACGAAAGGGAATGTTCAACTCTGTGACTTGAATGCACACATCACAAGGTTGTTTCTGAGGATGCTGCTGTCTACTTTTTATACGTAATCCCGTTTCCAACGAAATCCTCCAAGCTATCCAAATATCCACTTACAGATTCCACAGAAAGACTGTTTCAAAACTGCTCTGTCAATAGAAAGGTTCAACTCTATTAGCTGCGTACATATATCCCAAAGAAGATTCTGAGATTGCTTCTGTCTACTTTTTATGAGAAGATATTTCCCTTTTCACCGTAGGCGTCAAGGCGCTCCAAATGTCCACTTCAGATACTACAAAAAGAGTGTTTCAAACCTACTCTGTGATAGGGAATATTGAACTCTGTGACTTGAATGCACATATCACAAAGAAGTTTCAGAGAATGCTTCTGTCAAGATTTTATATGAAGATATTCCCCTTTCCAACGAAATCCTGAAATCTATCCAAATATCCCCTCGCAGATTCTACAAAAAGAGTGTTTCAAAACTGCTCTGTAAAAAGAAAGGTTCAACTCTGTTAGTTGAGTACACACATCACAAACAAGTTTCACAGAATGCTCTTTCTAGCTTGTAGGGGAAGATATTCCCTTTATCACCATGGGCCTCAAACCGTCCGAAACGTCCACTTCCATATACTACAAAAAGAGTGTTTCAAACCTGCTCTATGAACGGCAATGTTCAACTCTGTGACTTGAATGCAGACATCACAGAGCAGTTTCTGAGAATGCTTTCTGTCTAGATTTTATAGGAAGATATTCCCGTTTCCAACGAAATCTTCACAGCTATCCAAATATCCACTTGCAGATTCCACAAAAAGAGTGTATCAAAACTGCTCTGTCAAAAGGAAGGTTCTTCTCCTGTTAGTTGAGTACATACGTCATAAAGGAGTTTCTGAGAATGTTTCTGTCTAGTGGTTATGAGAAGATATTTGCTTTTTCACCGTAGGCCTCAGAGCGCTCCAAATATCCACTTGCACATACTACAAAAAGAGTGCTTCAAAGCTGCTCTCTGAAACGGAATGTTCAACTCTATGAGTTGAATGCAAACATCGCAAAGACGTTTCTGAGAATGCTTCTGTCTAGATTTGATATGACGATATTCCCGTTTCCAACGAAATATTCAAATCTATCCAAATGTCCACTTGCAGATTCAACAAAAAGTGTTTTTCAGAACTGCTCTATCAAAAGAAAGATCCACCTCTGTTAGCTGAGTTCACACATCACAAACAAGTTTATGAGAATGCTTATCTGTCTAGTTTTTATTTGAAGATATATCCTTTCTCACTATAGACCTGAAAGCTGTCCTAAAGTTCACTTCCAGATACTACAGAAAGAGTGTTTCAAAACTGCTGTACGAAAGGGAATGTTCAACTCTGTGACTTCAATGCACACATCACAAGGATGTTTCTGAGGATGCTGCTGTCTACTTTGTATACGTAATCCCGTTTCCAACGAAATCCTCCAAGCTATCCAAATATCCACTTGCAGATTCCACAAAAAGAGTGTTTCAAAACTGCTCTGTCAATAGAAAGGTTCACCTCTGTTAGCTGGGTGCATACATCCCAAAGAAGATTCTGAGGTTGCTTCTGTCTAGTTTTTATGGGAAGATATTTCCCTTTTCACCATAGGCATCAAGGCGCTCCAAATGTCCACTTCCAGATACTACAAAAAGAGTGTTTCAAACCTACTCTGTGAAAGGGAATATTCAACTCTGTGACTTGAATGCACATATCACGAAGAAGTTTCTGCGAATGCTTCTGTCGAGATTTTATATGAAGATATTCCCGTTTCCAACGAAATCCTGAAATCTATCCAAATATCCCCTCACATATTCTACAAAAAGAGTGTTTCAAAACTGCTCTGTAAAAAGAAAGGTTCAACTCTGTTAGTTGAGTACACACCTCACAAACAAGTTTCACAGAATGCTTCTTTCTAGCTTGTAGGGGAAGATATTCCCTTTATCACCATGGGCCTCAAACCGTCCGAAACGTCTACTTCCATATACTACAAAAAGAGCGTTTCAAACCTGCTCTATGAAAGACAATGTTCAACTCTGTGACTTGAATGCAGACATCACAGAGCAGTTTCTGAGAATGCTTCTGTCAAGATTTTATAGGAAGATATTCCCGTTTCCGACGAAATCTTCACAGCTATCCAAATATCCACTTGCAGATTCTACAAAAAGAGTGTATCAAAACTGCTCTGTCAAAAGGAAGGTTCTTCTCTGCTAGGTGAGTGCATACGTCATAAAGGAGTTTCTGAGAATGTTTTCTGTCTAGTGGTTATGGGAAGATATTTGCTTTTTCCCCGTAGGCCTCAGAGCGCTCCAAATGTCCACTTGCACATGCTACAAAAAGAGTGCTTCAAAGCTGCTCTCTGAAAGGGAATGTTCAACTCTATGAGTTGAATGTAAACATCACAAAGACGTTTCTGAGAATGCTTCTGTCTAGATTTGATATGAAGATATTCCCGTTTCCAACGAAATCTTCAAATCTATCCAAATGTCCACTTGCAGACTCAACAAAAAGTGTTTTTCAGAACTGCTCTATCAAAAGAAAGATCCACCTCTGTTAGCTGAGTTCAGACATCACAAACAAGTTTATGAGAATGCTTCCTGTCTAGTTTTTATTTTTAGATATTTCCTTTCTCACCGCAGACCTGAAAACTCTCATAATGTTCACTTCCAGATACTACAGAAAGAGTGTTTGAAACCTGCTGTATGAAAGGGAATGTTGAACTCTGTGACATGAATGCACACATCACAACGAAGTTTCTGAGAATGCTGCTGTCTACTTTTTATACGTAATCCCGTTTCCAACGAAATCCTCCAAGCTATCCAAATATCCACTTGCAGATTCCACAGAAAGACTGTTTCAAAACTGCTCTGTCAATAGAAAGGTTCAACTCTGTAAACTGCGTGCATATATCCCAAAGAAGATTCTGAGATTGCTTCTGTCTAGTTTTTATGGGAAGATATTTCCCTTTTCACCGTAGGCGTCAAGGCGCTCCAAATGTCCACTTCCAGATACTACAAAAAGAGTGTTTCAAACCTACTCTGTGAAAGGGAATATTCAACTCTGTGACTTGAATGCAGATATCACAAAGAAGATTCTGAGAATGCTTCTGTCGAGATTTTATATGAAGATATTCCCGTTTCCCACGAAATCCTGAAATCTCTCCAAATATCCCCTCGCAGATTCTACAAAAAGAGTGTTTCAAAACTGCTCTGTAAAAAGAAAGGTTCAACTCTGTTACTTGAGTACACACATCACAAACAAGTTTCACAGAATGATTCTTTCTAGCTTGTAGGGGAAGATATTCCCTTTATCACCATGGGCCTCAAACCGTCCGAAACGTCCACTTCCATATACTACAAAAAGAGCGTTTCAAACCTGCTCTATGAAAGGCAATGGTCAACTCCGTGACATGAATGCAGACATCACAGAGCAGTTTCTGAGAATGCTTCTGTCTAGATTTTATAGGAAGATATTCCCGTTTCCAATGAAATCTTCACAGCTATCCCAATATCCACTTGCAGATTCTACAAAAAGAGTGTATCAAAAGTGCTCTGTCAAAAGGAAGGTCCTTCTCTGTTAGGTGAGTGCATACGTCATAAAGGAGTTTCTGAGAATGTTTCTGTCTGGTGGTTATGGGAAGATATTTGCTTTTTCACCAAAGGCTTCAGAGCACTCCAGATATCCACTTGCACATACTACAAAATGAGTGCCTCAAAGCTGCTCTCTGAAACGGAATGTTCAACTCTATGAGTTGAATGCAAACATCACAAAGACGTTTCCGAGAATGCTTCTGCCTAGATTTGATATGAAGATATTCCCGTTTCCAACGAAATCTTCAAATCTATCCAAATGTCCACCTGCAGATTCAACAAAAAGTGTTTTTCAGAACTGCTCTATCAAAAGAAAGATCCATCTCTGTTAGCTGAGTTCACACATCACAAACAAGTTTATGAGAATGCTTTTGTCTAGTTTTTATTTGAAGATATTTCCTTTCTCACCATAGACCTGAAAGCTGTCCTAATGTTCACTTCCAGTTACTACAGAAAGAGTGTTTCAAAACTGCTGTACGAAAGGGAATGTTCAACTCTGTGACTTGAATGCACACATCACAAAGAAGTTTGCTGAGGATGCTGCTGTCTACTTTTTATACGTAATCCCGTTTCCAACAAAATCCTCCAAGCTATCCAAATATCCACTTGCAGATTCCACAGAAAGACTGTTTCAAAACTGCTCTGTCAATAGAAATGTTCAACTCTGTTAGCTGCGTGCATATATCCCAAAGAAGATTCTGAGATTGCTTCTGTCTAGTTTTTATGGGAAGATATTTCCCTTTTCACCGTAGGCGTCAAGGCTCTCCAAATGTCCACTTCCAGATACTACAAAAAGAGTGTTTCAAACCTACTCTGTGAAAGGGAATATTCAACTCTGTGACTTGAATGCACATATCACAAAGAAGTTTCTGAGAATGCTTCTGTCGAGATTTTATATGAAGATATTCCCGTTTCCAACGAAATTCTGAAATCTATCCAAATATCCCCTCGCAGATTCTACAAAAAGAGTGTTTCAAAACTGCTCTGTAAAAAGAAAGGTTCAACTCTGTTAGTTGAGTACACACATCACAAACAAGTATCACAGAATGCTTCTTTCTAGCTTGTAGGGGAAGATATTTCCTTTATCACCATGGTCCTCAATCCGTCCGAAACGTGCTCTTCCATATACTAAAAAAAGAGTGTTTGAAACCTACTCTATGAAAGGCAACGTTCAACTCTGTGACTTGAATGCAGACATCACAGAGCAGTTTCTGAGAATGCTGCTGTCTAGATTTTATAGGAAGATATTCCCGTTTCCAACGAAATCTTCAATGCTATTCAAATATCCACTTGCAGATTCTACAAAAAGAGTGTATCAAAACTGCTCTGTCAAAAGGAAGGTTCTTCTCTGTTAGGTGAGTGCATACGTCATAAAGGAGTTTCTGAGAATGTTTCTGTCTAGTGGTTATGGGAAGATATTTGCTTTTTCACCGTTGGCCTCAGAGCGCTCCAAATATCCACTTGCACATACTACAAAAAGAGTCTTTCAAAGCTGCTCTCTGAAAGGGAATGTTCAACTCTATGAGTTGAATGCAAACATGACAAAGACGTTTCTGAGAATGCTTCTGTCTAGATTTGATATGAAGATATTCCCGTTTCCAAGGAAATCTTCAAATCTATCCAAATGTCCACTTGCAGATTCAACAAAAATTGTTTTTCAGAACTGCTCTATCAAAAGAAAGATCCACGTGTGTTAGCTGAGTTCACACATAACAAACAAGTTTATGAGAATGCTTCTGTCTAGTTTTTATTTGAAGATATATCCTTTCTCACTATAGACCTGAAAGCTGTCCTAAAGTTCACTTCCAGATACTACAGAAAGAGTATTTCAACACTGCTGTACGAAAGGGAATGTTCAACTCTGTGACTTGAATGCACACATCACAAGGATGTTTCTGAGGATGCTGCTGTCTACTTTTTATACGTAATCCCGTTTCCAACGAAATCCTCCAACTATCCAAATATCCACTTGCAGATTCCACAGAAAGACTGTTTCAAAACTGCTCTGTCAATAGAAAGGTTCAACTCTGTTAGCTGCGTGCATATATCCCAAAGAAGATTCTGAAATTGCTTCTGTCTAGTTTTTATGGGAAGATATTTCCCTTTTCACCGTAGGTGTCAAGGCGCTCCAAATGTCCACTTCCAGATACTACAAAAAGAGTGCTTCAAACCTACTCTGTGAAAGGGAATATTCAACTCTGTGACTTAAAGGCAGATGTCACAAAGAAGTTTCTGAGAATGCTTCTGTCGAGATTTTATATGAAGATATTCCCGTTTCCAACGAAATCCTGAAATCTATCCAAATATCCGCTCGCAGATTCTACAAAAAGAGTGTTTCAAAACTGCTCTGTGAAAAGAAAGGTTCAACTCTTTTAGTTGAGTACACACATCACAAACAAGTTTCACAGAATGCTTCTTTCTAGCTTGTAGGGGAAGATATTCCCTTTATCACCATGGGCCTCCAACCGTCCGAAACATCCACTTCCATATACTACAAAAAGAGCGTTTCAAACCTGGTCTCTGAAAGGCAATGTTCAACTCTGTGACTTGAATGCAGACATCACAGAGCAGTTTCTGAGAATGCTTCTGTCTAGATTTGATATGAAGATATTCCCGTTTCCAAAGAAATCTTCAGAGCTATCCAAATATCCACTTGCATATTCTACAAAAAGAGTGTATCAAAAATGCTCTGTCAAAAGGTAGGTTCTTCTCTGTTAGTTGAGTACATACGTCAGAAAGAAGTTTCTGAGAATGTTTCTGTCTAGTGGTTATGGGAAGATATTTGCTTTTTCCCCGTAGGCCTCAGGGCGCTCCAAATGTCCACTTGCACATGCTACAAAAAGAGTGCTTCAAAGCTACTCTCTGGAAGGGAATGTTCAACTCTATGAGTTGAATGCAAACATCACAAAGACGTCTCTGAGAATGCTTCTGTCTAGATTTGATATGAAGATATTCCCGTTTCCAACGAAACCTTCAAATCTATCCAAATGTCCACTTGCAGATTCAACAAAAAGTGTTTTTCAGAACTGCTCTATCAAAAGAAAGATCCACCTTGGTTAGCTGAGTTCACACATCACAAAGAAGTTTATGAGAATGCTTCTGTCTAGTTTTTATTTGAAGATATATCCTTTCCAACTATAGACATGAAAGCTCTCCTAAAATTCACTTCCAGATACTACAGAAAGAGTGTTTCAAAACTGATGTATGAAAGGGAATGTTCAACTCTGTGACTTGAATGCACACATCACAAAGAAGTTTCTGAGGATGCTGCTGTCTACTTTTTATACGTAATCCCGTTTCCAACGAAATCCTCCAAGCTATCCAAATATCCACTTGCAGATTCCACAGAAAGACTGTTTCAAAACTGGTCTGTCAATAGAAAGGTTCAACTCTGTTAGCTGCGTGCATATATCCCAAAGGAGATTCTGAGATTGCTTCTGTCTACTTTTTATGAGAAGATATTTCCCTTTTCACTGTAGGCGTCAAGGCGCTCCAAATGTCCACTTCCAGATACTAGAAAAAGGGTGTTTCAAACCTACTCTGTGAAAGGGAATATTCAACTCTGTGACTTGAATGCACATATCACAAAGAAGCTTCTGAGAATGCTTCTGTCGAGGATTTTATATGAAGATATTCCCGTTTCCAACGAAATCCTGAAATGTATCCAAATATCCCCTCGCAGATTCTACAAAAAGAGTGTTTCAAAACTGCTCTGTAAAAAGAAAGGTTCAACTCTGTTAGTTGAGTACACACATCACAAACAAGTTTCACAGAATGCTTCTTTCTAGCTTGTAGGGGAAGATATTCCCTTTATCACCATGGGCCTCAAACCGTCCGATAAGTCCACTTCCATATACTACAAAAAGAGCGTTTCAAACCTGCTCTATGAAAGGCAATGTTCAACTCTGTGACTTGAATGCAGACATCGCAGAGCAGTTTCTGAGAATGCTTCTGTCTAGATTTTATAGGAAGATATTCCCGTTTCCAACGAAATCTTCACAGCTATCCAAATATCCACTTGCAGATTCTACAAAAAGAGTGTATCAAAACTGCCCTGTCAAAAGGAAGGTTCTTTTCTGTTAGGTGAGTGCATACGTCATAAAGGAGTTTCTGAGAATGTTTCTGTCTAGTGGTTATGGGAAGATATTTGCTTTTTCACCGTAGGCCTCAGAGCGCTCCAAATATCCACTTGCACATACTACAAAAAGAGTGCTTCAAAGCTGCTCTCTGAAAGGGAATTTTCAACTCTATGAGTTGAATGCAAACATCACAAAGCCGTTTCTGAGAATGCTTCTGTCTAGATTTGATATGAAGATATTCCCGTTTCCAACGAAATCTTCAAATCTATCCAAATGTCCACTTGCAGATTCAGCAAAAAGTGTTTTTCAGAACTGCTCTATCAAAAGAAAGATCCACCTCTGTTAGCTGAGTTCACACATCACAAACAAGTTTATGAGAATGCTTCTGTCTAGTTTTTATTTGAAGATATTTCCTTTCTCACCATAGACCTGAAAGCTCTCCTAATGTTCACTTCCAGATACTACAGAAAGAGTGTTTCAAAACTGCTGTACGAAAGGGAATGTTCAACTCTGTGACTTGAATGCAGACATCACAAAGAAGTTTCTGAGGATGCTGCTGTCTACTTTTTATACGTATTCCCGTTTCCAACGAAATCCTCCAAGCTATCCAAATATCCACTTGCAGATTCCACAGAAAGACTGTTTCAAAACTGCTCTGTCAATAGAAAGGTTCAACTCTGTTAGCTGCGTGCATATATCCCAAAGAAGATTCTGAGATTGCTTCTGTCTAGTTTTTATGGGAAGATATTTCTCTTTTCACCGTAGGCGTCAGGGCGCTCCAAATGTCCACTTCCAGATACTACAAAAAGAGTGTTTCAAACCTACTCTGTGAAAGGGAATATTCAACTCTGTGACTTGAATGCAGATATCACAAAGAAGTTTCTGAGAATGCTTCTGTCGAGATTTTATATGAAGATATTCCCCTTTCCAACGAAATCCTGAAATGTATCCAAATATCCCCTCGCAGATTCTACAAAAAGAGTGTTTCAAAACTGCTCTGTAAAAAGAAAGGTTCAACTCTGTTAGTTGAGTACACACATCACAAACAAGTTTCACAGAATGCTTTCTTTCTAGCTTGTAGGGGAAGATATTTCCTTTATCACCATGGGCCTCAAACCGTCCGAAACGTCCACTTCCATATACTAAAAAAAGAGTGTTTGAAACCTGCTCTATGAAAGGCAATGTTCAACTCTGTGACTTGAATGCAGACATCACAGAGAAGTTTCTGAGAATGCTTCTGTCTAGATTTTATAGGGAGATATTCCCGTTTCCAACGAAAGCTTCACAGCTATCCAAATATCCACTTGCAGATTCTACAAAAAGAGTGTATCAAAACTGCTCTGTCAAAAGGAAGGTTCTTCTCTGTTAGGTGAGTGCATACGTCATACAGGAGTTTCTGAGAATGTTTTCTGTCTAGTGGTTATGGGAAGATATTTGCTTTTTCACCGTAGGCCTCAAAGCGCTCCAAATGTCCACTTGCACATACTACAAAAAGAGTGCTTCAAAGCTGCTCTCTGAAACGGAATGTTCAACTCTATGAGTTGAATGCAAACATCACAAAGACGTTTCTGAGAATGCTTCTGTCTAGATTTGATATGAAGATATTCCCGTTTCCAACGAAATCTTCATATCTATCCAAATGTCCACTTGCAGATTCAACAAAAAGTGTTTTTCAAAACTGCTGTATCAAAAGAAAGATCCACGTGTGTTAGCTGAGTTCACACATCACAAACAAGTTTATGAGAATGCTTTCTGTCTAGTTTTTATTTGAAGATATTTCCTTTCTCACCATAGAGATGAAAGCTGTCCTAATGTTCACTTCCAGATACTACAGAAAGAGTGTTTCAAAACTGCTGTACGAAAGGGAATGCTCAACTCTGTGACTTGAATGCACACATCACAAAGAAGTTTCTGAGGATGCTCTGTCTACTTTTTATACGTAATCCCGTTTCCAACGAAATCCTCCAAGCTATCCAAATATCCACTTGCAGATTCCACAGAAAGACTGTTTCAAAACTGCTCTGTCAATAGAAAGGTTCAACTCTGTTAGCTGCGTGCATATATCCCAAAGAAGATTCTGAGATGCTTTCTGTCTAGTTTTTATGGGAAGATATTTCCCTTTCCACCGTAGGCGTCAAGGCGCTCCAAATGTCCACTTCCAGATACTACAAAAAGAGTGTTTCAAACCTTCTCTGTGAAAGGGAATATTCAACTCTGTGACTTGAATGCAGATATCACAAAGAAGTTTCTGAGAATGCTTCTGTCGAGATTTTATATGAAGATATTCCCGTTCCCAACGAAATCTTGAAATCTATCCAAATATCCCCTCGCAGATTCTACAAAAAGAGTGTTTCAAAACTGCTCTGTAAAAGAAAGGTTCAACTCTGTTAGTTGAGTACACACATCACAAACAAGTTTCACAGAATGCTTCTTTCTAGCTTGTAGGGGAAGATATTCCCTTTATCACCATGGGCCTCAAACCGTCCGAAACGTCCACTTCCATATACTACAAAAAGAGCGTTTCAAACCTGCTCTAGGAAAAGCAATGTTCAACTCTGTGACTTGAATGCAGACATCACAGAGCAGTTTGCTGAGAATGCTTCTGTCTAGATTTTATAGGAAGATATTTCCGTTTCCAACGAAATCTTCACAGCTATCCAAATATCCACTTGCAGATTCTACAAAAAGTGTGTATCAAAACTGCTCTGTCAAAAGGAAGGTTCTTCTCTGTTAGGTGAGTGCATACGTCATAAAGGAGTTTCTGAGAATGTTTCTGTCTAGTGGTTATGGGAAGATATTTGCTTTTACACCGTAGGCCTCAGAGCGCTCCAAATATCCACTTGCACATCCTACAAAAAGAGTGCTTCAAAGCTGGTCTCTGAAACGGAATGTTCAACTCTATGAGTTGAATGCAAACATCACAAAGACGTTTCTGAGAATGCTTCTGTGTAGATTTGATATGAAGATATTCCCGTTTCCAACGAAATCTTCAAATCTATCCAAATGTCCACTTGCAGATTCAACAAAAAGTGTTTTTCAGAACTGCTCTATCAAAAGAAAGATCCACCTCTGTTAGCTGAGTTCAGACATCACAAACAAGTTTATGAGAATGCTTCTGTCTAGTTTTTATTTGAAGATATTTCCTTTCTCACCATAGAGCTGAAAGCTGTCCTAATGTTCACTTCCAGATACTACAGAAAGAGTGTTTCAAAACTGCTGTACGAAAGGGAATGTTCAACTCTGTTACTTGAATGCACACATCACAAAGAAGTTTCTGAGGATGCTGCTGTCTACTTTTTATACATAATACCGTTTCCAACGAAATCCTCCAAGCTATCCAAATATCCACTTGCAGATTCCTCAGAAAGACTGTTTCAAAACTGCTCTGTCAATAGAAAGGTTCAACTCTGTTAGCTGCGTGCATATATCCCAAAGAAGATTCTGAGATTGCTTTTGTCTAGTTTTTATGGGAAGATATTTCCCTTTTCACCGTGGGCGTCAAGGCGCTCCAAATGTCCACTTCCAGATACTACAAAAAGAGTGTTTCAAACCTACTCTGTGAAAGGGAATATTCAACTCTGTGACTTGAATGCACATATCACAAGGAAGTTTCTGAGAATGCTTCTGTCGAGATTTTATATGAAGATATTCCCGTTTCCAACGAAATCCTGAAATCTATCCAAATATCCCCTCGCAGATTCTACAAAAAGAGTGTTTCAAAACTGCTCTGTAAAAAGAAAGGTTCAACTCTGTTAGTTGAGTACACACATCACCAACAAGTTTCACAGAATGCTTCTTTCTAGCTTGTAGGGGAAGATATTCCCTTTATCACCATGGGCCTCAAACCGTCTGAAACGTCCACTTCCATATACTGCAAAAAGAGCATTTCAAACCTGCTCTATGAAAGGCAATGTTCAACTCTGTGACTTGAATACAGACATCACAGAGCAGTTTCTGAGAATGCTTCTGTCCGGACTTTATAGGAAGATATTCCCGATTCCAACGAAATCTTCACATCTATCCAAATATCCACTTGCTGATACTACAAAAAGAGTGTATCAAAAATGCTCTGTCAAGAGGACAGTTCTTCTCTGCTAGTTCAGTACATACGTCATAAAGAAGTTTCTGAGAATGTTTCTGTCTAGTGGTTATGGGAAGATATTTGCTTTTTCACCGTAGGCCTCAGAGCGCTCCAAATATCCACTTGCGCATACTACAAAAAGAGTGCTTCAAAGCTGCTCTCTGAAACGGAATGTTCAACTCTATGAGTTGCATGCAAACATCACAAAGACGTTTCTGAGAATGCTTCTGTCTAGATTTGATATGAAGATATTCCCGTTTCCAACGAAATCTTCAAATCTATCCAAATGTCCACTTGCAGATTCAACAAAAAGTGTTTTTCAGAACTGCTCTATCAAAATAAAGATCCACCTCTGTTACCTGAGTTCACACTTCCCAAACAAGTTTTTGAGAATGCTTCTGTCTAGTTTTTATTTGAAGATATTGCCTTTCTCACCATAGACCTGAAAGCTGTACTAATGTTCACTTCCAGATACTACAGAAAGAGTGTTTCAAAACTGCTGTACGAAAGGGAATGTTCAACTCTGTGACTTGAATGCACACATCACAAAGAAGTTTCTGAGGATGCTGCTGTCTACTTTTTATACTTAATCCCGTTTCCAACGAAATCCTCCAAGCTTTCCAAATATCCACTTGCAGATTCCACAGAAAGACTGTTTCAAAACTGCTCTGTCAATAGAAAGGTTCAACTCTGTTAGCTGCGTGCATATATCCCAAAGAAGATTCTGAGATTGCTTTCTGTCTAGTTTTTATGGGAAGATATTTTCCTTTTCACCGTAGGTGTCAAGGCGCTCCAAATGTCCACTTCCAGATACTACAAAAAGAGTGTTTCAAACCTACTCTGTGAAAGCGAATATTCAACTCTGTGACTTGAATGCACATATCACAAAGAAGTTTCTGAGAATGCTTCTGTCGAGATTTTATATGAAGATATTCCCGTTTCCAACGAAATCCTGAAATCTATCCAAATATCCCCTCGCAGATTCTACAAAAAGAGTGTATCAAAACTGCTCTGTAAAAAGAAAGGTTCAACTCTGTTAGTTGAGTACACACATCACAAACAAGTTTCACACAATGCTTCTTTCTAGCTAGTAGGGGAAGCATATTCCCTTTATCACCATGGGCCTCAAACCGTCCGAAACGTCCACTTCCATATACTACAAAAAGAGCGTGTCAAACCTGCTCTATGAAAGGCAATGTTCAACTCTGTGACTTGAATGCAGACATCACAGAGCAGTTTCTGAGAATGCTTCTGTCTAGATTTTATAGGAAGATATTCCCGTTTCCAACGAAATCCTGAAATCTATCCAAATAACCCCTCGCAGATTCTACAAAAAGAGTGTTTCAAAACTGCTCTGTAAAAAGAAAGGTTCAACTCTGTTAGTTGAGTACACACATCACAAACAAGTTTCACAGAATGCTTCTGTCTAGTGGTTATGGGAAGATATTTGATTTTTCACCGTAGGCCTCAGAGCTGCTCCAAATATCCACTTCCACATACTACAAAAAGAGTGCTTCAAAGCTGCTCTCTGAAAGGGAATGTTCAACTCTATGAGTTGAATGCAAACATCTCAAAGACGTTTCTGAGAATGCTTCTGTCTGGATTTGATATGAAGATATTCCCGTTTCCAACGAAATCTTCAAATCTATCCAAATGTCCACTTGCAGATTCAACAAAAAGTGTTTTTCAGAACTGCTCTATCAAAAGAAAGATCCACCTCTGTTAGCTGAGTTCACACATCACAAACAAGTTTATGAGAATGCTTCTGTCTAGTTTTTATTTGAAGATATTTCCTTTCTCACCATAGACCTGAAAGCTGTCCTAATGTTCACTTCCAGATACTACAGAAAGAGTGTTTCAAAACTGCTGTACGAAAGGGAATGTTCAACTCTGTGACTTGAATGAACACATCACAAAGAAGTTTCTGAGGATGCTGCTGTCTACTTTTTATACGTAATCCCGTTTCCAACGAAATCCTCCAAGCTATCCAAATATCCACTTGCAGATTCCACAGAAAGACTGTTTCAAAACTGCTCTGTCAATAGCAAGTTTCAACTCTGTTAGCTGCGTACATATATCCCAAGGAAGATTCTGAGATTGCTTCTGTCTACTTTTTATGAGAAGATATTTCCCTTTTCACCGTAGGCGTCAAGGCGCTCCAAATGTCCACTTCAGATACTACAAAAAGAGTGTTTCAAACCTACTCTGTGAAAGGGAATATTCAACTCTGTGACTTGAATGCACATATCACAAAGAAGCTTCTGAGAATGCTTCTGTCGAGATTTTCTATGAAGATGTTCCCGTTTCCAACGAAATCCTGAAATCTATCCAAATATCCCCTCGCAGATTCTACAAAAAGAGTGTTTTAAAACTGCTCTGTAAAAAGAAAGGTTCAACTCTGTTAGTTGAGTACACACATCACAAACAAGTTTCACACAATGCTTCTTTCTAGCTTGTAGGGGAAGATATTCCCTTTATCACCATGGGCCTCAATCCGTCCGATAAGTCCACTTCCATATACTACAAAAAGAGCGTTTCAAACCTGCTCTAGGAAAGGCAATGTTCAACTCTGTGACTTGAATGCAGACATCACAGAGCAGTTTCTGAGAATGCTTCTGTCTAGATTTTATAGGAAGATATTCCCGTTTCCAACGAAATCTTCACAGCTATCCAAATATCCACTTGCAGATTCTACAAAAAGAGTGTATCAAAACTGCTCTGTCAAAAGGAAGGTTCTTCTCTGTTAGGTAAGTGCACACGTCATAAAGGAGTTTCTGAGAATGTTTCTGTCTAGTGGTTATGGGAAGATATTTGCTTTTTCACCGTAGGCCTCAGAGCCCTCCAAATATCCACTTGCACATACTACAAAAAGAGTGCTTCAAAGCTGCTCTCTGAAACGGAATGTTCAACTCTATGAGTTGAATGCAAACATCGCAAAGACGTTTCTGAGAATGCTTCTGTCTAGATTTGATATGAAGATATTCCCGTTTCCAACGAAATCTTCATATCTATCCAAATGTCCACTTGCAGATTCAACAAAAAGTGTTTTTCAAAACTGCTGTATCAAAAGAAAGATCCACGTCTGTTAGCTGAGTACACACATCACAAACACGTTTATGAGAATGCTTCTGTCTAGTTTTTATTTGAAGATATATCCTTTCTCACTATAGACCTGAAAGCTGTCCTAAAGTTCACTTCCAGATACTACAGAAAGAGTGTTTCAAAACTGCTGTACGAAAGGGAATTTTCAACTCTGTGACTTGAATGCACACATCACAAAGTAGTTTCTGAGGATGCTGCTGTCTACTTTTTATACGTAATCCCGTTTCCAACGAAATCCTCCAATCTATCCAAATATCCACTTGCAGATTCCACAGAAAGACTGTTTCAAAACTGCTCTGTCAATAGAAAGGTTCAACTCTGTTAGCTGCGTGCGTATATCCCAAAGAAGATTCTGAGATTGCTTCTGTCTAGTTTTTATGGGAAGATATTTCCCTTTTCACCGTAGGCGTCAAGGCGCTCCAAATGTCCAATTCCAGATACTATAAAAAGAGTGTTTCAAACCTACTCTGTGAAAGGGAATATTCAACTCTGTGACTGGAATGCAGATATCACAAAGAAGTTTCTGAGAATGCTCTGTCGAGATTTTATATAAAGATATTCCCGTTTCCAACGAAATCCTGAAATCTATCCAAATATCCCCTCGCAGATTCTACAAAAAGAGTGTTTCAAAACTGCTCTGTAAAAAGAAAGGTTCAACTCTGTTAGTTGAGTACACACATCACAAACAAGTTTCACAGAATGCTCTCTTTCTAGCTTGTAGGGTAAGATATTCCCTTTATCACCATGGGCCTCAAACCGTCCGAAACGTCCACTTCCATATACTACAAAAAGAGCGTTTCAAACCTGCTCTATGAAAGGCAATGTTCAACTCTGTGACTTGAATGCAGACATCACAGAGCAGTTTCTGAGAATGCTTCTGTCTAGATTTTGTAGGAAGATATTCCCGATTCCAACGAAATCTTCACAGCTATCCAAAGATCCACTTGCAGATTCTACAAAAAGAGTGTATCAAAACTGCTCTGTCAAAAGGAAGGTTCTTCTCTGTTAGGTGAGTGCATACGTCATAAAGGAGTTTCTGAGAATGTTTCTGTCTAGTGGTTATGGGAAGATATTTGCTTTTTCACCGTAGGCCTCAGAGCGCTCCAAATATCCACTTGCACATACTACAAAAAGAGTGTTCCAAAGCTGCTCTCTGAAAGGGAATGTTCAACTCTATGAGTTGAATGCAAACATGACAAAGACGTTTCTGAGAATGCTTCTGTCTAGATTTGATAGGAAGATATTCCCGTTTCCAACGAAATCTTCAAATCTATCCAAATGTCCTCTTGCAGATTCAACAAAAAGTGTTTTTCAAAACTGCTGTATCAAAAGAAAGATCCACGTCTGTTAGCTGAGTTCACACATCACAAACAGGTTTATGAGAAACCTTCTGTCTAGTTTTTATTTGAAGATATTGCCTTTCTCACCATAGACCTGAAAGCTGTCCTAATGTTCACTTCCAGATACTACAGAAAGAGTGTTTCAAAACTGCTGTACGAAAGGGAATGTTCAACTCTGTGACTTGAATGAACACATCACAAAGAAGTTTCTGAGGATGCTGCTGTCTACTTTTTATACATAATCCCGTTTCCAACGAAATCCTCCAAGCTATCCAAATATCCACTTGCAGATTCCACAGAAAGACTGTTTCAAAACTGCTCTGTCAATAGAAAGGTTCAACTCTATTAGCTGCGTACATATATCCCAAAGAAGATTCTGAGATTGCTTCTGTCTAGTTTTTATGGGAAGATATTTCCCTTTTCACCGTAGGCGTCAAGGCGCTCCAAATGTCCACTTCCAGATATTACAAAAAGAGTGCTTCAAACCTTCTCTGTGAAAGGGAATATTCAACTCTGTGACTTGAATGCAGATATCACAAAGAAGTTTCTGAGAATGCTTCTGTCGATATTTTATATGAAGATATTCCCGTTTCCAACGAAATCCTGAAATCTATCCAAATATCCCCTCGCAGATTCTACAAAAAGAGTGTTTCAAAACTGCTCTGTAAAAAGAAAGGTTCAACTCTGTTAGTTGAGTACACACATCACAAACAAGTTTCACAGAATGCTTCTTTCTAGCTTGTAGGGGAAGATATTCCCTTTATCACCATGGGCCTCCAACCGTCCAATAAGTCCACTTCCATATACTACAAAAAGAGCGTTTCAAACCTGCTCTATGAAAGGCAATGTTCAACTCTGTGACTTGAATGCAGACATCACAGAGCAGTTTCTGAGAATGCTTCTGTCTAGATTTTATAGGAAGATATTCCGGTTTCCAAAGAAATCTTCACAGCTATCCAAATATCCACTTGCAGATTCTACAAAAAGAGTGTATCAAAACTGCTCTGTCAAAAGGAAGGTTCTTTTCTGTTAGGTGAGTGCATACGTCATAAAGGAGTTTCTGAGAATGTTTCTGTCTAGTGGTTATGGGAAGATATTTGCTTTTTCACCTTAGGCCTCAGAGCGCTCCAAATATCCACTTGCACATACTACAAAAAGAGTGCTTCAAAGCTGCTCTCTGAAACGGAATGTTCAACTCTATGAGTTGAATGCAAACATCACAAAGACGTTTCTGACAATGCTTATCTGTCTAGATTTGATATGAAGATATTCCCGTTTCCAACGAAATCTTCAAATCTATCCAAATGTCCACTTGCAGATTCAACAAAAAGTGTTTTTCAAAACTGCTGTATCAAAAGAAAGATCCACGTCTGTTAGCTGAGTTCACACATCACAAACAGGTTTATGAGAATGTTTCTGTCTAGTTTTTATTTGAAGATATTTCCTTTCTCACCATAGACCTGAAAGCTGTCCTAGTGTTCACTTCCAGATACTACAGAAAGAGTGTTTCAAAACTGCTGTACGAAAGGGAAAGTTCAACTCTGTGACTTGAATGCACACATCACAAAGAAGTTTCTGAGGATGCTGCTGTCTACTTTTTATACGTAATCCCGTTTCCAACGAAATCCTCCAAGCTATCCAAATATCCACTTGCAGATTCCACAGAAAGACTGTTTCAAAAGTGCTCTCTCAATAGAAAGGTTCAACTCTGTTAGCTGCGTGCATATATCCCAAAGAAGATTCTGAGATTGCTTCTGTCTAGTTTTTATGGGAAGATATTTCCCTTTTCACCGTAGGTGTCAAGGCGCTCTAAATGTCCACTTCCAGATACTACAAAAAGAGTGTTTCAAACCTACTCTGTGAAAGGGAATATTCAACTCTGTGACTTGAATGCACATATCACAAAGAAGTTTCTGAGAATGCTTCTGTCGAGATTTTATATGAAGATATTCCCGTTTCCAACGAAATCCTGAAATGTATCCAAATATCCCCTCGCAGATTCTACAAAAAGAGTGTTTCAAAACTGCTCTGTAAAAAGAAAGGTTCAACTTTGTTAGTTGAGTACACACATCACAAACAAGTTTCACAGAATGCTTCTTTCTAGCTTGTAGGGGAAGATATTCCCTTTATCACCATGGGCCTCAGACCGTCCGAAACGTCCACTTCCATATACTACAAAAAGAGGGTTTCAAACCTGCTCTATGAAAGGCAATGTTCAACTCTGTGACTTGAATGCAGACATCACAGAGCAGTTTCTGAGAATGCTTCTGTCTAGATTTTATAGGAAGATATTCCCGTTTCCAACGAAATCTTCACAGCTATCCAAATATCCACTTGCAGATTCTACAAAAAGAGTGTATCAAAACTGCTCTGTCAAAAGGAAGGTTCTTCTCTGTTAGGTGAGTGCATACGTCACAAAGGAGTTTCTGAGAATGTTTCTGTCTAGTGGTTATGGGAAGATATTTGCTTTTTCCCCGTAGGCCTCAGGGCGCTCCAAATGTCCACTTGCAAATGCTACAAAAAGAGTGCTTCAAAGCTGCTCTCTGAAAGGGAATGTTCAACTCTATGAGTTGAATGCAAACATCACAAAGACGTTTCTGAGAATGCTTCTGTCTAGATTTGATATGAAGATATTCCCGTTTCCAACGAAATCTTCAAATCTATCCAAATGTCCACTTGCAGTTTCAACAAAAAGTGTTTTTCAGAACTGCTCTATCAAAAGAAAGATCCACCTCTGTTAGCTGAGTTCACACATCACAAACAAGTTTATGAGAATGCTTCTGTCTAGTTTTTATTTGAAGATATTTCCTTTCTCACCATAGACCTGAAAGCTGTCCTAATGTTCACTTCCAGATACTACAGAAAGAGTGTTTCAAAGCTGCTGTACGAAAGGGAATGTTCAACTCTGTGACTTGAATGCACACATCACAAAGAAGTTTCTGAGGATGCTGCTGTCTACTTTTTATACGTAATCCCGTTTCCAACGAAATCCTCCAGGCTATCCAAATATCCACTTGCAGATTCCACAGAAAGACTGTTTCAAAACTGCTCTGTCAATAGAAAGGTTCAACTCTGTTAGCTGCGTGCATATATCCCAAAGAAGATTCTGAGATTGATTCTGTCTAGTTTTTATGGGAAGATATTTCCCTTTTCACCGTAGGCGTCAAGGCGCTCCAAATGTCCACTTCCAGATACTACAAAAAGAGTGTTTCAAACCTACTCTGTGAAAGGGAATATTCAACTCTGTTACTTGAATGCAGATATCACAAAGAAGTTTCTGAGAATGCTTCTGTCGAAATTTTATATGAAGATATTCCAGTTTCCAACGAAATCCTGAAATCTATCCAAATATCCCCTCGCAGATTCTACAAAAAGAGTGTTTCAAAACTGCTCTGTAAAAAGAAAGGTTCAACTCTGTTAGTTGAGTACACACATCACAAACAAGTTTCACAGAATGCTTCTTTCTAGCTTGTAGGGGAAGATATTCCCTTTATCACCATGGGCCTCCAACCGTCCGAAACATCCACTTCCATATAATAGAAAAGGAGCGTTTCAAACCTGCTCTATGAAAGGCAATGTTCAACTCTGTGACTTGAATGCAGACATCACAGAGCAGTTTCTGAGAATGCTTCTGTCTAGATTTTATAGGAAGATATTCCCGTTTCCAACGAAATCTTCACAGCTATCCAAATATCCACTTGCAGATTCTACAAAAAGAGTGTATCTAAACTGCTCTGTCAAAAGGAAGGTTATTTTCTGTTAGGTGAGTGCATACGTCATAAAGGAGTTTCTGAGAATGTTTCTGTCTAGTGGTTATGGGAAGATATTTGCTTTTTCACCGTAGGCCTCAGAGCGCACCAAATATCCACTTGCACATACTACAAAAAGAGTGCTTCAAAGCTGCTCTCTGAAACGGAATGTTCAACTCTATGAGTTGAATGCAAACATCACAAAGACGTTTCTGAGAATGCGTCTGTCTAGATTTGATATGAAGATATTCCCGTTTCCAACGAAATCTTCAAATCTATCCAAATGTCCACTTGCAGATTCAACAAAAATTGTTTTTCAGAACTGCTCTATCAAAAGAAAGATCCACGTGTGTTAGCTGAGTTCACACATAACAAACAAGTTTATGAGAATGCTTGTCTGTCTAGTTTTTATTTGAAGATATTTCCTTTCTCACCATAGACCTGAAAGCTGTCCTAATGTTCACTTCCAGATACTACAGAAAGAGTGTTTCAAAACTGCTGTACGAAAGGGAATGTTCAACTATGTGACTTGAATGCACACATCACAAAGAAGTTTCTGAGGATGCTGCTGTCTACTTTTTATACGTAATCCCGTTTCCAACGAAATCCTCCAGGCTATCCAAATATCCACTTGCAGATTCCACAGAAAGACTGTTTCAAAACTGCTCTGTCAATAGAAAGGTTCAACTCTGTTAGCTGCGTGCATATATCCCAAAGAAGATTCTGAGATTGCTTCTGTCTAGTTTTTATGGGAAGATATTTCCCTTTTCACCGTAGGCGTCAAGGCGCTCCAAATGTCCACTTCCAGATACTACAAAAAGAGTGTTTCAAACCTACTCTGTGAAAGGGAATATTCAACTCTGTGACTTGAATGCACATATCTCAAGGAAGTTTCTGAGAATGCTTCTGTCGAGATTTTATATGAAGATATTCCCGTTTCCAACGAAATCCTGAAATGTATCCAAATATCCCCTTGCAGATTCTACAAAAAGAGTGTTTCAAAACTGCTCTGTAAAAAGAAAGGTTCAACTCTGTTAGTTGAGTACACACATCACAAACAAGTTTCACACAATGCTTCTTTCTAGCTTGTAGGGGAAGATATTCCCTTTATCACCATGGGCCTCAAACCGTCCGATAAGTCCACTTCCATATACTACAAAAAGAGCGTTTCAAACCTGCTCTATGAAAGGCAATGTTCAACTACTGTGACTTGAATGCAGACATCACAGAGCAGTTTCTGAGAATGCTTCTGTCTAGATTTTATAGGAAGATATTCCCGTTTCCAACGAAATCTTCACAGCTATCCAAATATCCACTTGCAGATTCTACCAAAAGAGTGTATGAAAACTGCTCTGTCAAAAGGAAGGTTCTTCTCTGTTAGGTGAGTGCATACGTCATAAAGGAGTTTCTGAGAATGTTTCTGTCTAGTGGTTATGGGAAGATATTTGCTTTTTCACCGAAGGCCTCAGAGCGCTCCAAATATCCACTTGCACATACTACAAAATGAGTGCCTCAAAGCTGCTCTCTGAAACGGAATGTTCAACACTATGAGTTGAATGCAAACATCGCAAAGACGTTTCCGAGAATGCTTCTGTCTAGATTTGATATGAAGATATTCTCGTTTCCAACGAAATCTTCAAATCTACCCAAATGTCCACTTGCAGATTCAACAAAAATTGTTTTTCAGAACTGCTCTATCAAAAGAAAGATCCACGTGTGTTAGCTGAGTTCACACATAACAAACAAGTTTATGAGAATGCTTCTGTCTTGTTTTTATTAGAAGATATTTCCTTTCTCACCATAGACCTGAAAGCTGTCCTAATGTTCACTTCCAGATACTACAGAAAGAGTGTTTCAAAACTGCTGTACGAAAGGGAATGTTCAACTCTGTGACTTGAATGCACACATCACAAGGATGTTTCTGAGGATGCTGCTGTCTACTTTTATACGTAATCCCGTTTCCAACGAAATCCTCCATGCTATCCAAATATCCACTTGCAGATTCCACAGAAAGACTGTTTCAAAACTGCTCTGTCAATAGAAAGGTTCAACTCTGTTAGCTGCGTGCATATATCCCAAAGAAGATTCTGAGATTGCTTCTGTCTAGTTTTTATGGGAAGATATTTCCCTTTTCACCGTAGGTGTCAAGGCGCTCCAAATGTCCACTTCCAGATACTACAAAAAGAGTGTTTCAAACCTACTCTGTGAAAGGGAATATTCAACTCTGTGAATTCAATGCACATATCACAAAGAAGTTTCTGAGAATGCTTCTGTCGAGATTTTATATGAAGATATTCCCGTTTCCAACGAAATCCTGAAATCTATTCAAATATCCCCTCGCAGATTCTACAAAAAGAGTGTTTCAAAACTGCTCTGTAAAAAGAAAGGTTCAACTCTGTTAGTTGAGTACACACATCACAAACAAGTTTCACAGAATGCTTCTTTCTAGCTTGTAGGGGAAGATATTCCCTTTATCACCATGGGCCTCAAACCGTCCGATAAGTCCACTTCCATATACTACAAAAAGAGCGTTTCAAACCTGCTCTATGAAAGGCAATGTTCAACTCTGTGACTTGAATGCAGACATCACAGAGCAGTTTGCTGAGAATGCTTCTGTCTAGATTTTATAGGAAGATATTCCCGTTTCCAACGAAATCTTCACAGGTATCCAAATATCCACTTGCAGATTCTACAAAAAGAGTGTATCAAAACTGCTCTGTCAAAAGGAAGGTTCTTCTCTGTTAGGTGAGTGCATACCGTCATAAAGGAGTTTCTGAGAAAGTTTCTGTCTAGTGGTTATGGGAAGATATTTGCTTTTTCACCGTAGGCCTCAGAGCGCTCCAAATATCCACTTGCACATACTACAAAAAGAGTGCCTCAAAGCTGTTCTCTGAAACGGAATGTTCAACTCTATGAGTTGAATGCAAACATCACAAAGACGTTTCTGAGAAAGCTTCTGTCTAGATTTGATATGAAGATATTCCCGTTTCCAACGAAATCTTCAAATCTATCCAAATGTCCTCTTGCAGATTCAACAAAAAGTGTTTTTCAGAACTGCTCTATCAAAAGAAAGATCGACGTGTGTTAGCTGAGTTCACACATCACGAACAAGTTTATGAGAATGCTTCTGTCTAGTTTTTATTTGAAGATATTTCCTTTCTCACCATAGAGCTGAAAGCTGTCCTAATGTTCACTTCCAGATACTACAGAAAGAGTGTTTCAAAACTGCTGTACGAAAGGGAATGTTCAACTCTGTGACTTGAATGCACACATCACAAAGAAGTTTCTGAGGATGCAGCTGTCTACTTTTTATACTTAATCCCGTTTCCAACGAAATCCTCCAAGCTATCCAAATATCCACTTGCAGATTCCACAGAAAGACTGTTTCAAAACTGCTCTGTCAATAGAAAGGTTCAACTCTGTTAGCTGCGTGCATATATCCCAAAGCAGATTCTGAGATTGCTTCTGTCTAGTTTTTATGGGAAGATATTTCCCTTTTCACCGTAGGCGTCAAGGCGCTCCAAATGTCCACTTCCAGATACTACAAAAAGAGTGTTTCAAACCTACTCTATGAAAGGGAATATTCAACTCTGTGACTTGAATGCACATATCACAAGGAAGTTTCTGAGAATGCTTTTGTCGAGATTTTCTATGAAGATATTCCCGTTTCCAACGAAATCCTGAAATGTATCCAAATATCCCCTCGCAGATTCTACAAAAAGAGTGTTTCAAAACTGCTCTGTAAAAAGAAAGGTTCAACTCTGTTAGTTGAGTACAAACATCACAAACAAGTTTCACAGAATGCTTCTTTCTAGCTTGAAGGGGAAGATATTCCCTTTATCACCATGGGCCTCAAACCGTCTGAAACGTCCACTTCCATATACTACAAAAAGAGCATTTCAAACCTGCTCTATGAAAGGCAATGTTCAACTCTGTGACTTGAATGCAGACATCACAGAGCAGTTTCTGAGAATGCTTCTGTCCAGACTTTATAGGAAGATATTCCCGTTTCCAAAGAAATCTTCACAGCTATCCAAATATACACTTGCAGATACTGCAAAAAGAGTGTATCAAAAATGCTCTGTCAAAAGGAAAGTTCTTCTCTGCTAGTTGAGTACATACGTCATAAAGAAGTTTCTGAGAATGTTTCTGTCTAGTGGTTATGGGAAGATATTTGCTTTTTCACCGTAGGCCTCAGAGCGCTCCAAATATCCACTTGCACATGCTACAAAAAGAGTGCTTCAAAGCAGCTCTCTGAAACGGAATGTTCAACTCTATGAGTTGAATGCAAACATCACAAAGACGTTTCTGAGAATGCTTCTGTCTAGATTTGATATGAAGATATTCCCGTTTCCAACGAAATCTTCAAATCTATCCAAATGTCCACTTGCAGATTCAACAAAAAGTGTTTTTCAGAACTGCTCTATCAAAAGTAAGATCCACCTCTGTTAGCTGAGTTCACACCTCACAAACAAGTTTATGAGAATGCTTCTGTCTAGTTTTTATTTGAAGATATTTCCTTTCTCACCATAGACCTGAAAGCTATCCTAATGTTCACTTCCAGATACTACAGAAAGAGTGTTTCAAAACTGCTGTACGAAAGGTGATGTTCAACTCTGTGACTTGAATGCACACATCACAAAGAAGTTTCTGAGGATGCTGCTGTCTACTTTTTATACGTAATCCCGTTTCCAACGAAATCCTCCAAGCTATCCAAATATCCACTTGCAGATTCCACAGAAAGACTGTTTCAAAACTGCTCTGTCAATAGAAAGGTTCAACTCTGTTAGCTGCGTGCATATATCCCAAAGAAGATTCTGAGATAGCTTCTGTCTAGTTTTTATGGGAAGATATTTCCCTTTTCACTGTAGGCGTCAAGGCGCTCCAAATGTCCACTTCCAGATACTACAAAAAGAGTGTTTCAAACCTACTCTGTGAAAGGGAATATTCAACTCTGTGACTTGAATGCACATATCACAAGGAAGTTTCTGAGAATGCTTCTGTCGAGATTTTATATGAAGATATTCCCGTTTCCAACGAAATCCTGAAATCTATCCAAATATCCCCTCGCAGATTCTACAAAAAGAGTGTTTCAAAACTGCTCTGTAAAAAGAAAGGTTCAACCCTGTTAGTTGAGTACACACATCACAAACAAGATTCACAGAATGCTTCTTTCTAGCTTGTAGGGGAAGATATTCCCTTTATCACCGTGGGCCTCAAACCGTCCGAAACATCCACTTCCATATACTACAAAAAGAGCGTTTCAAACCTGCTCTATGAAAGGCAATGTTCAACTCTGTGACTTGAATGCAGACATCACAGAGCAGTTTCTGAGAATGCTTCTGTCTAGATTTTATAGGAAGATATTCCCGTTTCCAACGAAATCTTCACAGCTATCAAAATATCCACTTGCAGATTCTACAAAAAGAGTGTATCAAAACTGCTCTGTCAAAAGGAAGGTTCTTCTCTGTTAGGTGAGTGCATACGTCATAAAGGAGTTTCTGAGAATGTTTCTGTCTAGTGGTTATGGGAAGATATTTGCTTTTTCACCGTAGGCCTCAGAGCGCTCCAAATATCCACGTGCACATACTACAAAAAGAGTGCTTCAAAGCTGGTCTCTGAAACGGAATGTTCAACTCTATGAGTTGAATGCAAACATCACAAAGACGTTTCTGAGAATGCTTCTGTCTAGCATTTGATATGAAGATATTCCCGTTTCCAACGAAATCTTCAAATCTATCCAAATGTCCACTTGCAGATTCAACAAAAAGTGTTTTTCAGAACTGCTCTATCAAAAGAAAGATCCACCTCTGTTAGATGAGTTCACACATCACAAACAAGTTTATGAGAATGCTTCTGTCTAGTTTTTATTTGAAGATGCTTCCTTTCTCACCATAGACCTGAAAGCTGTCCTAATGTTCACTTCCAGATACTACAGAAAGAGTGTTTCAAAACTGCTGTACGAAAGGGAATGTTCAACTCTGTGACTTGAATGCACACATCACAAAGAAGTTTCTGAGGATGCTGCGGTCTACTTTTTATACGTAATCCCGTTTCCAACGAAATCCTCCACTCTATCCAAATATCCACTTGCAGATTCCACAGAAAGACTGTTTCAAAACTGCTCTGTCAATAGAAAGGTTCAACTCTGTTAGCTGCGTGCATATATCCCAAAGAAGATTCTGAGATTGCTTCTGTCTAGTTTTTATGGGAAGATATTTCCCTTTTCACCGTAGGTGTCAAGGCGCTCCAAATGTCCACTTCCAGATACTACAAAAAGAGTGTTTCAAACCTACTCTGTGAAAGGGAATATTCAACTCTGTGACTTGAATGTACATATCACAAAGAAGTTTCTGAGAATGCTTCTGTCGAGATTTTATATGAAGATATTCCCGTTTCCAACGAAATGCTGAAATGTATCCAAATATCCCCTCGCAGATTCTACAAAAAGAGTGTTTCAAAACTGCTCTGTAAAAAGAAAGGTTCAACTCTGTTAGTTGAGTACACACATCAAAAACAAGTTTCACAGAATGCTTCTTTCTAGCTTGTAGGGGAAGATATTCCCTTTATCACCATGGGCCTCAAACCGTCCGAAACGTCCACTTCCATATACTACAAAAAGAGCGTTTCAAACCTGCTCTATGAAAGGCAATGTTCAACCCTGTGACTTCAATGCAGACATCACAGAGCAGTTTCTGAGAATGCTTCCGTCTAAATTTTATAGGAAGATATTCCCCTTTCCAACGAAATCTTCACAGCTATCCAAATATCCACTTGCAGATTCTACAAAAAGAGTGTATCAAAACTGCTCTGTCAAAAGGAAGGTTCTTCTCTGTTAGGTGAGTGCATACGTCATAAAGGAGTTTCTGAGAATGTTTCTGTCTAGTGGTTATGGGAAGATATTTGCTTTTTCACCATAGGCCTCAGAGCGCTCCAAATATCCACTTGCACATAGTACAAAAAGAGTGCTTCAAAGCTGCTCTCTGAAAGGGAATGTTCAACTCTATGAGTTGAATGCTAACATCACAAAGACGTTTCTGAGAATGCTTCTGTCTAGATTTGATATGAGGATATTCCCGTTTCCAACGAAATCTTCAAATCTATCCAAATGTCCACTTGCAGATTCAACAAAAAGTGTTTTTCAGAACTGCCCTATCAAAAGAAAGATCCACCTCTGTTAGCTGAGTTCACACATCACAAACAAGTTGATGAGAATGCTTCTGTCTAGTTTTTATTTGAAGATATTTCCTTTCTCACCATAGACCTGAAAGCTGTCCTAATGTTCACTTCCAGATACTACAGAGTGTTTCAAAACTGCTGTACGAAAGGGAATGTTCAACTCTGTGACTTGAATGCACACATCACAAAGAAGTTTCTGAGGATGCTTCTGTCCAGCCTTTATAGGAAGATATTCCTGTTTCCAACGAAATCTTCACAGCTATCCAAATATCCACTTGCAGATTCCACAGAAAGACTGTTTCTAAACTGCTCTTTCAATAGAAAGGTTCAACTGTGTTAGCTGCGTGCATATATCCCAAAGAAGATTCTCAGATTGCTTCTGTCTACTTTTTATGAGAAGATATTTCCCTTTTCACCGTAGGCATCAAGGCGCTCCAAATGTCCACTTCCAGATACTAGAAAAAGAGTGTTTCAAACCTACTCTGTGAAAGGGAATATTCAACTTTGTGACTTGAATGCACATATCACAAAGAAGCTTCCGAGAATGCATCTGTCGAGATTTTATATGAAGATATTCCCCTTTCCAACGAAATCCTGAAATGTATCCAAATATCCCCTCGCAGATTCTACAAAAAGAGTGTTTCAAAACTGCTCTGTAAAAAGAAAGGTTCAACTCTGTTAGTTGAGTACACACATCACAAACAAGTTTCACAGAATGCTTCTTTCTACCTTGTAGGTGAAGATATTTCCTTTATCACCATGGGCCTCAAACCGTCCGAAACGTCCACTTCCATATACTAAAAAAAGAGTGTTTCAAACCTGCTCTATGAAAGGCAATGTTCAACTCTGTGACTTGAATGCAGACATCACAGAGCAGTTTCTGAGAATGCTTCTGTTTAGATTTTATAGGAAGATATTCCCGTTTCCAACGAATTCTTCACTGATATCCAAATATCCACTTGCAGAGTCTACAAAAAGAGTGTATCAAAACTGCTCTGTCAAAAGGAAGGTTCTTCTCGGTTAGTTGAGTACATACGTCATAAAGAAGTTTCTGAGAATGTTTCTGTCTAGTGGTTATGGGAAGATATTTGCTTTTTCCCCGTAGGCCTCAGGGCGCTCCAAATGTCCACTTGCACATGCTACAAAAAGAGTGCTTCAAAGCTGCTCTCTGAAACCGAATGTTCAACTCTATGAGTTGAATGCAAACATCACAAAGACGTTTCTGAGAATGCTTCTGTCTAGATTTGATATGAAGATATTCCCGTTTCCAACGAAATCTTCATATCTATCCAAATGTCCACTTGCAGATTCAACAAAAAGTGTTTTTCAAAACTGCTGTATCAAAAGAAAGATCCAGGTCTGTTAGCTGAGTTCACACATCACAAACAAGTTTATGAGAATGCTTCTGTCTAGTTTTTATTTGAAGATATTTCCTTTCTCACCATAGACCTGAAAGCTGTCCTAATGTTCACTTCCAGATACTACAGAAAGAGTGTTTCAACACTGCTGTACGAAAGGGAATGTTCAACTCTGTGACTTGAATGCACACATCACAAAGTAGTTTCTGAGGATGCTGCTGTCTACTTTTTATACGTAATCCCGTTTCCAACGAAATCCTCCAAGCTATCCAAATATCCACTTGCAGATTCCACAGAAAGACTGTTTCAAAACTGCTCTGTCAATAGAAAGGTTCAACTCTTTTAGCTGCGTGCATATATCCCAAAGAAAATTCTGAGATTGCTTCTGTCTAGTTTTTATGGGAAGATATTTCCCTTTTCACCGTAGGTGTCAAGGCGCTCCAAATGTCCACTTCCAGATACTACAAAAAGAGTATTTCAAACCTACTATGTGAAAGGCAATATTCAACTCTGTGACTTGAATGCAGATATCACAAAGAAGTTTCTGAGAATGCTTCTGTCGAGATTTTACATGAAGATATTCCCGTTTCCAACCAAATGCTGAAATCTATCCAAATATCTCCTCGCAGATTCTACAAAAAGAGTGTTTCAAAACTGCTCTGTGAAAAGAAAGGTTCAACTCTGTTAGTTGAGTACACACATCACAAACAAGTTTCACACAATGCTTTCTTTCTATCTTGTAGGGGAAGATATTCCCTTTATCACCATGGGCCTCCAACCGTCCGAAACATCCACTTCCATATACTACAAAAAGAGCGTTTCAAACCGGCTCTATGAAAGGCAATGTTCAACTCTGTGACTTGAATGCAGACATCACAGAGCAGTTTCTGAGAATGCTTCTGTCTAGATTTTATAGGAAGATATTCCCGTTTCCAACGAAACCTTCACAGCTATCCAAATATCCACTTGCAGATTCTACAAAAAGAGTGTATCAAAACTGCTCTGTCAAAAGGAAGGTTCTTTTCTGTTAGGTGAGTGCATACGTCATAAAGGAGTTTCTGAGAATGTTTATCTGTCTAGTGGTTATGGGAAGATATTTGCTTTTTCACCGTAGGCCTCAGAGCGCTCCAAATATCCACTTGCACATACTACAAAAAGAGTGCCTCAAAGCTGCTCTCTGAAACCGAATGTTCAACTCTATGAGTTGAATGCAAACATCACAAAGACGTTTCTGAGAATGCTTCTGTCTAGATTTGATATGAAGATATTCCCCTTTCCAACGAAATCTTCAAATCTATCCAAATGTCCACTTGCAGATTCAACAAAAAGTGTTTTTCAGAACTGCTCTATCAAAAGAAAGATCCACCTCTGTTAGCTGAGTTCACACATCACAAACAAGTTTATGAGAATGCTTCTGTCTAGTTTTTATTTGAAGATATATCCTTTCTCACTATAGACCTGAAAGCTCTCCTAAAGTTCACTTCCAGATACTACAGAAAGAGTGTTTCAAAACTGCTGTACGAAAGGGAATGTTCAACTCTGTGACTTGAATGCACACATCACAAGGAAATTTCTGAGGATGCTGCTGTCTACTTTTTATACGTAATCCCGTTTCCAAAGAAATCCTCCAAGCTATCCAAATACCCACTTGCAGATTCCACAGAAAGACTGTTTCAAAACTGCTCTGTCAATAGAAAGGTTCAACTCTGTTAGCTGCGTGCATATATCCCAAAGAAGATTTTGAGATTGCTTCTGTCTAGTTTTTATGGGAAGATATTTCCCTTTTCACCGTAGGTGTCAAGGTGCTCCAAATGTCCACTTCCAGATACTACAAAAAGAGTGTTTCAAACCTACTCTGTGAAAGGGAATATTCAACTCTGTGACTTGAATGCACATATCACAAAGAAGTTTCTGAGAATGCTTCTGTCGAGATTTTATATGAAGATATTACCTTTTCCAACGAAATCCTGAAATCTATCCAAATATCCCCTCGCAGATTCTACAAAAAGAGTGTTTCAAAACTGCTCTGTAAAAAGAAAGGTTCAACTCTGTTACTTGAGTACACACATCACAAACAAGTTTCACAGAATGCTTCTTTCTAGCTTGTAGTGGAAGATATTCCCTTTATCACCATGGGCCTCAAACCGTCCGAAAAGTCCACTTCCATATACTACAAAAAGAGCGTTTCAAACCTGCTCTATGAAAGGCAATGTTCAACTCTGTGACTTGAATGCAGACATCACAGAGCAGTTTCTGAGAATGCTTCTGTCTAGATTTTATAGGAAGATATTCCCGTTTCCAACGAAATCTTCACAGCTATCCAAATATCCACTTGCAGATTCTACAAAAAGAGTGTATCAAAACTGTTCTGTCGAAAGGAAGGTTCTCCTCTGTTAGGTGAGTGCATACGTCATAAAGGAGTTTCTGAGAATGTTTCTGTCTAGTGGTTATGGGAAGATATTTGCTTTTTCACCGTAGGCCTCAGAGCGCTCCAAATATCCACTTGCACATACTACAAAAAGAGTGCCTCAAAGCTGCTCTCTGAAACGGAATGTTCGACTCTATGAGTTGAATGCAAACATCACAAAGACGTTTCTGAGAATGCTTCTGTCTAGATTTGATATGAAGATATTCCCGTTTCCAACGAAATCTTCAAATCTATCCTAATGTCCACTTGCAGATTCAACAAAAAGTGTTTTTCAGAACTGCTCTATCAAAAGAAAGATCCACCTCTGTTAGCTGAGTTCACACATCACAAACAAGTTTATGAGAATGCTTATCTGTCTAGTTTTTATTTGAAGATATATCCTTTCTCACTATAGACCTGAAAGCTCTCATAAAGTTCACTTCCAGATACTACAGAAAGAGTGTTTCAAAACTGCTGTACGAAAGGGAATGTTCAACTCTGTGACTTGAATGCACACATCACAAGGATGTTTCTGAGGATGCTGCAGTCTACTTTTTATACGTAATCCCGTTTCCAACGAAATCCTCCAATCTATCCAAATATCCACTTGCAGATTCCACAGAAAGACTGTTTCAAAACTGCTCTGTCAACAGAAAGGTTCAACTCTGTTAGCTGCGTGCATATATCCCAAAGAAGATTCTCAGATTGCTTCTGTCTAGTTTTTATGGGAAGATATTTCCCTTTTCACCGTAGGCGTCAAGGCGCTCCAAATGTCCACTTCCAGATACTATAAAAAGAGTGTTTGAAACCTACTCTGTGAAAGGGAATATTCAACTCTGTGACTTGAATGCAGATATCACAAGGAAGTTTCTGAGAATGCTTCTGTCGAGATTTTATATGAAGATATTCTCGTTTCCAACGAAATCCTGAAATCTATCCAAATATCCCCTCACAGATTCTACAAAAAGAGTGTTTCAAAACTGCTCTGTAAAAAGAAAGGTTCAACTCTGTTAGTTGAGTACACACATCACAAACAAGTTTCACAGAATGCTTCTTTCTAGCTTGTAGGGGAAGATATTCCCTTTATCACCATGGGCCTCCAACCGTCCGAAACATCCACTTCCCTATACTACAAAAAGAGCGTTTCAAACCTGCTCTATGAAAGGCAATGTTCAACTCTGTGACTTGAATGCAGACATCACAGAGCAGTTTCTGAGAATGCTTCTGTCTAGATTTTATAGGAAGATATTCCCGTTTCCAACGAAATCTTCACAGCTATCCAAATATCCACTTGCAGATTCTACAAAAAGAGTGTATCAAAACTGCTCTGTCAAAAGGAAGGTTCTTCTCTGTTAGGTGAGTGCATACGTCCTAAAGCAGTTTCTGAGAATGTTTCTGTCTAGTGGTTATAGGAAGATATTTGCTTTTTCCCCGTAGGCCTCAGGGCGCTCGAAATGTCCACTTGCACATGCTACAAAAAGAGTACTTCAAAGCTGCTCTCTGAAAGGGAATGTTCAACTCTATGAGTTGAATGCAAACATCACAAAGACGTTTCTGAGAATGCTTCTGTCTAGATTTGATATGAAGATATTCCCGTTTCCAACGAAATCTTCAACTCTATCCAAATGTCCACTTGCAGATTCAACAAAAAGTGTTTTTCAGAACTGCTCTATCAAAAGAAAGATCCACCTCTGTTAGCTGAGTTCACACATCACAAACAAGTTTATGAGAATGCTTCTGTCTAGTTTTTATTGGAAGGTATTTCCTTTCTCACCATAGACCTGAAAGCTGTCCTAATGTTCACTTCCAGATACTACAGAAAGAGTGTTTCAAAACTGCTGTACGAAAGGGAATGTTCAACTCTGTGACTTGAATGCACACATCACAAAGAAGTTTCTGAGGATGCTGCTGTCTACTTTTTATACGTAATCCCGTTTCCAATGAAATCCTCCAAGCTATCCAAATATCCACTTGCAGATTCCACAGAAAGACTGTTTCAAATCTGCTCAGTCAATAGAAAGGTTCAACTCTGTTAGCTGCGTGCATATATCACAAAGAAGATTCTGAGATTGCTTCTGTCTAGTTTTTATGGGAAGATATTTCCCTTTTCACCGTAGGCGTCAAGGCGCTCCAAATGTCCACTTCCAGATACTACAAAAAGAGTGTTTCAAACCTACTCGGTGAAAGGGAATATTCAACTCTGTGACTTGAATGCAGATATCACAAAGAAGTTTCTGAGAATGCTTCTGTCGAGACTTTTATATGAAGATATTCCCGTTTCCAACGAAATCCTGAAATCTATCCAAATATCCCCTCGCAGATTCTACAAAAAGAGTGTTTCAAAACTGCTCTGTAAAAAGAAAGGTTCAACTCTGTTAGTTGAGTACACACATCCCAAACTAGTTTCACACAATGCTTCTTTCTAGCTTGTAGGGGAAGATATTCCCTTTATCACCATGGTCCTCAAACCGTCCGAAACGTCCTCTTCCATATAGTACAAAAAGAGCGTTTCAAACCTGCTCTATGAAAGGCAATGTTCAATTCTGTGACTTGAATGCAGACATCACAGAGCAGTTTCTGAGAATGCTTCTGTCTAGTATTTTATAGGAAGATATTCCCGTTTCCAACGAAATCTTCACAGCTATCCAAATATCCACTTGCAGATTCTACAAAAAGAGTTTATCAAAACTGCTCTGTCAAAAGGAAGGTTCTTCTCTGTTAGGTGAGTGCATACTTCATAAAGGAGTTTCTGAGAATGTTTCTGTCTAGTGGTTATGGGAAGATATTTGCTTTTTCCCCGTAGGTCTCAGGGCGCTCCAAATGTCCACTTGCACATGCTACAAAAAGAGTGCTTCATATCTGCTCTATGGAAGGGAATGTTCAACTCTATGAGTTGAATGCAAACATCACAAAGACGTTTCTGAGAATGCTTCTGTCTAGATTTGATATGAAGATATTCCCGTTTCCAACGAAATCTTCAATCTATCCAAATATCCACTTGCAGATTCAACAAAAAGTGTTTTTCAGAACTGCTCTATCAAAAGAAAGATCCACCTCTGTTAGCTGAGTTCACACATCACAAACAAGTTTATGAGAATGCTTCTGTCTAGTTTTTATTTGAAGATATTTCCTTTCTCACCATAGAGCTGAAAGCTGTCCTAATGTTCACTTCCAGATACTACAGAAAGAGTGTTTCAAAACTGCTGTACGAAAGGGAATGTTCAACTCTGTGACTTGAATGCACACATAACAAAGAAGTTTCTGAGGATGCTACTGTCTACTTTTTATACGTAAACCCGTTTCCAACGAAATCCTCCAAGCTATCCAAATATCCACTTGCAGATTCCACAGAAAAACTGTTACAAAACTGCTCTGTCAATAGAAAGGTTCAACTCTGTTAGCTGCGTGCATATATCCCAAAGAAGATTCTGAGATTGCTTTCTGTCTAGTTTTTATGGGAAGATATTTCCCTTTTCACCGTAGGTGTCAAGGCGCTCAAAATGTCCACTTCCAGATACTACAAAAAGAGTGTTTCAAACCTACTCTGTGAAAGGGAATATTCAACTCTGTCACTTGAATGCAGATATCACAAAGAAGTTTCTGAGAATTCTTCTGTCGAGATTTTATATGAAGATATTCCCGTTTCCAACGAAATCCTGAAATCTATCCAAATATCCCCTCGCAGATTCTACAAAAAGAGTGTTTCAAAACTGCGCTGTAAAAAGAAAGGTTCAACTCTGTTAGTTGAGTACACACATCACAAACAAGTTTCACAGAATGCTTCTTTCTAGCTTGTAGGGGAAGATATTCCCTTTATCACCGTGGGCCTCAAACCGTCCGATAAGTCCACTTCCATATACTACAAAAAGAGCGTTTCAAACCTGCTCCATGAAAGGCAATGTTCAACTCTGTGACTTGAATGCAGACATCACAGAGCAGTTTACTGAGAATGCTTCTGTCTAGATTTTATAGGAAGATATTCAAGTTTCCAACGAAATCTTCACAGCTATCCAAATATCCACTTGCAGATTCTACAAAAAGAGTGTATCAAAACTGCTCTGTCAAAAGGAAGGTTCTTTTCTGTTAGGTGAGTGCATACGTCATAAAGGAGTTTCTGAGAATGTTTCTGTCTAGTGGTCATGGGAAGATATTTGCTTTTTCACCGTAGGCCTCAGAGCGCTCCAAATATCCACTTGCACATACTACAAAAAGAGTGCCTCAAAGCTGCTCTCTGAAACGGAATGTTCAACTCTATGAGTTGAATGCAAACATCACAAAGACGTTTCTGAGAATGCTTCTGTCTAGATTTGATATGAAGATATTCCCGTTTCCAACGAAATCTTCATATCTATCCAAATGTCCACTTGCAGATTCAACAAAAAGTGTTTTTCAGAACTGCTCTATCAAAAGAAAGATCCACCTCTGTTAGCTGAGTTCACACATCACAAACAAGTTTATGAGAATGCTTCTGTCTAGTTTTTATTTGAAGATATTTCCTTTCTCACCATAGAGCTGAAAGCTGTCCTAATGTTCACTTCCATATACTACAGAAAGAGTGTTTCAAAACTGCTGTACGAAAGGGAATGTTCAACTCTGTGACTTGAATGCACACATCACAAAGGAGTTTCTGAGGATGCTGCTGTCTACTTTTTATACGTAATCCCGTTTCCAACGAAATCCTCCAAGCTATCCAAATATCCACTTGCAGATTCCACAGAAAGACTCTTTCAAAACTGCTCTGTCAATAGAAAGGTTCAACTCTGTTAGCTGCGTGCATATATCCCAAAGAAGATTCTGAGATTGCTTCTGTCTAGTTTTTATGGGAAGATATTTCCCTTTTCACCGTAGGCGTCAAGGTGCTCCAAATGTCCACTTCCAGATACTACAAAAGGAGTGTTTCAAACCTACTCTGTCAAAGGGAATATTCAACTCTGTGACTTGAATGCACATATCACAAAGAGGTTTCTGAGAATGTTTCTGTCGAGATTTTATATGAAGATATTCCCGTTCCCAACGAAATCCTCAAATCTATCCAAATATCCCCTCACAGATTCTACAAAAAGAGTGTTTCAAAACTGCTCTTTAAAAAGAAAGGTTCAACTCTGTTAGTTGAGTACACACATCACAAACAAGTTTCATAGAATGCTTCTTTCTAGCTTGTAGGGGAACATATTCCCTTTATCACCATGGGCCTCAAACCGTCCGAAACGTCCACTTCCATATACTACAAAAAGAGCGTTTCAAACCTGCTCTATGAAAGGCAATGTTCAACTCTATGACTTGAATGCAGACATCACAGAGCAGTTTCTGAGAATGCTTCTGTCTAGATTTTGTAGGAAGATATTCCCGATTCCAACGAAATCTTCACAGCTATCCAAATATCCACTTGCAGATTCTACAAAAAGAGTGTATCAAAACTGCTCTGTCAAAAGGAAGGTTCTTCTCTGTTAGGTGAGTGCATACGTCATAAAGGAGTTTCTGAGAATGTTTCTGACTAGTGGTTATGGGAAGATATTTGCTTTTTCACCGTAAGCCTCAGAGCGCTCCAAATATCCACTTGCACATACTACAAAAAGAGTGCCTCAAAGCTGCTCTCTGAAACGGAATGTTCAACTCTATGAGTTGAATGCAAACATCGCAAAGACGTTTCTGAGAATGCTTCTGTCTAGATTTGATATGAAGATATTCCCGTTTCCAACGAAATCTTCAAATCTATCCAAATGTCCACTTGCAGATTCAACAAAAAGTGTTTTTCAGAACTGCTCTATCAAAAGAAAGATCCACCTCTGTTAGCTGAGTTCACACATCACAAACAAGTTTATGAGAATGCTTCTGTCTAGTTTTTATTTGAAGATATTCCCTTTTTCACCACAGACCTGAAAGCTGTCCTAATGTTCACTTCCAGATACTACAGAAAGAGTGTTTCAAAGCTGCTGTACGAAAGGGAATGTTCAACTCTGTGACTTGAATGCACACATCACAAAGAAGTTTCTGAGGATGCTGCTGTCTACTTTTTATACGTAATCCCGTTTCCAACGAAATCCTCCAAGCTATCCAAATATCCACTTGCAGATTCCACAGAAAGACTGTTTCAAAACTGCTCTGTCAATAGAAAGGTTCAACTCTGTTAGCTGCGTGCGTATATCCCAAAGAAGATTCTGAGATTGCTTCTGTCTAGTTTTGATGGGAAGATACTTCCCTTTTCACCGTAGGCGTCAAGGCGCTCCAAATGTCCACTTCCAGATACTACAAAAAGAGTGTTTCAAACCTACTCTGTGAAAGGGAATATTCAACTCTGTGACTTGAATGCACATATCACAAGGAAGTTTCTGAGAATGCTTCTGTCGAGATTTCATATGAAGATATTCCCGTTTCCAACGAAATCCTGAAATCTATCCAAATATCCCCTCGCAGATTCTACAAAAAGAGTGTTTCAAAACTGCTCTTTAAAAAGAAAGGTTCAACTCTGTTAGTTGAGTACACACATCACAAACAAGTTTCACAGAATGCTTCTTTCTAGCTTGTGGTGGAAGATATTCCCTTTATCACCATGGGACTCAAACCGTCCGAAACGTCCACTTCCATATACTACAAAAAGAGCGTTTCAAACCTGCTCTATGAAAGGCAATGTTCAACTCTGTGACTTGAATGCAGACATCACAGAGCAGTTTCTGAGAATGCTTCTGTCTAGATTTTATAGGAAGATATTACCGTTTCCAACGAAATCTTCACAGCTATCCAAATATCCACTTGCAGGTTCTACAAAAAGAGTGTATCAAAACTGCTCTGTCAAAAGGAAGGTTCTTCTCTGTTAGGTGAGTGCATACGTCATAAAGGAGTTTCTGAGAATGTTTCTGTCTAGTGGTTATGGGAAGATATTTGCTTTTTCACCGTAGGCCTCAGAGCGCTCCAAATATCCACTTGCACATACTACAAAAAGAGTGCTTCAAAGCTGCTCTCTGAAACGGAACGTTCAACTCTATGAGTTGAATGCAAACATCACAAAGACGTTTCTGAGAATGCTTCTGTCTAGATTTGATATGAAGATATTCCCGTTTCCAACGAAATCTTCAAATATATCCAAATGTCCGCTTGCAGATTCAACAAAAAGTGTTTTTCAGAACTGCTCTATCAAAAGAAAGATCCACCTCTGTTAGCTGAGTTCACACATCACAAACAAGTTTATGAGAATGCTTCTGTCTAGTTTTTATTTGAAGATATTTCCTTTCTCACCATAGACGTGAAAGCTGTCCTAATGTTCACTTCCAGATACTATAGAAAGAGTGTTTCAAAACTGCTGTACGAAAGGGAATGTTCAACCCTGTGACTTGAATGCACACATCACAAAGAAGTTTCTGAGGATGCTGCTGTCTACTTTTTATACGTAATCCCGTTTCCAACGAAATCCTCCAAGCTATCCAAATATCCACTTGCAGATTCCTCAGAAAGACTGTTTCAAAACTGCTCTGTCAATAGAAAGGTTCAACTCTGTTAGCTGCGTGCATATATCCCAAAGAAGATTCTGAGATTGCTTCTGTCTAGTTTTTATGGGAAGATATTTCCCTTTTCACCGTAGGTGTCAAGGCGCTCCAAATGTCCACTTCCAGACACTACAAAAAGAGTGTTTCAAACCTACTCTGTGAAAGGGAATATTCAACTCTGTGACTTGAATGCACATATCACAAAGAAGTTTCTGAGAGTGCTTCTGTCGAGATTTTATATGAAGATATTCCCGTTTCCAGCGAAATCCTGAAATGTATCCAAATATCCCCTCGTAGATTCTACAAAAAGAGTGTTTCAAAACTGCTCTGTAAAGAGAAAGGTTCAACTCTGTTAGTTGAGTGCACACATCACAAACAAGTTTCACAGAATGCTGCTTTCTAGCTTGTAGGGGAAGATATTCCCTTTATCACCATGGGCCTCAAACCGTCCGAAACGTCCACTTCCATATACTACAAAAAGAGCGTTTCAAACCTGCTCTATGAAAGGCAATGTTCAACTCTGTGACTTGAATGCAGACATCACAGAGCAGTTTCTGAGAATGCTTCTGTCTAGATTTTATAGGAAGATATTCCCGTTTCCAACGAACTCTTCACAGCTATCCAAATATCCACTTTCAGATTCTACAAAAAGAGTGTATCAAAACTGCTCTGTCAAAAGGAAGGTTCTTCTCTGTTAGGTGAGTGCATACGTCATAAAGGAGTTTCTGAGAATGTTTCTGTCTAGTGGTTATGGGAAGATATTTGCTTTTTCACCGTAGGCCTCACAGCGCTCCAAATATCCACTTGCACATACTACAAAAAGAGTGCTTCAAAGCTGCTCTCTGAAACGGAATGTTCAACTCTATGAGTTGAATGCAAACATCACAAAGACGTTTCCGAGAATGCTTCTGTCTAGATTTGATATGAAGATATTCCCGTTTCCAACGAAATCTTCAAATCTATCCAAATGTCCACTTGCAGATTCAACAAAAAGTGTTTATCAGAACTGCTCTATCAAAAGAAAGATCCACCTCTGTTAGCTGAGTTCACACATCACAAACAAGTTTATGAGAATGCTTCTGTCTAGTTTTTATTTGAAGATATATCCTTTCTCACTATAGACCTGAAAGGTGTCCTAAAGTTCACTTCCAGATACTACAGAAAGAGTGTTTCAAAACTGCTGTACGAAAGGGAATGTTCAACTCTGTGACTTGAATGCACACATCACAAGGATGTTTCTGAGGATGCTGCTGTCTACTTTTTATACGTAATCCTGTTTCCAACGAAATCCTCCAAGCTATCCAAATATCCACTTGCAGATTCCACAGAAAGAATGTTTCAAAACTGCTCTGTCAATAGAAAGGTTCAACTCTGTTAGCTGCGTGCATATATCCCAAAGAAGATTCTGAGATTGCTTCTGTCTAGTTTTTGTGGGAAGATATTTCCCTTTTCACCGTAGGCGTCAAGGCGCTCCAAATGTCCACTTCCAGATACTACAAAAAGAGTGTTTCAAACCTACTGTGTGAAAGGGAATATTCAACTCTGTGACTTGAATGCACATATCACAAAGAAGTTTCTGAGAATGCTTCTGTCGAGATTTTTTATGAAGATATTCCCGTTTCCAACGAAATCCTGAAATCTATCCAAATATCCCCTCGCAGATTCTACAAAAAGAGTGTTTCAAAACTGCTCTGTAAAAAGAAAGGTTCAACTCTGTTAGTTGAGTACAGACATCACAAACAACTTTCACAGAATGCTTCTTTCTAGCTTGTAGGGGAAGATATTCCCTTTATCACCATGGGCCTCCAACCGTCCGAAACATCCACTTCCATATACTACACAAAGAGCGTTTCAAACCTGCTCTATGAAAGGCAATGTTCAACTCTGTGACTTGAATGCAGACATCACAGAGCAGTTTCTGAGAATGCTTCTGTCCAGACTTTATAGGAAGATATTCCCGTTTCCAACGAAATCTTCACAGCTATCCAAATATCCACTTGCAGATACTACAAAAAGAATGTATCAAAAATGCTCTGTCAAAAGGAAAGTTCTTCTCTGCTAGTTGAGTACATACGTCATAAAGAAGTTTCTGAGAATGTTTCTGTCTAGTGGTTATGGGAAGATATTTTCTTTTTCACCGTAGGCCTCAGAGCGCTCCAAATATCCAGTTGCACATACTACAAAAAGAGTGCCTCAAAGCTGCTCTCTGAAACGGAATGTTCAACTCTGTGAGTTGAATGCAAACATCGCAAAGACGTTTCTGAGAATGCTGCTGTCTAGATTTGATATGAAGATATTCCCGTTTCCAACGAAATCTTCAAATCTATCCAAATGTCCACTTGCAGATTCAACAAAAAGTGTTTTTCAGAACTGCTCTATCAAAAGAAAGATCCACCTCTGTTAGCTGAGTTCACACATCACAAACAAGTTTATGAGAATGCTTCTGTCTAGTTTTTATTTGAAGATATTTCCTTTCTCACCATAGACCTGAAAGCTGTCCTAATGTTCACTTCCAGATACTACAGAAAGAGTGTTTAAAAACTGCTGTACGAAAGGGAATGTTCAACTCTGTGACTTGAATGCACACATCACAAAGAAGATTCTGAGGATGCTGCTGTCTACTTTTTCTACGTAATCCCGTTTCCAACGAAATCCTCCAAGCTATCCAAATATCCACTTGCAGATTCCACAGAAAGACTGTTTCAAAACTGCTCTGTCAATAGAAAGGTTCAACTCTATTAGCTGCGTGCATATATCCCAAAGAAGATTCTGAGATTGCTTCTGTCTAGTTTTTATGGGAAGATATTTCCCTTTTCACCGTAGGAGTCAAGGCACTCCAAATGTCCACTTCCAGATGCTACAAAAAGAGTGTTTCAAACCTACTCTGTGAAAGGGAATATTCAACTCTGTGACTTGAATGCACATATCACAAAGAAGTTTCTGAGAATGCTTTTGCCGAGATTTTATATTAAGATATTCCCGTTTCCAACGAAATCCTGAAATCTATCCAAATATCCCCTCGCAGATTCTACAAAAAGAGTGTTTCAAAACTGCTCTGTAAAAAGAAAGGTTCCACTCTGTTAGTTGAGTACACACATCACAAACAAGTTTCACAGAATGCTTCTTTCTAGCTTGTAGGGGAAGATATTCCCTTTATCACCATGGGCCTCAAACCGTCTGAAACGTCCACTTCCATATACTACAAAAAGAGCATTTCAAACCTGCTCTATGAAATGCAATGTTCAACTCTGTGACTTGAATGCAGACATCACAGAGCAGTTTCTGAGAATGCTTCCGTCTAGATTTTATAGGAAGATATTCCCCTTTCCAACGAAATCTTCACAGCTATCCAAATATCCACTTGCAGATTCTACAAAAAGAGTGTATCAAAACTGCTCTGTCAAAAGGAAGGTTCTTCTCTGTTAGGTGAGTGCATACGTCATAAAGGAGTTTCTGAGAATGTTTCTGTCTAGTGGTTACGGGAAGATATTTGCTTTTTCACCTTAGGCCTCAGAGCGCTCCAAATATCCACTTGCACATACTACAAAAAGAGTGCTTCAAAGCTGCTCTCTGAAACGGAATGTTCAACTCTATGAGTTGAATGCAAACATGACAAAGACGTTTCTGAGAATGATTCTGTCTAGATTTATGACGATATTCCCGTTTCCAACGAAATCTTCAAATCTATCCAAATGTCCACTTGCAGATTCAACAAAGTGTTTTTCAGAACTACTCTATCAAAAGAAAGATCCACCTCTGTTAGCTGAGATCACACTTCACAAACAAGTTTATCAGAATGCTTCTGTCTAGTTTTTATTTGAAGATATTTCCTTTCTCACCATAGACCTGAAAGCTGTCCTAATGTTCACTTCCAGATACTACAGAAAGAGTGTTTCAAAACTGCTGTACGAAAGGGAATGTTCAAATCTGTGGCTTGAATGCACATATCACAAAAAAGTTTCTGAGGATGCTGCTGTCTACTATTTATACGTAATCCCGTTTCCAACGAAATCCTCCAAGCTATCCAAATATCCACTTGCAGATTCCACAGAAAGACTGTTTCAAAACTGCTCTGTCAATAGAAAGGTTCAACTCTGTTAGCTGCGTGCATATATCCCAAAGCGGATTCTGAGATTGCTTCTGTCTAGTTTTTATGGGAAGATATTTCCCTTTTAACCATAGGCGTCAAGGCGCTCCAAATGTCCACTTCCAGATACTACAAAAAGAGTGTTTCAAACCTACTCTGTGAAAGGGAATATTCACTTCTGTGACTTGAATGCAGATATCACAAAGAAGTTTCTGAGAATGCTTCTGTCGAGATTTTATATGAAGATATTCCCGTTTCCAACGAAATCCTGAAACCTATCCAAATATCCCCTCGCAGATTCTACAAAAAGAGTGTTTCAAAACTACTCTGTAAAAAGAAAGGTTCAACTCTGTTAGTTGAGTACACACATCACAAACAAGTTTCACAGAATGCTTCTTTCTAGCTTGTAGGGGAAGATATTCCCTTTATCACCATGGGCCTCCAACCGTCCGAAACTTCCACTTCCATATACTACAAAAAGAGCGTTTCAAACCTGCTCTATGAAAGGCAATGTTCAACTCTGTGACTTGAATGCAGACATCACAGAGCAGTTTCTGAGAATGCTTTTGTTTAGATTTTATAGGAAGATATTCCCGTTTCCAACGAATTCTTCACAGATATCCAAATATCCACTTGCAGATTCTACAAAAAGAGTTTATCAAAACTGCTCTGTCAAAAGGAAGGTTCTTCTGTGTTAGTTGAGTACATACGTCATAAAGAAGTTTCTGAGAATGTTTCTGTCTAGTGGTTATGGGAAGATATTTGCTTTTTCACCGTAGGCCTCAGAGCGCTCCAAATATCCACTTGCACATACTACAAAAAGAGTCCTTCAAAGCTGCTCTCTGAAACGGAATGTTCAACTCTATGAGTTGAATGCAAACATCACAAAGACGTTTCTGAGAATGCTTCTGTCTAGATTTGATATGAAGATATTCCCGTTTCCAACGAAATCTTGAAATCTATCCAAATGTCCACTTGCAGATTCAACAAAGTGTTTTTCAGAACTGCTCTATCAAAAGAAAGATCCACGTGTGTTAGCTGAGTTCACACATCACAAACAAGTTGATGAGAATTCTTTCTGTCTAGTTTTTATTTGAAGATATTGCCTTTCTCACCATAGACCTGAAAGCTGTCCTAATGTTCACTTCCAGATACTACAGAAACAGTGTTTCAAAACTGCTGTATGAAAGGGAATGTTCAACTCTGTGACTTGAATGCACACATCACAAAGAAGTTTCTGAGGATGCTGCTGTCTACTTTTTATACGTAATCCCGTTTCCAACGAAATCCTCCAAGCTATCCAAATATCCACTTGCAGATTCCACAGAAAGACTGTTTCAAAACTGCTCTGTCAATAGAAAGGTTCAACTCTATTAGCTGCGTACATATATCCCTAAGAAGATTCTGAGATTGCTTCTGTCTAGTTTTTATTGGAAGATATTTCCCTTTTCACCGTAGGTGTCAAGGCGCTCCAAATGTCCACTTCCAGATACTACAAAAAGAGTGTTTCAAACCTACTCTGTGAAAGGGAATATTCAACTCTGTGACTTGAATGCACATATCACAAAGAAGTTTCTGAGAATGCTCCTGTCGAGATTTTGTATGAAGATATTCCCGTTTCCAACGAAATCCTGAAATCTATCCAAATATCCCCTCGCAGATTCTACAAAAACAGTGTTTCAAAACTGCTCTGTGAAAAGAAAGGTTCAACTCTCTTAGTTGAGTACACACATCACAAACAAGTTTCACAGAATGCTTCTTTCTAGCTTGTAGGGGAAGATATTCCCTTTATCACCATGGGCCTCCAACCGTCCGAAACATCCACTTCCATATACTACAAAAAGAGCGTTTCAAACCTGCTCTATGAAATGCAATGTTCAACTCTGTGACTTGAATACAGACATCACAGAGCAGTTTCTGAGAATGCTTCTGTCTAGATTTTATAGGAAGATATTCCCGTTTCCAACGAAATCTTCACAGCTATCCAAATATCCACTTGCAGATTCTACAAAAAGAGTGTATCAAAACTGCTCTGTCAAAAGGAAGGTTCTTCTCTGTTAGTTGAGTACATACGTCATAAAGGAGTTTCTGAGAATGATTCTGCCTAGTGGTTATGGGAAGATATTTGCTTTTTCACCGTAGGCCTCAGTAGCGCTCCAAATATCCACTTGCACATACTACAAAAAGAGTGCTTCAAAGCTGCTCTCTGAAAGGGAATGTTCAACTCTATGAGTTGAATGCAAACATCACAAAGACGTTTCTGAGAATGCTTCTGTCTAGATTTGTTATGAAGATATTCCCGTTTCCAACGAAATCTTCAAATCTATCCAAATGTCCACTTGCAGATTCAACAAAAAGTGTTTTTCAGAACTGCTCTATCAAAAGAAAGATCCACCTCTGTTAGCTGAGTTCACACATCACAAAAAAGTTTATGAGAATGCTTCTGTCTAGTTTTTATTTGAAGATATTGCCTTTCTCACCCTAGACCTGAAAGCTGTCCTAATGTTCTCTTCCAGATGCTACAGAAAAAGTGTTTCAAAACTGCTGTACGAAAGGGAATGTTCAACTCTGTGACTTGAATGCACACATCACAAAGAAGTTTCTGACGATGCTGCTGTCTACTTTTTATACGTAATCCCGTTTCCAACGAAATCCTCCAAGCTATCCAAATGTCCACTTGCAGATTCCACAGAAAGACTGTTTCAAAACTGCTCTGTCAATAGAAAGGTTCAACTCTGTTAGCTGCGTGCATATATCCCAAGGAAGATTCTGAGATTGCTTCTGTCTAGTTTTTATGGGAAGATATTTCCCTTTTCACCGTAGGCATCAAGGCGCTCCAAATGTCCACTTCCAGATACTACAAAAAGAGTGTTTCAAACCTACTCTGTGAAAGGGAATATTCAACTCTGTGACTTGAATGCACATATCACAAAGAAGTTTCTGAGAATGCTTCTGTCGAGATTTTATATGAAGATATTCCCGTTTCCATCGAAATCCTGAAATCTATCCAAATATCCGCTCGCAGATTCTACAAAAAGAGTGTTTCAAAACTGCTCTGTGAAAAGAAAGGTTCAACTCTGTTAGTTGAGTACACACATCACAAACAAGTTTCACAGAATGCTTCTTTCTAGCTTGTAGGGGAAGATATTCCCTTTATCACCATGGGCCTCAAACCTTCCGAAAAGTCCACTTCCATATACTACAAAAAGAGCGTTTCAAACCTGCTCTATGAAAGGCAATGTTCAACTCTGTGACTTGAATGCAGACATCACAGAGCAGTTTCTGAGAATGCTTTCTGTCTAGATTTTATAGGAAGATATTCCCGTTTCCAACGAAATCTTCACAGCTATCCAAATATCCACTTGCGGATTCTACAAAAAGAGTGTATCAAAACTGCTCTGTCAAAAGGAAGGTTCTTCTCTGTTAGGTGAGTGCACACGTCATAAAGGAGTTTCTGAGAATGTTTCTGTCTAGTGGTTATGGGAAGATATTTGCTTTTTCACCGTAGGCCACAGAGCGGTCCAAATATCCACTTGCACATACTACAAAAAGAGTGCCTCAAAGCTGCTCTCTGAAACGGAATGTTCAACTCTATGAGTTGAATGCAAACATCACAAAGACGTCTCTGAGAATGCTTCTGTCTAGATTTGATATGAAGATATTCCCGTTTCCAACGAAATCTTCAAATCTATCCAAATGTCCACTTGCAGATTCAACAAAAAGTGTTTTTCAGAACTTCTCTATCAAAAGAAAGATCCACCTCTGTTAGCTGAGTTCACACATCAGAAACAAGTTTATGAGAATGCTTCTGTCTAGTTTTATTTGAAGATATATCCTTTCTCACTATAGACCTGAAAGCTCTCCTAAAGTTCACTTCCAGATACTACAGAAAGAGTGTTTCAAAACTGCTGTATGAAAGGGAATGTTCAACTCTGTGACTTGAATGCACACATCACAAAGCAGTTTCTGAGGATGCTGCTGTCTACTTTTTATACCTAATCCCGTTTCCAACGAAATCCTCCAAGCTATCCAAATATCCACTTGTAGATTCCACAGAAAGACTGTTACAAAACTGCTCTGTCAATAGAAAGGTTCAACTCTGTTAGCTGCGTGCATATATCACAAAGAAGATTCTGAGATTGCTTCTGTCTACTTTTTATGGGAAGATATTTCCCTTTTCACCGTAGGCGTCAAGGCGCTCCAAATGTCCACTTCCAGATACTACAAAAAGAGTGTTTCAAACCTACTCTGTGAAAGGGAATATTCAACTCTGTGACTTGAATGCACATATCACAAAGAAGTTTCTGAGAATGCTTCTGTCGAGATTTTATATGAAGATATTCCTGTTTCCAACGAAATCCTGAAATCTATCCAAATATCCCCTCGCAGATTCTACAAAAAGAGTGTTTCAAAACTGCTCTGTGAAAAGAAAGGTTCAACTCTGTTAGTTGAGTACACACATCACAAACAAGTTTCACAGAATGCTTCTGTCTAGTTTTTATTTGAAGATATTTCCTTTCTCGCCATAGACCTGAAAGCTGTCCTAATGTTCACTTCCAGATACTACAGAAAGAGTGTTTCAAAACTGCTGTATGAAAGGGAATGTTCAACTCTGTGACTTGAATGCAGACATCACAGAGCAGTTTCTGAGAATGCTTCTGTCTAGATTTTATAGGAAGATATTCCCGTTTCCAACGAAATCTTCACAGCTATCCCAAATATCCACTTGCAGATTCTACAAAAAGAGTGTATCAAAACTGCTCTGTCAAAAGGAAGGTTCTTTTCTGTTAGGTGAGTGCATACGTCATAAAGGAGTTTCTGAGAATGTTTCTGTCTAGTGGTTATGGGAAGATATTTGCTTTTTCCCCGTAGGCCTCAAAGCGCTCCAAATGTCCACTTGAACATACTACAAAAAGAGTGCTTCAAAGCTGCTCTCTGAAAGGGAATGTTCAACTCTATGAGTTGAATGCAAACATCACAAAGACGTTTCTGAGAATGCTTCTGTCTAGATTTGATATGAAGATATTCCCGTTTCTAACGAAATCTTCAAATCTATCCAAATGTCCACTTGCAGATTCAACAAAAAGTGTTTTTCAGAACTGCTCTATCAAAAGAAAGATCCACCTCTGTTAGCTGAGTTCACACTTCACAAACAAGTTTATCAGAATGCTTCTGTCTAGTTTTTATTTGAAGATATTTCCTTTCTCACCATAGACCTGAAAACTGTCCTAATGTTCACTTGCAGATACTACAGAAAGAGTGTTTCAAAACTGCTGTACGAAAGGGAATGTTCAACTCTGTGACTTGAATGCAGACATCACAAAGAAGTTTCTGAGGATGCTGCTGTCTACTTTTTATACTTAATCCCGTTTCCAACGAAATCCTCCAAGCTATCCAAGTATCCACTTGCAGATTCCACAGAAAGACTGTTTCAAAACTGCTCTGTCAATAGAAAGGTTCAACTCTGTTAGCTGCGTGCATATATCCCAAAGAAGATTCTGAGATTGCTTCTGTCTAGTTTTTATGGGAAGATATTTTGCTTTTCACCGTAGGTGTCAAGGCGCTCCAAATGTCCACTTCCAGATACTACAAAAAGAGTGTTTCAAACCTACTCTGTGAAAGGGAATATTCAACTCTGTGACTTGAATGCACATATCACAAAGAAGATTCTGAGAATGCTTCTGTCGAGATTTTATATGAAGATATTCCCGTTTCCAACGAAATCCTGAAATCTATCCAAATATCCCCTCGCAGATTCTACAAAAAGAGTGTTGCAAAACTGCTCTGTAAAAAGAAAGGTTCAACTCTGTTAGTTGAGTACACACATCACAAACAAGTTTCACAGAATGCTTCTTTCTAGCTTGTAGGGGAAGATATTCCCTTTATCACCATGGGCCTCAAACCGTCCGAAAAGTCCACTTCCATATACTAAAAAAAGAGCATTTCAAACCTGCTCTATGAAAGGCAATGTTCAACTCTGTGACTTGAATGCAGACATCACAGAGCAGTTTCTGAGAATGCTGCTGTCTAGATTTTATAAGAAGATATTCCCGTTTCCAGCAAAATCTTCACAGCTATCCAAATATCCACTTGCAGATTCTACAAAAAGAGTGTATCAAAACTGCTCTGTCAAAAGGAAGGTTCTTCTCTTTTAGGTGAGTGCATACGTCATAAAGGAGTTTCTGAGAATGTTTCTGTCTAGTGGTTATGGGAAGATATTTGCCTTTTCACCGTAGGCCTCAGAGCGCTCCAAATATCCACTTGCACATACTACAAAAAGAGTGCCTCACAGCTGCTCTCTGAAACGGAATGTTCAACTCTATGAGTTGAATGCAAACATCGCAAAGACGTTTCTGAGAATGCTTCTGTCTAGATTTGATATGAAGATATTCCCGTTTCCAACGAAATCTTCAAATCTATCCAAATGTCCACTTGCAGATTCAACAAAAAGTGTTTTTCAGAACTGCTCTATCAAAAGAAAGATCCACCTCTGTTAGCTGAGTTCACACATCACAAGCAAGTTTATGAGAATGCTTCTGTCTAGTTTTTATTTGAAGATATTTCCCTTCTCACCATAGACCTGAAAGCTGTCCTAATGTTCACTTCCAGATACTACAGAAAGAGTGTTTCAAAACTGCTGTACGAAAGGGAATGTTCAACTCTGTGACTTGAATGCACACATCACAAAGAAGTTTTCTGAGGATGCTGCTGTCTACTTTTTATACGTAATCCCGTTTCCAACGAAATCCTCCAAGCTATCCAAATATCTACTTGCAGATTCCACAGAAAGACTATTTCAAAACTGCACTGTCAATAGAAAGGTTCAACTCTCTTAGCTGCGTGCATATATCCCAAAGAAGATTCTGAGATTGCTTCTGTGTAGTTTTTAAGGGAAGATATTTCCCTTTTCACCGTAGGCGTCAAGGCGCTCCAAATGTCCACTTCCAGATACTACAAAAAGAGTGTTTCAAACCTACTCTGTGAAAGGGAATATTCAACTCTGTGACTTGAATGCACATATCACAAGGAAGTTTCTGAGAATGCTTCTGTCGAGATTTTATATGAAGATATTCCCCTTTCCAACGAAATCCTGAAATCTATCCAAATATCCCCTCGCAGATTCTACAAAAAGATTGTTTCAAAACTGCTCTGTAAAAAGAAAGGTTCAACTCTGTTAGTTGAGTACACACATCACAAACAAGTTTCACAGAATGCTTCTTTCTAGCTTGTAGGGCAAGATATTCCCTTTAACACCATGGGCCTCAAACCGTCTGAAACGTCCACTTCCATATACTACAAAAAGAGCGTTTCAAACCTGCTCTATGAAAGGCAATGTTCAACTCTGTGACTTGAATGCAGACATCACAGAGCAGTTTCTGAGAATGCTTCTGTCTAGGTTTTATAGGAAGATATTCCCTTTTCCAACGAAATCTTCCAAGCTATCCAAATATCCACTTGCAGATTCTACAAAAAGAGTGTATCAAAACTGCTCTGTCAAAAGGAATGTTCTCCTCTGTTAGTTGAGTACATACGTCATAAAGGAGTTTCTGAGAATGTTTCAGTCTAGTGGTTATGGGAAGATATTTGCTTTTTCACCGTAGGCCTCAGAGCGCTCCAAATATCCACTTGCACATACTACAAAAAGAGTGCCTCAAAGCTGCTCTCTGAAACGGAATGTGCAACTCTATGAGTTGAATGCAAACATCACAAAGACGTTTCTGAGAATGCTTCTGTCTAGATTTGATATGAAGATATTCCCGTTTCCAACGAAATCTTCAAATCTATCCAAATGTCCACTTGCAGATTCAACAAAAAGTGTTTTTCAGAACTGCTCTATCAAAAGAAAGATCCACCTCTGTTAGCTTAGTTCACACATCAGAAACAAGTTTATGAGAATGCTTCTGTCTAGTTTTTATTTGAAGATATTTCCTTTCTCACCATAGACCTGAAAGCTGTCCTAATGTTCACTTCCAGATACTACAGAAGGAGTGTTTCAAAACTGCTGTACGAAAGGGAATGTTCAACTCTGTGACTTGAATGCACACATCACAAAGAAGTTTCTGAGGATGCTGCTGTCTTCTTTTTATACGTAATCCCGTTTCCAACGAAATCCTCCAAGCTATCCAAGTATCCACTTGCAGATTCCACAGAAAGACTGTTTCAAAACTGCTCTGTCAATAGAAAGGTTCAACTCTGTTAGCTGCGTGCATATATCCCAAAGAAGATTCTGAGATTGCTTGTGTCTACTTTTTATGAGAAGATATTTCCCTTTTCACCGTAGGCGTCAAGGCGCTCCAAATGTCCACTTCCAGATACTACAAAAAGAGTGTTTCAAACCTACTCTGTGAAAGGGAAGATTCAACTCTGTGACTTGAATGCACATATCACAAAGAAGCTTCTGAGAATGCTTCTGTCGAGATTTTATATGAAGATACTCCCGTTTCCAACGAAATCCTGAAATCTATCCAAATATCCCCTCGCAGATTCTACAAAAAGAGTGTTTCGAAACTGCTCTGTAAAAAGAAAGGTTCAACTCTGTTAGTTGAGTACACACATCACAAACAAGTTTCACAGAATGCTTCTTTCTAGCTTGTAGGGGAAGATATTTCCTTTATCACCATGGTCCTCAAACCGTCCGAATCGTCCACTTCCATATACTAAAAAAAGAGTGTTTGAAACCTGCTCTATGAAAGGCAATGTTCAACTCTGTGACCTGAATGCAGACATCACAGAGCAGTTTCTGAGAATGCTTCCTGTCTAGATTTTATAGGAAGATATTCCCGTTTCCAACGAAATCTTCACAGCTATCCAAATATCCACTTGCAGATTCTACAAAAAGAGTGTATCAAAACTGCTCTGTCAAAAGGAAGGTTCTCCTCTGTTAGGTGAGTGCATACGTCATAAAGGAGTTTCTGAGAATGTTTCTGTCTAGTGGTTATGGGAAGATATTTGCTTTTTCACCGTAGGCCTCAGAGCGCTCCAAATATCCACTTGCACATACTACAAAAAGGGTGCCTCAAAGCTGCTCTCTGAAACGGAATGTTCAACTCTATGAGTTGAATGCAAACATCACAAAGACGTTTCTGAGAATGCTTCTGTCTAGTATTTGATATGAAGATATTCCCGTTTCCAACGAAATCTTCAAATCTATCCAAATGTCCACTTGCAGATTCAACAAAAAGTGTTTTTCAGAACTGCTCTATCAAAAGAAAGATTCACCTCTGTTAGCTGAGTTCACACATCACAAACAAGTTTATGAGAATGCTTCTGTCTAGTTTTTATTTGAAGATATTTCCTTTCTCACCATAGAGCTGAAAGCTGTCCTAATGTTCACTTCCAGATACTACAGAAAGAGTGTTTCAAAACTGCTGTACGAAAGGGAATGTTCAACTCTGTGACTTGAATGCACACATCACAAAGTAGTTTCTGAGGATGCTGCTGTCTACTTTTTATACGTAATCCCGTTTCCAACGAAATCCTCCAAGCTATCCAAATATCCACTTGCAGATTCCACAGAAAGACTGTTTCAAAACTGCTCTGTCAATAGAAAGGTTCAACTCTGTTAGCTGCGTGCATATATCCTAAAGAGGATTCTGAGATTGCTTCTGTCTAGTTTTTATGGGAAGATATTTCCCTTTTCACCGTAGGCGTCAAGGCGCTCCAAATGTCCACTTCCAGATACTACAAAAAGAGTGTTTCAAACCTACTCTGTGAAAGGGAATATTCAACTACTGTGACTTGAATGCACATATCACAAGGAAGTTTCTGAGAATGCTTCTGATCGAGATTTTGATACTGAAGATATTCCCGTTTCCAACGAAATCCTGAAATGTATCCAAATATCCCCTCGCAGATTCTACAAAAAGAGTGTTTCAAAACTGCTCTGTAAAAAGAAAGGTTCAACTCTGTTAGTTGAGTACACACATCACAAACAAGTTTCACAGAATGGTTCTTTCTAGCTTGTAGGGAAAGATATTCCCTTTATCACCATGGGCCTCAAACCGTCCGAAACGTCCACTTCCATATACTACAAAAAGAGCGTTTCAAACCTGCTCTAGGAAAAGCAATGTTCAACTCTGTGACTTGAATGCAGACATCACAGAGCAGTTTCTGAGAATGCTTCTGTCTAGATTTTATAGGAAGATATTCCCGTTTCCAACGAAATCTTCACAGCTATCCAAATATCCACTTGCAGATTCTACAAAAAGAGTGTATCAAAACAGCTCTGTCAAAAGGAAGGTTCTTTTCTGTTAGGTGAGTGCATACGTCATAAAGGAGTTTCTGAGAATGTTTCTGTCTAGTGGTTATGGGAAGATATTTGCTTTTTCCCCGTAGGCCTCAGGGCGCTCCAAATGTCCACTTGCACATGCTACAAAAAGAGTGCTTCAAAGCTGCTCTCTGAAAGGGAATGTTCAACTCTATGTGTTGAATGCAAACATCACAAAGACGTTTCTGAGAATGCTTCTGTCTAGATTTGATATGAAGATATTCCCGTTTCCAACGAAATCTTCAAATCTATCCAAATGTCCTCTTGCAGATTCAACAAAAAGTGTTTTTCAGAACTGCTCTATCAAAAGAAAGATCCACCTCTGTTAGCTGAGTTCACACATCACAAACAAGTTTATGAGAATGCTTCTGTCTAGTTTTTATTTGAAGATATTTCCTTTCTCACCATAGACCTGAAAGCTGTCCTAATGTTCACTTCCAGATACTACACAAAGAGTGTTTCAAAACTGCTGTACGAAAGGGAATGTTCAACTCTGTGACTTGAATGCACACATCACAAAGAAGTTTCTGAGGATGCTGCTGTCTACTTTTTATACGTAATCCCGTTTCCAACGAAATCCTCCAATCTATGCAAATATCCACTTGCAGATTCCACAGAAAGAGTGTTTCAAAACTGCTCTGTCAATAGAAAGGTTCAACTCTGTTAGCTGCGTGCATATATCACAAAGAAGATTCTGAGATTGCTTCTGTCTAGTTTTTATGGGAAGATATTTCCCTTTTCACCGTAGGTGTAAAGGCGCTCCAAATGTCCACTTACAGATACTACAAAAAGAGTGTTTCAAACCTACTCTGTGAAAGGGAATATTCAACTCTGTGACTTGAATGCAGATATCACAATGAAGTTTCTGAGAATGCTTCTGTCGAGATTTTATATGAAGATATTCCCGTTTCCAACGAAATCCTGAAATCTATTCAAATATCCCCTCGCAGATTCTTCAAAAAGAGTGTTTCAATACTGCTCTGTAAAAAGAAAGGTTCAACTCTGTTAGTTGAGTACACACATCACAAACAAGTTTCACAGAATGATTCTTTCTAGCTTGTAGGGGAAGATATTCCCTGTATCACCTTGGGCCTCAAACCGTCCGAAACGTCCACTTCCATATACTAAAAAAAGAGTGTTTGAAACCTGCTCTATGAAAGGCAATGTTCAACTCTGTGACATGAATGCAGACATCACAGAGCAGTTTCTGAGAATGCTTCTGTCTAGATTTTATAGGAAGATATTCCCGTTTCCAACGAAATCTTCACAGCTATCCAAATATCCACTTGCAGATTCTACAAAAAGAGTGTATCAAAACTTCTCTGTCAAAAGGAAGGTTCTTCTCTGTTAGTTGAGTACATACGTCATAAAGGAGTTTCTGAGAATGTTTCTGTCTAGTGGTTATGGGAAGATATTTGCTTTTTCACCGTAGGCCTCAGAGCGCTCCAAATATCCACTTGCACATACTACAAAAAGAGTGCCTCAAAGCTGCTCTCTGAAATGGAATGTTCAACTCTATGAGTTGAATGCTAACATCACAAAGACGTTTCTGAGAATGCTTCTGTCTAGATTTGATATGAAGATATTCCCTTTTCCAAGGAAATCTTCAAAACTATCCAAATGTCCACTTGCAGATTCAACAAAAAGTGTTTTTCAGAACTGCTCTATCAAAAGAAAGATCCACCGTTGTTAGCTGAGTTCACACATCACAAACAAGTTTATGAGAATGCTTTCTGTCTAGTTTTTATTTGAAGATATTTCCTTTCTCACCATAGAGCTGAAAGCTGTCCTAATGTTCACTTCCAGATACTACAGAAAGAGTGTTTCAAAACTGCTGTACGAAAGGAAATGTTCAACTCTGTGACTTGAATGCACACATCACAAAGAAGTTTCTGAGGATGCTGCTGTCTACTTTTTATACGTAATCCTGTTTCCAACGAAATCCTCCAAGCTATCCAAATATCCACTTGCAGATTCCACAGAAAGAATGTTTCAAAACTGCTCTGTCAATAGAAAGGTTCAACTCAGTTAGCTGCGTGCATATATCCCAAAGAAGATTCTGAGATTGCTTCTGTCTAGTTTTTATGGGAAGATATTTCCCTTTTCACCGTAGGCATCCAGGCGCTCCAAATGTCCACTTCCAGATACTACAAAAAGAGTGTTTCAAACCTACTCTGTGAAAGGGAATATTCAACTCTGTGACTTGAATGCACATATCACAAGGAAGTTTCTGAGAATGCTTCTGTCGAGATTTTATATGAAGATATTCCCCTTTCCAATGAAATCCTGAAATCTATCCAAATATCCCCTCGCAGATTCTACAAAAAGAGTGTTTCAAAACTGCTCTGTAAAAAGAAAGGTTCAACTCTGTTAGTTGACTACACACATCACAAACAAGTTTCACAGAATGCTTCTTTCTAGCTTGTAGGGGAAGATATTCCCTTTATCACCATGGACCTCAAACCGTCTGAAACGTCCACTTCCATATACTACAAAAAGAGCATTTCAAACCTGCTCTATGAAAGGCAATGTTCAACTCTGTGACTTGAATGCAGACATCACAGAGCAGTTTCTGAGAATGCTTCTGTCTAGATTTTATAGGAAGATATTCCCGTTTCCAACGAAATCTTCACAGGTATCCAAATATCCACTTGCAGATTCTACAAAAAGAGTGTATCAAAACTGCTCTGTCAAAAGGAAGGTTCTTCTCTGTTAGTTGAGTACATACGTCATAAAGGAGTTTCTGAGAATGTTTCTGTCTAGTGGTTATGGGAAGATATTTGCTTTTTCACCTTAGGCCTCAGAGCGCTCCAAATATCCCCTTGCACATACTACAAAAAGAGTGCTTCAAAGCTGCTCTCTGAAACGGAATGTTCAACTCTATGAGGTGAATGCAAACATGACAAAGACGTTTCCGAGAATGCTTCTGTCTAGATTTGATATGAAGATATTCCCGTTTCCAACGAAATCTTCAAATCTATCCAAATGTCCACTTGCAGATTCAACAAAAAGTGTTTTTCAAAACTGCTCTATCAAAAGAAAGATCCACGTCTGTTACCTGAGTTCACACATCACAAACAAGTTTATGAGAATGCTTCTGTCTAGTTTTTATTTGAAGCATATTTCCTTTCTCACCATAGACCTGAAAGCTGTCCTAATGTTCACTTCCAGTTACTACAGAAAGAGTGTTTCAAAACTGCTGTACGAAAGGGAATGTTCAACTCTGTGACTTGAATGCACACATCACAAAGAAGTTTCTGAGGATGCTGCTGTCTACTTTTTATACTTAATCCCGTTTCCAACGAAATCCTCCAAGCTATCCAAATATCCACTTGCAGATTCCACAGAAACACTGTTTCAAAACTGCTCTGTCAATAGAAAGGTTCAACTCTGTTAGCTGCGTGCATATATCCCAAAGAAGATTCTGAGATTGCTTCTGTCTAGCTTTATGGGAAGATATTTCCCTTTTCACCGTAGGCGTCAAGGCACTCCAAATGTCCACTTCCAGATACTACAAAAAGAGTGTTTCAAACCTACTCTGTGAAAGGGAATATTCAACTCTGTGACTTGAAGGCAGATATCACAAAGAAGTTTCTGAGAATGCTTCTGTCGAGATTTTATATGAAGATATTCGCGTTTCCAACGAAATCCTGAAATCTATCCAAATATCCCCTCGCAGATTCTACAAAAAGAGTGTTTCAAAACTGCTCTGTAAAAAGAAAGGTTCAACTCTGTTAGTTGAGTACACACATCACAAACAAGTTTCACAGAATGCTTCTTTCTAGCTTGTAGGGGAAGATATTCCCTTTATCACCGTGGGCCTCAAACCGTCCGATAAGTCCACTTCCATATACTACAAAAAGAGCGTTTCAAACCTGCTCCATGAAAGGCAATGTTCAACTCTGTGACTTGAATGCAGACATCACAGAGCAGTTTCTGAGAATGCTTCTGTCCAGACTTTATAGGAAGATATTCCCGTTTCCAACGAAATCTTCACAGCTATCCAAATATCCACTTGCAGATTCTACAAAAAGAGTGTATCAAAACTGCTCTGTCAAAAGGAAGGTTCTTCTCTGTTAGTTGAGTACAAACGTCATAAAGGAGTTTCTGAGAATGTTTCTGTCTAGTGGTTATGGGAAGATATTTGTTTTTTCACCGTAGGCCTCAGAGCGCTCCAAATATCCACTTGCACATACTACAAAAAGAGTGCCTCAAAGCTGCTCTCTGAAACGGAATGTTCAACTCTATGAGTTGAATGCAAACATCGCAAAGACGTTTCTGAGAATGCTTCTGTCTAGATTTGATATGAAGATATTCCCGTTTCCAAAGAAATCTTCCAATCTATCCAAATGTCCACTTGCAGATTCAACAAAAAGTGTTTTTCAAAACTGCTGTATCGAAAGAAAGATCCACCTCTGTTAGTTGAGTTCACACATCACAAACAAGTTTTTAAAAGTGCTTCTCTCTAGTTTTTATTTGAAGATATATCCTTTCTCACTATAGACCTGAAAGCTGTCCTAATGTTCACTTCCAGATACTACAGAAAGAGTGTTTCAAAACTGCTGTACGAAAGGGAATGTTCAACTCTGTGACTTGAATGCACACATCACAAAGTAGTTTCTGAGGATGCTGCTGTCTACTTTTTATACGTAATCCCGTTTCCAACGAAATCCTCCAAGCTATCCAAATATCCACTTGCAGATTCCACAGAAAGATTGTTTCAAAACTGCTCTGTCAATAGAAATGTTCAACTCTGTTAGCTGCGTGCATATATCCCAAAGAAGATTCTGAGATTGCTTCTGTCTAGTTTTTATGGGAAGATATTTCCCTTTTCACCGTAGGCGTCAAGGCGCTCCAAATGTCCACTTCCAGATACTACAAAAAGAGTGTTTCAAACCTACTCTGCGAAAGGGAATATTCAACTCTGTGAGTTGAATGCAGATATCACAAAGAAGTTTCTGAGAATGCTTCTGTCGAGAGTTTATATGAAGATATTCCCGTTTCCAACGAAATCCTGAAATCTATCCAAATATCCCCTCGCAGATTCTACAAAAAGAGTGTTTCAAAACTGCTCTGTAAAAAGAAAGGTTCAACTCTGTTAGTTGAGTACACACATCACAAACAAGTTTCACAGAATGCTTCTTTCTAGCTTGTAGGGGAAGATATTCCCTTTATCACCATGGGCCTCCAACCGTCCGAAACATCCACTTCCATATACTACAAAAAGAGCGTTTCAAACCTGCTCTATGAAAGGCAATGTTCAACTCTGTGACTTGAATGCAGACATCACAGAGCAGTTTCTGAGAATTCTTCTGTCTAGTATTTTATAGGAAGATATTCCCGTTTCCAACCAAATCTTCATAGCTATCCAAATATCCACTTGCAGATTCTACAAAAAGAGTGTATCAAAACTGCTCTGTCAAAAGGAAGGTTCTTTTCTGTTAGGTGAGTGCATACGTCATAAAGGAGTTTCTGAGAATGTTTCTGTCTAGTGGTTATGGGAAGATATTTGCTTTTTCACCGTAGGCCAGAGAGCGATCAAAATATCCACTTGCACATACTACAAAAAGAGTGCTTCAAAGCTGCTCTCTGAAAGTGAATGTTCAACTCTATGAGTTGAATGGAAACATCACAAAGACGTTTCTGAGAATGCTTCTGTCTAGATTTGATATGAAGATATTCCCGTTTCCAACGAAATCTTTAAATCTATCCAAATGTCCACTTGCAGATTCAACAAAAAGTGTTTTTCAAAACTGCTCTATCAAAAGAAAGATCCACCTCTGTTAGCTGAGTACACACATCACAAACAAGTTTATGAGAATGCTTCTGTCTAGTTTTTATTTGAAGATATTTCCTTTCTCACCATAGACCTGGAAGCTGTCCTAATGTTCACTTCCAGATACTACAGAAAGAGTGTTTCAAAACTGCTGTACGAAAGGGAATGTTCAACTCTGTGACTTGAATGCACACATCACAAAGAAGTTTCTGAGGATGCTGCTGTCTACTTTTTATACGTAATCCCGTTTCCAAGGAAATCCTCCAAGCTATCCAAATATCCACTTGCAGATTCCACAGAAAGACTGTTTCAAAACTGCTCTCTCAATAGAAAGGTTCAACTCTGTTAGCTGCGTGCATATATCCCAAAGAAGATTCTGAGATTGCTTCTGTCTAGTTTTTATCGGAAGATATTTCCCTTTTCACCATAGGTGTCAAGGTGCTCCAAATGTCCACTTGCAGATGCTACAAAAAGAGTGTTTCAAACCTACTCTGTGAAAGGGAATATTCAACTCTGTGACTTGAATGCAGATATCACAAAGAAGTTTCTGAGAATGCTTCTGTCGAGATTTTATATGAAGATATTCTCGTTTAAAACGAAATCCTGAAATCTATCCAAATATCCCCTCACAGATTCTACAAAAGAGTGTTTCAAAACTGCTCTGTAAAAAGAAAGGTTCAACTCTGTTAGTTGAGTACACACATCACAAACAAGTTTCACAGAATGCTTCTTTCTAGCTTGTAGGGGAAGATATTCCCTTTATCACCATGGGCCTCAAACCGTCCGATAAGTCCACTTCCATATACTACAAAAAGAGAGTTTCAAACCTGCTCTATGAAAGGCAATGTTCAACTCTGTGACTTGAATGCAGACATCACAGAGCAGTTTCTGAGAATGCTTCTGTCTAGATTTTATAGGAAGATATTCCCGTTTCCAACCAAATCTTCATAGCTATCCAAATATCCACTTGCAGATTCTACAAAAAGAGTGTATCAAAACTGCTCTGTCAAAAGGAAGGTTCTTTTCTGTTAGGTGAGTGCATACGTCATAAAGGAGTTTCTGAGAATGTTTCTATCTAGTTGTTATGGGAAGATATTTGCTTTTTCACCGTAGGCCTCAGAGCGCTCCAAATATCCACTTGCACATACTACAAAAAGAGTGCCTCAAAGCTGCTCTCTGAAACGGAATGTTCAACTCTATGAGTTGAATGCAAACATCGCAAAGACGTTTCTGAGAATGCTTCTGTCTAGATTTGATATGAAGATATTCCCGTTTCCAACGAAATCTTCATATCTATCCAAATGTCCACTTGCAGATTCAACAAAAAGTGTTTTTCAAAACTGCTGTATCAAAAGAAAGATCCACGTCTGTTAGATGAGTTCACACATCACAAACAAGTTTATGAGAATGCTCTGTCTAGTTTTTATTTGAAGATATTTCCTTTCTCACCATAGACCTGAAAGCTGTCCTAATGTTCACTTCCAGTTACTACAGAAAGAGTGTTTCAAAACTGCTGTACGAAAGGGAATGTTCAACTCTGTGACTTGAATGCACACATCACAAAGAAGTTTCTGAGGATGCTGGCTGTCTACTTTTTATACGTAATCCCGTTTCCAACGAAATCCTCCAAGCTATCCAAATATCCACTTTCAGATTCCACAGAAAGACTGTTTCAAAACTGCTCTGTCAATAGAAAGGTTCAACTCTGTTAGCTGCGTGCATATATCCCAAAGAAGATTCTGAGATTGCTTCTGTCTAGTTTTTATGGGAAGATATTTCCCTTTTCACCGTAGGCGTCAAGGCGCTCCAAATGTCCACTTCCAGATACTACAAAAACAGTGTTTCAAACCTACTCTGTGAAAGGGAATATTCAACTCTGTGACTTGAATGCACATATCACAAGGAAGTTTCTGAGAATTCTTCTGTCGAGATTTTATATGAAGATAATCCCGTTTCCAACGAAATCCTGAAATCTATCCAAATATCCCCTCGCAGATTCTACAAAAAGAGTGTTTCAAAACTGCTCTGTGAAAAGAAAGGTTCAACTCTGTTAGTTGAGTACACACATCACAAACAAGTTTCACAGAATGCTTCTTTCTAGCTTGTAGGGGAAGATATTCCCTTTATCACCATGGGCCTCAAACCGTCCGATAAGTCCACTTCCATATACTACAAAAAGAGCGTTTCAAACCTGCTCTATGAAAGGCAACGTTCAACTCTGTGACTTGAATGCAGACATCACAGAGCAGTTTCTGAGAATGCTTTCTGTCCAGACTTTATAGGAAGATATTCCCGATTCCAACGAAATCTTCACAGCTATCCCAATATCCACTTGCAGATACTACAAAAAGAGTGTATCAAAAAAGCTCTGTCAAAAGGAAAGTTCTTCTCTGCTAGTTGAGTACATACGTCATAAAGAAGTTTCTGAGAATGTTTCTGTCTAGTGGTTATGGGAAGATATTTGCTTTTTCACCGTAGGCCTCAGAGCGCTCCAAATATCCACTTGCACATACTACAAAAAGAGTGCTTCAAAGCTGCTCTCTGAAACGGAATGTTCAGCTCTATGAGTTGAATGCAAACATCACAAAGACGTTTCTGAGAATGCTTGTGTCTAGATTTGATATGAAGATATTCCCGTTTCCAACGAAATCTTCAAATCTATCCAAATGTCCACTTGCAGATTCAACAAAAAGTGTTTTTCAGAACTGCTCTATCAAAAGAAAGATCCACCTCTGTTAGCTGAGTTCACATATCAAAAACAAGTTTATGAGAATGCTTTTGTCTAGTTTTTATTTGAAGATATTTCCTTTCTCACCATAGAGCTGAAAGCTGTCCTAATGTTCACTTCCAGTTACTACAGAAAGAGTGTTTCAAAACTGCTGTACGAAAGGGAATGTTCAACTCTGTGACTTGAATGCACACATCACAAAGAAGTTTCTGAGGATGCTGCAGTCTATTTTTTATACGTAATCCCGTTTCCAACGAAATCCTCCAAGCTATCCAAATATCCACTTGCAGATTCCACAGAAAGACTGTTTCAAAACTGCTCTGTCAATAGAAAGGTTCAACTCTGTTAGCTGCGTGCATATATCCCAAAGAAGATTCTGAGATTGCGTCTGTCTACTTTTTATGAGAAGATATTTCCCTTTTCACCGTAGGTGTCAAGGCGCTCCAAATGTCCACTTCCAGATACTACAAAAAGAGTGTTTCAAACCTACTCTGTGAAAGGGAACATTCAACTCTGTGACTTGAATGCACATATCACAAAGAAGTTTCTGAGAATTCTTCTGTCGAGATTTTATATGAATATATTCCCGTTTCCAACGAAATCCTGAAATCTATCCAAATATCCCCTCGCAGATTCTACAAAAAGAGTGTTTCAAAACTGCTCTGTAAAAAGAAAGGTTCAACTCTGTTAGTTGAGTACACACATCACAAACAAGTTTCACAGAATGCTTCTTTCTAGCTTGTAGGGGAAGAAATTTCCTTTATCACCATGGGCCTCAAACCGTCCGAAACGTCCACTTCCATATACTAACAAAAGAGTGTCTGAAACCTGCTCTATGAAAGGCAATGTTCAACTCTGTGACTTGAATGCAGACATCACAGAGCAGTTTCTGAGAATGCTTCTGTCCTGACTTTATAGGAAGATATTCCCGATTCCAACGAAATCTTTACAGCTATCCAAATATCCACTTGCAGATACTACAAAAAGAGTGTATCAAAAAAGCTCTGTCAAAAGGAAAGTTCTTCTCTGCTAGTTGAGTACATACGTCATAAAGAAGTTTCTGAGAATGTTTCTGTCTAGTGGTTATGGGAAGATATTTGCTTTTTCCCCGTAGGCCTCAGGGCGCTCCAAATGTCCACTTGCACATGCTACAAAAAGAGTGCTTCAAAGCTGCTCTCTGAAAGGGAATGTTCAACTCTATGAGTTGAATGCAAACATCAAAAAGACGTTTCTGAGAATGCTTCTGTCTAGATTTGATATGAAGATATTCCCGTTTCCAACGAAATCTTCAAATCTATCCAAATGTCCACTTGCAGATTCAACAAAAAGTGTTTTTCAAAACTGCTGTATCAAAAGAAAGATCCACCTCTCTTAGCTGAGTTCACACATCACAAACAAGTTTATGAGAATGCTTCTGTCTAGTTTTTATTTGAAGATATTTCCTTTCTCACCATAGACCTGAAAGCTGTCCTAATGTTCACTTCCAGATACTACAGAAAGAGTGTTTCAAAACTGCTGTACGAAAGGGAATGTTCAAATCTGTGACTTGAATGCACACATCACAAAGAAGTTTCTGAGGATGCTGCTGTCTACTTTTTATACGTAATCCCGTTTCCAACGAAATCCTCCAAGCTATCCAAATATCCACTTGCAGATTCCACAGAAAGACTGTTTCAAAAATGCTCTGTCAATAGAAAGGTTCAACTCTGTTAGCTGCGTGCATATATCCCAAAGAAGATTCTGAGATTGCTTCTGTCTAGTTTTGATGGGAAGATATTTCCCTTTTCACCGTGGGCGTCAAGGCGCTCCAAATGTCCACTTCCAGATACTACAAAAAGAGTGTTTCAAACCTACTCTGCGAAAGGGAATATTCAACTCTGTGACTTGAATGCACATATCACAAGGAAGTTTCTGAGAATGCTTCTGTCGAGATTTTATATGAAGATATTCCCGTTTCCAACGAAATGCTGAAATCTATCCCAAATATCCCCTCGCAGATTCTACAAAAAGAGTGTTTCAAAACTGCTCTGTGAAAAGAAAGGTTCAACTCTGTTAGTTGAGTACACACATCACAAACAAGTTTCACAGAATGCTTCTTTCTAGCTTGTAGGGGAAGATATTCCCTTTATCACCATGGGACTCAAACCGTCTGAAACGTCCACTTCCATATACTACAAAAAGAGCATTTCAAACCTGCTCTATGAAAGGCAATGTTCAACTCTGTGACTTGAATGCAGACATCAGAGAGCAGTTTCTGAGAATGCTTCTGTCTAGATTTTATAGGAAGATATTCCCGTTTCCAACGAAATCTTCACAGCTATCCAAATATCCACTTGCAGATGCTACAAAAAGAGTGTATCAAAACTGCTCTGTCAAAAGGAAGGTTCTTCTCTGTTAGGTGAGTGCATACGTCATAAAGGAGTTTCTGAGAATGTTTCTGTCTAGTGGTTATGGGAAGATATTTGCTTTTTCCCCGTAGGCCTCAGAGCGCTCCAAATGTCCACTTGCGCATGCTACAAAAAGAGTGCTTCAAAGCTGCTCTCTGAAACGGAATGTTCAACTCTATGAGTTGAATGCAAACATCACAAAGATGTTTCTGAGAATGCTTCTGTCTAGATTTGATATGAAGATATTCCCGTTTCCAACGAAATCTTCAAATCTATCCAAATGTCCACTTGCAGATTCAACAAAAAGTGTTTTTCAAAACTGCTATATCAAAAGAAAGATCCACCTCTGTTAGCTGAGTTCACACATCACAAACAAGTTTATGAGAATGCTTCTGTCTAGTTTTTATTTGAAGATATTTCCTTTCTCACCATAGAGCTGAAAGCTGTCCTAATGTTCACTTCCAGATACTACAGAAAGAGTTTTTCAAAACTGCTGTACGAAAGGGAATGTTCAACTCTGTGACTTGAAAGCACACATCACAAAGAAGTTTCTGAGGATGCTGCTGTCTACTTTTTATACGTAATCCCGTTTCCAACGAAATCCTCCAAGCTATCCAAATATCCAATTGCAGATTCCACAGAAAGACTGTTTCAAAACTGCTCTGTCAATAGAAAGGTTCAACTCTGTTAGCTGCGTGCATATATCCCAAAGAAGATTCTGCGATTACTTCTGTCTAGTTTTTATGGGAAGATATTTCCCTTTTCACCGTAGGCGTCAAGGCGCTCCAAATGTCCACTTCCAGATACTACAAAAAGAGTGTTTCAAACCTACTCTGTGAAAGGGAGTATTCAACTCTGTGACTTGAATACACATATCACAAAGAAGTTTGCTGAGAATGCTTCTGTCGAGATTTTATATGAAGGTATTCCCGTTTCCAACGAAATCCTGAAATCTATCCAAATATCCGCTCGCAGGTTCTACAAAAAGAGTGTTTCAAAACTGCTCTGTAAAAAGAAAGGTTCAACTCTGTTAGTTGAGTACACACATCACAAACAAGTTTCACAGAATGCTTCTTTCTATCTTGCAGGGGAAGATATTCCCTTTATCACCATGGGCCTCAAACCGTCCGAAACGTCTACTTCCATATACTACAAAAAGAGCGTTTCAAACCTGCTCTATGAAAGGCAATGTTCAACTCTGTGACTTGAATGCAGACATCACAGAGCAGTTTCTGAGAATGCTTCTGTCTAGAATTTATAGGAAGATATTCCCGTTTCCAACGAAAACTTCACAGCTATCCAAATATCCACTTTCAGATTCTACAAAAAGAGTGTATCAAAAGTGCTCTGTCAAAAGGAAGGTTCTTCTCTGTTAGGTGAGTGCATACGTCATAAAGGAGTTTGTGAGAATGTTTCTGTCTAGTGGTAATGGGAAGATATTTGCTTTTTCACCATAGGCCTCAGAGCGCTCCAAATATCCACTTGCACATACTACAAAAAGAGTGCTTCAAAGCTGCTCTCTGAAAGGGAATGTTCAACTCTATGAGTTGAATGCTAACATCACAAAGACGTTTCTGAGAATGCTTCTGTCTAGATTTGATATGAAGATATTCCCGTTTCCAACGAAATCTTCAAATCTATCCAAATGTCCACTTGCAGATTCAACAAAAAGTGTTTTTCAGAACTGCTCTATCAAAAGAAAGATCCACGTGTGTTAGCTGAGTTCACACATCACAAACAAGTTTATGAGAATGCTTTCTGTCTAGTTTTTATTTGAAGATATTTCCTTTCTCACCATAGACCTGAAAGCTGTCCTAATGTTCAGTTCCAGATACTACAGAAAGAGTGTTTCAAAACTGCTGTACGAAAGGGAATGTTCAACTCTGTGACTTGAATGCACACATCACAAAGAAGTTTCTGAGGATGCTGCTGTCTACTTTTTATACGTAATCCCGTTTCCAACGAAATCCTCCAAGCTATCCAAATATCCACTTGCAGATTCCACAGAAAGACTGTTTCAAAACGGCTCTGTCAATAGAAAGGTTCAACTCTGTTAGCTGCGTGCATATATCCCAAAGAAGATTCTGATATTGCTTCTGTCTAGTTTTTATGGGAAGATATTTCCCTTTTCACCGTAGGCGTCAAGGCGCTCCAAATGTCCACTTCCAGATACTACAAAAAGAGTGTTTCAAACCTACTCTGTGAAAGGGAATATTCAACTCTGTGACTTGAATGCAGATATCACAAAGAAGTTTCTAAGAATGCTTCTGTCGAGATTTTATATGAAGATATTCCCGTTTCCAACAAAATCCTGAAATCTATCCAAATATCCCCTCGCAGATTCTACAAAAAGAGTGTTTCAAAACTGCTCTGTAAAAAGAAAGGTTCAACTCTGTTAGCTGAGTACACACATCACAAACAAGTTTCACAGAATGCTTCTTTCTAGCTTGTAGGGGAAGATATTCCCTTTATCACCATGGGCCTCAAACCGTCCGAAACGTCCACTTCCATATACTACAAAAAGAGCGTTTCAAACCTGCTCTATGAAAGGCAATGTTCAACTCTGTGACTTCAATGCAGACATCACAGAGCAGTTTCTGAGAATGCTTCTGTCTAGATTTTATTGGAAGGTATTCCCGTTTCCAACGAAATCTTCACAGCTATCCAAATATCCACTTGCAGATTCTACAAAAAGAGTGTATCAAAAATGCTCTGTCAAAAGGAAGGTTCTTCTCTGTTAGGTGAGTGCACACGTCATAAAGGAGTTTCTGAGAATGTTTCTGTCTAGTGGTTATGGGAAGATATTTGCTTTTTCACCTTAGGCCTCAGAGCGCTCCAAATATCCCCTTGCACATACTACAAAAAGAGTGCTTCAAAGCTGCTCTCTGAAAGGGAATGTTCAACTCTATGAGTTGAATGCAAACATCACAAAGACCTTTCTGAGAATGCTTCTGTGTAGATTTGATATGAAGATATTCCCGTTTCCAACGAAATCTTCTAATCTATCCAAATGTCCACTTGCAGATTCAACAAAAAGTGTTTTTCAGAACTGTTCTATCAAAAGAAAGATCCACCTCTGTTAGCTGAGTTCACACATCACAAACAAGTTTATGAGAATGCTTCTGTCTAGTTTTTATTTGAAGATATTTCCTTTCTCACCATAGACCTGAAAGCTGTCCTAATGTTCACTTCCAGTTACTACAGAAAGAGTGATTCAAAACTGCTGTACGAAAGGGAATGTTCAACTCTGTGACTTGAATGCACACATCACAAAGAAGTTTCTGAGGATGCTGCTGTCTACTTTTTATACGTAATCCCGTTTCCAACGAAATCCTCCAAGCTATCCAAATATCCACTTGCAGATTCCACAGAAAGACTGTTTCAAAACTGCTCTGTCAATAGAAAGGTTCAACTTCTGTTAGCTGCGTGCATATATCCCAAAGAAGATTCTGAGATTGCTTCTGTCTAGTTTTTATGGGAAGATATTTCGCTTTTCACCGTAGGTGTCAAGGCGCTCCAAATGTCCACTTCCAGATACTACAAAAAGAGTGTTTCAAACCTACTCTGTGAAAGGGAATATTCAACTCTGTGACTTGAATGCACATATCACAAAGAAGTTTCTGAGAATGCTTCTGTCGAGATTTTATATGAAGATATTCCCGTTTCCAACGAAATCCTGAAATCTATCCAAATATCCCCTCGCAGATTCTACAAAAAGAGTGTTTCAAAACTGCTCTGTAAAAAGAAAGGTTCAACTCTGTTAGTTGAGTACACACATCTCAAACAAGTTTCACAGAATGCTTCTTTCTAGCTTGTAGGGGAAGATATTCCCTTTATCACCATGGGCCTCAAACCGTCCGAAACGTCCACTTCAATATACTACAAAAAGAGCGTTTCAAACCTGCTCTATGAAAGGCAATGTTCAACTCTGTGACTTGAATGCAGACATCACAGAGCAGTTTCTGAGAATGCTTCTGTCTAGATTTTATAGGAAGATATTCCCGTTTCCAACGAAATCTTCACAGCTATCCGAATATCCACTTGCAGATTCTACAAAAAGAGTGTATCAAAACTGCTCTGTCAAAAGGAAGGTTCTTCTCTGTTAGGTGAGTGCATACGTCATAAAGGAGTTTCTGAGAATGTTTCTGTCTAGTGGTTATGGGAAGATATTTGCTCTTTCACCGTAGGCCTCAGAGCGCTCCAAATATCCACTTGCCCATACTACAAAAAGAGTGCCTCAAAGCTGCTCTCTGAAACGGAATGTTCAACTCTATGAGTTGAATGCAAACATCGCAAAGACGTTTCTGAGAATGCTTCTGTCTAGTATTTGATATGAAGATATTCCCGTTTCCAACGAAATCTTCATATCTATCCAAATGTCCACTTGCAGATTCAACAAAAAGTGTTTTTCAAAACTGCTGTATCAAAAGAAAGATCCACGTCTGTTAGCTGAGTTCACACATCACAAACAAGTTTATGAGAATGCTTCTGTCTAGTTTTTATTTGAAGATATTTCCTTTCTCACCATAGAGCTGAAAGCTGTCCTAATGTTCACTTCCAGATACTACAGAAAGAGTGTTTCAAAACTGCTGTACGAAAGGGAATGTTCAACTCTGTGACTTGAATGCACACATCACAAAGAAGTTTCTGATGATGCTGCTGTGTACTTTTTATACTTAATCCCGTTTCCAACGAAATCCTCCAAGCTATCCAAATATCCACTTGCAGATTCCACAGAAAGACTGTTTCAAAACTGCTCTGTCAATAGAAAGGTTCAACTCTGTTAGCTGCGTGCATATATCCCAAAGAAGATTCTGAGATTGCTTCTGTCTAGTTTTTATGGGAAGATATTTCCCTTTTCACCGTAGGCGTCAAGGCGCTCCAAATGTCCACTTCCAGATACTACAAAAAGAGTGTTTCAAACCTACTCTGTGAAAGGGAATATTCAACTCAGTGATTTGAATGCACATATCACAAAGAAGTTTCTGAGAATGCTTCTGTCGAGATTTTATATGAAGATATTCCCGTTTCCACCGAAATCCTGAAATCTATCCAAATATCCCCTCACAGATTCTACAGAAAGAGTGTTTCAAAACTGCTCTGTAAAAAGAAAGGTTCAACTCTGTTAGTTGAGTACACACATCACAAACAAGTTTCACAGAATGCTTCTTTCTAGCTTGTAGGGGAAGATTCCCCTTTATCATCGTGGTCCTCAAACCGTCCGAAAAGTCCACTTCCCTATACTACAAAAAGAGCGTTTCAAACCTGCTGTATGAAAGGCAATGTTCAACTCTGTGACTTGAATGCAGACATCACAGAGCAGTTTCTGAGAATGCTTCTGTCCAGACTTTATAGGAAGATATTCCCGTTTCCAACGAAATCTTCACAGCTATCCAAATATCCACTTGCAGATAGTACAAAAAGAGTGTATCAAAAATGCTCTGTCAAAAGGAAAGTTCTTCTCTGCTAGTTGAGTACATACGTCATAAAGGAGTTTCTGAGAATGTTTCTGACTAGTGGTTATGGGAAGATATTTGCTTTTTCACCGTAGGCCTCAGAGCGCTCCAAATATCCACTTGCACATACTACAAAAAGAGTGCCTCAAAGCTGCTCTCTGAAACGGAATGTTCAACTCTATGAGTTGAATGCAAACATCACAAAGACGTTTCTGAGAATGCTTCTGTCTAGATTTGATATGAAGATATGCCCGTTTCCAACGAAATCTTCAAATCTATCCAAATATCCACTTGCAGATTCAACAAAAAGTGTTTTTCAGAACTGCTCTATCAAAAGAAAGATCCACCTCTGTTAGCTGAGTTCACACATCAGAAACAAGTTTATGAGAATGCTTCTGTCTAGTTTTTATTTGAAGATATTTCCTTTATCACCATAGACCTGAAAGCTGTCCTAATGTTCACTTCCAGATACTACAGAAAGAGTGTTTCAAAACTGCTGTACGAAAGGGAATGTTCAACTCTGTGACTTGAATGCACACATCACAAAGAAGTTTCTGAGGATGCTGCTGTCTAGTTTTTATACGTAATCCCGTTTCCAACGAAATCCTCCAAGCTATCCAAATATCCACTTGCAGATTCCACAGAAAGACTGTTTCAAAACTGCTCTGTCAATAGAAAGGTTCAACTCTGTTAGCTGCGTGCATATATCCCAAAGGAGATTCTGAGATTGCTTCTGTCTAGTTTTGATGGGAAGATACTTCCCTTTTCACCGTAGGTGTCAAGGCGCTCCAAATATCCACTTCCAGATACTACAAAAAGAGTGTTTCAAACCTACTCTGTGAAAGGGAATATTCAACTCTGTGACTTGAATGCACATATCACAAAGAAGTTTCTGAGAATGCTTCTTTCGAGATTTTATATGAAGATATTCCCGTTTCCAACGAAATCCTGAAATCTATCCAAATATCCCCTCGCAGATTCTACAAAAAGAGTGTTTCAAAACTGCTCTGTAAAAAGAAAGGTTCAACTATGTTAGTTGAGTACACATATCACAAACAAGTTTCACAGAATGCTCTTCTTAGCTTGTGGGGGAAGATATTTCCTTTATCACCATGGGTCTCAAACCGTTCGAAACGTCCACTTCCACATGTAACAAAAAGAGCATTTCAAACCTGCTCCATGAAAGGGAATGTTCAACTCTGTGACTTGAATGCAGATATCACAAAGCAGTTTCTGAGGATGCTGCCTGTCTAGATTTTATAGGAAGATATTCCCGTTTCCAACGAAATCTTCACAGCTATCCAAATATCCACTTGCAGATTCTACAAAAAGAGTGTATCAAAACTGCTCTGTCAAAAGGAAGGTTGTTCTCTGTTAGTTGAGTGCATACGTCATAATGGAGTTTCTGAGAATGTTTCTGTCTAGTGGTTATGGGAAGATACTTGCTTTTTCCCCGTAGGCCTCTGAGCGCTCCAAATGTCAACTTGCACATGCTACAAAAAGAGTGCTTCAAAGCTGCTCTCTGAAGCGGAATGTTCAACTCTATGAGTTGAATGCAAACATCACAAAGACGTTTCTGAGAATGCTTCTGTCTAGATTTGATATGAAGATATTCCCGTTTCCAACGAAATCTTCAAATCTATCCAAATGTCCACTTGCAGATTCAACAAAGTGTTTTTCAGAACTGCTCTATAAAAAGAAAGATCCACCTCTGTTAGCTGAGATCACACTTCACAAACAAGTTTATCAGAATGCTTCTGTCTAGTTTTTATTTGAAGATATTTCCTTTCTCACCATAGACCTGAAATCTGTCCTAATGTTCACTTCCAGATACTACAGAAAGAGTGTTTCAAAACTGCTGTACGAAAGGGAATGTTCAACTCTGTGACTTGAATGCACACATCACAAAGAAGTTTCTGAGGATGCTGCTGTCTACTTTTTATACGTAATCCCGTTTCCAACGAAATCCTCCAAGCTATCCAAATATTCACTTGCAGATTCCACAGAAAGACTGTTTCAAAACTGCTCTGTCAATAGAAAGGTTCAACTCTGTTAGCTGCGTGCATATATCCCAAAGAAGTTTCTGAGATTACTTCTGTCTACTTTTTATGAGAAGATATTTCCCTTTTCACCGTAGGTGTCAAGGCGCTCCAAATGTCCACTTCCAGATACAACAAAAAGAGTGTTTCAAACCTACTCTGTGAAAGGGAATATTCAACTCTGTGACTTGAATGCACATATCACAAAGAAGTTTCTGAGAATGCTTCTGTCGAGATTTTATATGAAGATATTCCCGTTTCCAACGAAATCCTGAAATCTATCCAAATATCCCCTCGCAGATTCTACAAAAAGAGTGTTTCAAAACTGCTCTGTAAAAAGAAAAGTTCAACTCTGTTAGTTGAGTACACACATCACAAACAAGTTTCACACAATGCTTCTTTCTAGCTTGTAGGGGAAGATATTCCCTTTATCACCATGGGCCTCAAACCGTCCGATAAGTCCACTTCTATATACTACAAAAAGAGCGTTTCAAACCTGCTCTATGAAAGGCAATGTTCAACTCTGTGACTTGAATGCAGACATCACAGAGCAGTTTCTGAGAATGCTTCTGTCTAGATTTTATAGGAAGATATTCCCGTTTCCAACGAAATCTTCACAGCTATCCAAATATCCACTTGCAGATTCTACAAAAAGAGTGTATCTAAACTGCTCTGTCAAAAGGAAGGTTATTTTCTGTTAGGTGAGTGCATACCGTCATAAAGGAGTTTCTGAGAATGTTTCTGTCTAGTGGTTATGGGAAGATATTTGCTTTTTCACCTTAGGCCTCAGAGCGCTCCAAATATCCCCTTGCACATACTACAAAAAGAGTGCTTCAAAGCTGCTCTCTGAAACGGAATGTTCAACTCTATGAGTTGAATGCAAACATCACAAAGACGTTTCCGAGAATGCTTCTGTCTAGACTTAATATGAAGATATTCCCGTTTCCAACGAAATCTTCAAATCTATCCAAATGTCCACTTGCAGATTCAACAAAAAGTGTTTTTCAGAACTGCTCTATCAAAAGAAAGATCCACCTCTGTTAGCTGAGTTCACACATCACAAACAAGTTTATGAGAATGCTTCTGTCTAGTTTTTATTTGAAGATATTTCCTTTCTCACCATAGACCTGAAAGCTGTCCTAATGTTCACTTCCAGTTACTACAGAAAGAGTGTTTCAAAACAGCTGTACGAAAGGGAATGTTCAACTCTGTGACTTGAATGCACACATCACAAAGAAGTTTCTGAGGATGGTGCCGTCTACTTTTTATGCGTAATCCCGTTTCCAACGAAATCCTCCAAGCTATCCAAATATCCACTTGCAGATTCCACAGAAAGACTGTTTCAAAACTGCTCTGTCAATAGAAAGGTTCAACTCTGTTAGCTGCGTGCATATATCCCAAAGAAGATTCTGAGATTGCTTCTGTCTAGTTTTTATGGGAAGATATTTCCCTTTTCACCGTAGGCGTCAAGGCGCTCCAAATGTCCACTTCCAGATACTACAAAAAGAGTGTTTCAAACCTACTCTGTGAAAGGGAATATTCAACTCTGTGACTTGAATGCACATATCACAAAGACGTTTCTGAGAATGCTTCTGTCGAGATTTTAAATGAAGATATTCCCGTTTCCAACGAAATCCTGAAATCTATCCAAATATCCCCTCGCAGATTCTACAAAAAGAGTGTTTCAAAACTGCTCTGTGAAAAGAAAGGTTCAACTCTGTTAGTTGAGTACACACATCACAAACAAGTTTCACAGAATGCTTCTTTCTAGCTTGTAGGGGAAGATATTCCCTTTATCACCATGGGCCTCCAACCGTCGGAAACATCCACTTCCATATACTACAAAAAGAGCGTTTCAAACCTGCTGTATGAAAGGCAATGTTCAACTCTGTGACTTGAATGCAGACATCACAGAGCAGTTTCTGAGAATGCTTCTGTCCGGACTTTATAGGAATATATTCCCGATTCCAACGAAATCTTCACAGCTATCCAAATATCCACTTGCAGATACTACAAAAAGAGTGTATCAAAAGTGCTCTGTCAAAAGGAAAGTTCTTCTCTGCTAGTTGAGTACATACGCCATAAAGAAGTTTCTGAGATTGTTTCTGTCTAGTGGTTATGGGAAGATATTTGCTTTTTCCCCGTAGGCCTCAGGGCGCTCCAAATGTCCACTTGCACATGCTACAAAAAGAGTGCTCCAAAGCTGCTCTCTGAAAGGGAATGTTCAACTCTATGAGTTGAATGCAAACATCACAAAGACGTTTCTGAGAATGCTTCTGTCTAGATTTGATATGAAGATATTCCCGTTTCCAACGAAATCTTCAAATCTATCCAAATGTCCACTTGCAGATTCAAAAAAAAGTGTTTTTCAGAACTGCTCTATCAAAAGAAAGATCCACCTCCTGTTAGCTGAGTTCAGACATCACAAACAAGTTTATGAGAATGCTTCTGTCTAGTTTTTATTTGAAGATATTTCCTTTCTCACCATAGACCTGAAAGCTGTCCTAAAGTTCACTTCCAGATACTACAGAAAGAGCGTTTCAAAACTGCTGTATGAAAGGGAATGTTCAACTCTGTGACTTGAATGCACACATCACAAAGAAGTTTCTGAGGATGCTGCTGTCTAATTTTTATACATAATCCCTTTTCCAACGAAATCCTCCAAGCTATCCAAATATCCACTTGCAGATTCCACAGAAAGACTGTTTCAAAACTGCTCTGTCAATAGAAAGGTTCAACTCTGTTAGCTGCGTGCATATATCCCAAAGAAGATTCGGAGATTTCTTCTGCCTAGTTTTTATGGGAAGATATTTCCCTTTTCACCGTAGGCGTCAAGGCGCTCCAAATGTCCACTTCCAGATACTACAAAAAGAGTGTTTCAAACCTACTCAGTGAAAGGGAATATTCAACTCTGTGACTTGAATGCAGATATCACAAAGAAGTTTCTGAGAATGCTTCTGTCGAGATTTTATATGAAGATATTCCCGTTTCCAACGAAATCCTGAAATGTATCCAAATATCCCCTCGCAGATTCTACAAAAAGAGTGTTTCAAAACTGCTCTGTAAAAAGAAAGGTTCAACTCTGTTAGTTGAGTACATACATCACAAACAAGTTTCACAGAATGCTTCTTTCTAGGTTGTAGGGGAAGATATTCCCTTTATCACCATGGGCCTCAAACCGTCCGATAAGTCCACTTCCATATACTACAAAAAGAGCGTTTCAAACCTGCTCTATGAAAGGCAATGTTCAACTCTGTGACTTGAATGCAGACATCACAGAGCAGTTTCTGAGAATGCTTCTGTCCAGACTTTATAGGAAGATATTCCCGATTCCAACGAAATCTTCACATCTATCCAAATATCCACTTGCAGATACTACAAAAAGAGTGTATCAAAAAAGCTCTGTCAAAAGGAAAGTTCTTTTCTGCTAGTTGAGTACATACGTCATAAAGAAGTTTCTGAGAATGTTTCTGTCTAGTTGTTATGGGAAGATATTTGCTTTTTCCCCATAGGCCTCAGAGCGCTCCAAATGTCCACTTGAACATACTACAAAAAGAGTGCTTCAAAGCTGCTCTCTGAAAGGGAATGTTCAACTCTATGAGTTCAATGCAAACATCACAAAGACGTTTCTGAGAATGCTCTGTCTAGATTTGATATGAAGATATTCCCGTTTCCAACGAAATCTTCAAATCTATCCAAATGTCCACTTGCAGATTCAACAGAAAGTGTTTTTCAGAACTGCTCTATCAAAAGAAAGATCCACCTCTGTTAGCTGAGTTCACACATCACAAACAAGTTTATGAGAATGCTTTCTGTCTAGTTTTTATTTGAAGATATTTCCTTTCTCACCATAGACCTGAAAGCTGTCCTAATGTTCACTTCCAGTTACTACAGAAAGAGTGGTTCAAAACTGCTGTACGAAAGGGAATGTTCAACTCTGTGACTTGAATGCACACATCACAAAGAAGTTTCTGAGGATGCTGCTGTCTACTTTTTATACGTAATCCCGTTTCCAACGAAATCCTCCAAGCTATCCAAATATACACTTGCAGATTCCACAGAAAGACTGTTTCAAAACTGCTCTGTCAATAGAAAGGTTCAACTCTGTTAGCTGCGTGCATATATCCCAAAGAAGATTCTGAGATTGTTTCTGTCTAGTTTTTATGGGAAGATATTTCCCTTTTCACAGTAGGTGTCAAGGCGCTCCAAATGTCCACTTCCAGATACTACAAAAAGAGTGTTTCAAACCTACTCTGTGAAAGGGAATATTCAACTCTGTGACTTGAATGCACATATCACAAAGAAGTTTCTGAGAATGCTTCTGTCGAGATTTTATATGAAGATATTCCCGTTTCCATCGAAATCCTGAAATCTATCCAAATATCCGCTCGCAGATTCTACAAAAAGAGTGTTTCAAAACTGCTCTGTGAAAAGAAAGGTTCAACTCTGTTAGTTGAGTACACACATCACAAACAAGTTTCACACAATGCTTCTTTCTAGCTTGTAGGGGAAGATATTCCCTTTATCACCATGGGCCTCAAACCGTCCGATACGTCCACTTCCATATACTACAAAAAGAGCGTTTCAAACCTGCTCTATGAAAGGCAATGTTCAACTCTGTGACTTGAATGTAGACATCACAGAGCAGTTTCTGAGAATGCTTCTGTCTAGATTTTATAGGAAGATATTCCCGTTTCCAACGAAATCTTCACAGCTATCCAAATATCCACTTTCAGATTCTACAAAAAGAGTGTATCAAAAATGCTCTGGCAAAAGGAAGGTTCTTCTCTGTTAGGTGAGTGCATACGTCATAAAGGAGTTTCTCAGAATGTTTCTGTCTAGTGGTTATGGGAAGATATTTGCTTTTTCCCCGTAGGCCTCAGAGCGCTCCAAATATCCACTTGCACATATTACAAAAAGAGTGCTTCAAAGCTGCTCTCTGAAACGGAATGTTCAACTCTATGAGTTGAATGCAAACATCACAAAGACGTTTCTGAGAATGCTTCTGTCTAGATTTGATATGAAGATATTCCCGTTTCCAACGAAATCTTCAAATCTATCCAAATGTCCACTTGCAGATTCAACAAAAAGTGTTTTTCAGAACTGCTCTATCAAAAGAAAGATCCACCTCTGTTAGCTGAGTTCAGACATCACAAACAAGTTTATGAGAATGCATCTGTCTAGTTTTTATTTGAAGATATTTCCTTTCTCACCATAGACCTGAAAGCTGTCCTAATGTTCACTTCCAGATACAACAGAAAGAGTGTTTCAAAACTGCTGTACGAAAGGGAATGTTCAACTCTGTGACTTGAATGCACACATCACAAAGAAGTTTCTGAGGATGCTGCTCTCTACTTTTTATACTTAATCCCGTTTCCAACGAAATCCTCCAAGCTATCCAAATATCCACTTGCAGATTCCACAGAAAGACTGTTTCAAAACTGCTCTGTCAATAGAAAGGTTCAACTCTGTTAGCTGCGTGCATATATCCCAAAGAAGATTCTGAGATTGCTTCTGTCTATTTTTTATGGGAAGATATTTCCCTTTTCACCGTAGGTGTCAAGGCGCTCCAAATGTCCACTTCCAGATACTACAAAAAGAGTGTTTCAAACCTACTCTGTGAAAGGGAATATTCAACTCTGTGACTTGAATGCAGATATCACAAAGAAGTTTCTGAGAATGCTTCTGTCGAAATTTTATATGAAGATATTCCCGTTTCCAACGAAATGCTGAAATGTATCCAAATATCCCCTCGCAGATTCTACAAAAAGAGTGTTTCAAAACTGCTCTGTAAAAAGAAAGGTTCAACTCTGTTAGTTGAGTACACACATCACAAACAAGTTTCACAGAATGCTTCTTTCTAGCTTGTAGGGGAAGATATTCCCTTTATCACCATGGGCCTCCAACCGTCCGAAACATCCAGTTCCATATACTACAAAAAGAGCGTTTCAAACCTCCTCTATGAAAGGCAATGTTCAACTCTGTGACTTGAATGCAGACATCACAGAGCAGTTTCTGAGAATGCTTCTGTCTAGATTTTATAGGAAGATATTCCCGTTTCCAACGAAATCTTCACAGCTATCCAAATATCCACTTGCAGATTCCACAAAAAGAGTGTATCAAAACTGCTCTGTCAAAAGGAAGGTTCTTCTCTGTTAGGTGAGTGCATACGTCATAAAGGAGTTTCTGAGAATGTTTCTGTCTAGTGGTTATGGGAAGATATTTGCTTTTTCACCCTAGGCCTCAGAGCGCTCCAAATATCCACTTGCACATACTACAAAAAGAGTGCCTCAAAGCTGCTCTCTGAAACCGAATGTTCAACTCTATGAGTTGAATGCAAACATCACAAAGACGTTTCTGAGAATGCTTCTGTCTAGATTTGATATGAAGATATTCCCGTTTCCAACGAAATCTTCAAATCTATCCAAATGTCCACTTGCAGATTCAACAAAATGTGTTTTTCAGAACTGCTCTATCAAAAGAAAGATCCACCTCTGTTAGCTGAGTTCACACATCACAAACAAGTTTATGAGAATGCTTTCTGTCTAGTTTTTATTTGAAGATATTTCCTTTCTCACCATAGACCTGAAAGCTGTCCTAATGTTCACTTCCAGATACTACAGAAGGAGTGTTTCAAAACTGCCGTACGAAAGGGAATGTTCAACTCTGTGACTTGAATGCACACATCACAAAGAAGTTTCTGAGGATGCTGCTGTCTACTTTTTATACGTAATCCCGTTTCCAACGAAATCCTCCAAGCTATCCAAATATCCACTTGCAGATTCCACAGAAAGACTGTTTCAAAACTGCTCTGTCAATAGAAAGGTTCAACTCTGTTAGCTGCGTGCATATATCCCAAAGAAGATTCTGAGATTGCCTCTGTCTAGTTTTTATGGGAAGATATTTCCCTTTTCACCGTAGGTGTCAAGGCGCTCCAAATGTCCACTTCCAGATACTACAAAAAGAGTGTTTCAAACCTACTCTGTGAAAGGGAATATTCAACTCTGTGACTAGAATGCACATATTACAAAGAAGTTTCTGAGAATGCTTCTGTCGAGATTTTATATGAAGATATTCCCGTTTCCAACGAAATCCTGAAATCTATCCAAATATCCCCTTGCAGATTCTACAAAAAGAGTGTTTCAAAACCGCTCTGTAAAAAGAAAGGTTCAACTCTGTTAGCTGAGTACACACATCACAAACAAGTTTCACAGAATGCTTCTTTCTAGCTTGTAGAGGAAGATATTCCCTTTATCACCATGGGCCTCAAACCGTCCGATAAGTCCACTTCCATATACTACAAAAAGAGCGTTTCAAACCTGCTCTATGAAAGGCAATGTTCAACTCTGTGACTTGAATGCAGACATCACAGAGCAGTTTCTGAGAATGCTTCTGTCCAGACTTTATAGGAAGATATTCCCGTTTCCAACGAAATCTTCACAGCTATCGAAATATCCACTTGCAGATACTACAAAAGAGTGTATGAAAAATGCTCTGTCAAAAGGAAAGTTCTTCTCTGCTAGTTGAGTACATACGTCATAAAGAAGTTTCTGAGAATGTTTCTGTCTAGTGTTTATGGGAAGATATTTGCTTTTTCACCGTAGGCCTCAGAGCGCTCCAAATATCCACTTGCACATACTACAAAAAGAGTGTTTCCAAGCTGCTCTCTGAAAGGGAATGTTCAACTCTATGAGTTGAATGCAAACATCACAAAGACGTTTCTGAGAATGCTTCTCTCTAGATTTGATATGAAGATATTCCCGTTTCCAAAGAAATCTTCAAATCTATCCAAATGTCCACTTGCAGATTCAACAAAAAGTGTTTTTCCGAACTGCTCTATCAAAAGAAAGATCCACCTCTGTAAGCTGAGTTCACACATCACAAACAAGTTTATGAGAATGCTTCTGTCTAGTTTTTATTTGAAGATATTTGCTTTCTCACCATAGACCTGAAAGCTGTCCTAATGTTCACTTCCAGATACTACAGAAAGAGTGTTTCAAAACTGCTGTACGAAAGGGAATGTTCAACTCTGTGACTTGAATGCACACATCACAAAGAAGTTTCTGAGGATGCTGCTGTCTACTTTTTATACGTAATCCCGTTTCCAACGAAATCCTCCAATCTATGCAAATATCCACTTGCAGATTCCACAGAAAGAGTGTTTCAAAACTGCTCTGTCAATAGAAAGGTTCAACTCTGTTAGCTGCGTGCATATATCCCAAAGAAGATTCTGAGATTGCTTCTGTCTAGTTTTTATGGGAAGATATTTCCCTTTTCACCGTAGGTGTCAAGGCGCTCCAAATGTCCACTTCCAGATACTACAAAAAGAGTGTTTCAAACCTACTCTGTGAAAGGGAATATTCAACTCTGTGAATTGAATGCACATATCACAAAGAAGTTTCTGAGAATGCTTCTGTCGAGATTTTCTATGAAGATATTCCCGTTTCCAACGAAATCGTGAAATCTATCCAAATATCCCCTCGCAGATTCTACAAAAAGAGTGTTTCAAAACTGCTCTGTAAAAAGAAAGGTTCAACTCTGTTAGTTGAGTACACACATCACAAACAAGTTTCACAGAATGCTTCTTTCTAGCTTGTAGGGGAAGATATTCCCTTTATCACCATGGGCCTCCAACCGTCCGAAACATCCACTTTCATATACTACAAAAAGAGCGTTTCAAACCTGCTCTATGAAAGGCAATGTTCAACTCTGTGACTTGAATGCAGACATCACAGAGCAGTTTCTGAGAATGCTTCTGTCTAGATTTTATAGGAAGATATTCCCGTTTCCAACGAAATCTTCACAGCTATCCAAATATCCACTTGCAGATTCTTCAAAAAGAGTGTATCAAAACTGCTCTGTCAAAAGGAAGGTTCTTCTCTGTTAGTTGAGTACATACGTCATAAAGGAGTTTCTGAGAATGTTTCTGTCTAGTGGTTATGGGAAGATATTTGCTTTTTCACCGTAGGCCTCAGAGCGCTCCAAATATCCACTTGCACATACTACAAAAAGAGTGCCTCAAATCTGCTCTCTGAAACGGAATGTTCAACTCTATGAGTTGAATGTAAACATCACAAAGACGTTTCTGAAAATGCTTCTGTCTAGATTTGATATGAAGATATTCCCGTTTCCAAAGAAATCTTCAAATCTATCCAAATGTCCACTTGCAGATTCAACAAAAAGTGTTTTTCAGAACTGCTCTATCAAAAGAAAGATCCACCTCCGTTAGCTGAGTTCACACATCACAAACAAGTTTATGAGAATGCTTCTGTCTAGTTTTTATTTGAAGGTATTTCCTTTCTCACCATAGACCTGAAAGCTGTCCTAATGTTCACTTCCAGATACTACAGAAAGAGTGTTTCAAAACTGCTGTACGAAAGGGAATGTTCAACTCTGTGACTTGAATGCACACATCACAAAGAAGTTTCTGAGGATGTTGCTGTCTACTATTTATACGTAATCCCGTTTCCAACGAAATCCTCCAATCTAACCAAATATCCACTTGCAGATTACACAGAAAGACTGTTTCAAAACTGCTCTGTCAATAGAAAGGTTCAACTCTGTTAGCTGCGTGCATATATCCCAAAGAAGATTCTGAGATTGCTTCTGTCTAGTTTTTATGGGAAGATATTTCCCTTTTCACCGTAGGCGTCCAGGCGCTCCAAATGTCCACTTCCAGATACTACAAAAAGAGTGTTTCAAACCTACTCTGTGAAAGGGAATATTCAACTCTGTGACTTGAATGCACATAACACAAGGAAGTTTCTGAGAATGCTTCTGTCGAGATTTTATATGAAGATATTCCCGTTTCCAACGAAATGCTGAAATGTATCCAAATAACCCCTCGCAGATTCTACAAAAAGAGTGTTTCAAAACTGCTCTGTAAAAAGAAAGGTTCAACTCTGTTAGTTGAGTACACACATCACAAACTAGTTTCACAGAATGCTTCTTTCTAGCTTGTAGGGGAAGATATTCCCTTTATCACCATGGGCCTCCAACCGTCTGAAACATCCACTTCCATATACTACAAAAAGAGCATTTCAAACCTGCTCTATGAAAGGCAATGTTCAACTCTGTGACTTGAATGCAGACATCACAGAGCAGTTTCTGAGAATGCTTCTGTCTAGATTTTATAGGAAGATATTCCCGTTTCCAACGAAATCTTCACAGCTATCCCAATATCCACTTGAAGATTCTACAAAAAGAGTGTATCAAAACTGCTCTGTCAAAAGGAAGGTTCTTCTCTGTTAGGTGAGTGCATACGTCATAAAGCAGTTTCTGAGAATGTTTCTGTCTAGTGGTTATGGGAAGATATTTGCTTTTTCACCGTAGGCCTCAGAGCGCTCCAAATATCCGCTTGCACATACTACAAAAAGAGTGCTTCAAAGCTGCTCTCTGAAACGGAATGTTCAACTCTATGAGTTGAATGCAAACATGACAAAGACGTTTCTGACAATGCTTCTGTCTAGATTTGATATGACGATATTCCCGTTTCCAACGAAATCTTCAAATCTATCCAAATGTCCACTTGCAGATTCAACAAAAAGTGTTTTTCAGAACTGCTCTATCAAAAGAAAGATCCACCTGTGTTAGCTGAGTTCACACATCACAAACAAGTTTATTAGAATGCTTCTGTCTAGTTTTTATTTGAAGATATTTCCTTTCTCACCATAGACCTGAAAGCTGTCCTAATGTTCACTTCCAGATACTACAGAAAGAGCATTTCAAAACTGCTGTACGAAAGAGAATGTTCAACTACTGTGACTTGAATGCACACATCACAAAGAAGTTTCTGAGGATGCTGCTGTCTACTTTTTATACGTAATCCCGTTTCCAACGAAATCCTCCAAGCTATCCAAATATCCACTTGCAGATTCCACAGAAAGACTGTTTCAAAACTGCTCTGTCAATACAAAGGTTCAACTCTGTTAGCTGCATGCATATATCCCAAAGAAGATTCTGAGATTGCTTCTGTCTAGTTTTTATGGGAAGATATTTCCCTTTTCACCGTAGGCGTCAAGGCGCTCCAAATGTCCACTTCCAGATACTACAAAAAGAGTGTTTCAAACCTACTCTGTGAAAGGGAATATTCAACTCTGTGAGTTGAATGCAGATATCACAAAGAAGTTTCTGAGAATGCTTCTGTCGAGATTTTATATGAAGATATTCCCGTTTCCAACGAAATCCTGAAATCTATCCAAATATCCGCTCGCAGATTCTACAAAAAGAGTGTTTCAAAACTGCTCTGTAAAAACAAAGGTTCAACTCTGTTAGTTGAGTACACACATCACAAACAAGTTTCACAGAATGCTTCTTTCTAGCTTGTAGGGGAAGATATTCCCTTTATCACCATGGTCCTCAAACCGTTCGAAACGTCCTCTTCCATATAGTACAAAAAGAGCCTTTCAAACCTGCTCTATGAAAGGCAATGTTCAACTCTGTGACTTGAATGCAGACATCACAGAGCAGTTTCTGAGAATGCTTCTGTCTAGATTTCATAAGAAGATATTCCCGTTTCCAACGAAATCTTCACAGCTATCCAAATATCCACTTGGAGATTCTACAAAAAGAGTGTATCAAAACTGCTCTGTCAAAAGGAAGGTTCTTCTCTGTTAGGTGAGTGCATACGTCATAAAGGAGTTTCTGAGAATGTTTCTGTCTAGTGGTTATGGGAAGATATTTGCTTTTTCACCGTAGGCCTCAGAGCGCTCCAAATATCCACTTGCACATACTACAAAAAGAGTGCCTCAAAGCTGCTCTCTGAAACGGAATGTTCAACTCTATGAGTTGAATGCCAACAGCACAAAGACGTTTCTGAGAATGCTTCTGTCTAGATTTGATATGAAGATATTCCCGTTACCAACGAAATCTTCAAATCTATCCAAATGTCCACTTGCAGATTCAACAAAAAGTGTTTTTCAGAACTGCTCTATCAAAAGAAAGATCCACCTCTGTTAGCTGAGTTCACACATCACAAACAAGTTTATGAGAATGCTTTCTGTCTAGTTTTTATTTGAAGATATTTCCTTTCTCAACATAGAGCTGAAAGCTGTCCTAATGTTCACTTCCAGATACTACAGAAAGAGTGTTTCAAAACTGCTGTACGAAAGGGAATGTTCAACTGTGTGACTTGAATGCACACATCACAAAGAAGTTTCTGAGGATGCTGCTGTCTACTTTTTATACGTAATCCCGTTTCCAACGAAATCCTCCAAGCTATCCAAATATCCACTTGCAGATTCCACAGAAAGACTGTTTCAAGACTGCTCTGGCAATAGAAAGGTTCAACTCTGTTAGCTGCGTGCATATATCCCAAAGAAGATTCTGAGATTGCTTCTGACTAGTTTTTATTGGAAGATATTTCCTTTTTCACCATAGGCATCAAAGCGCTCCAAATTTCCACTTCCAGATACTAAAAAAAAAGAGTGTTTCAAACCTACTGTGTGGAAGGGAATATTTAACTCGGTGACTTCAATGCACATATCACAGAGAAGTTTCTGAGAATGCTTCTGTCGAGATTTTTTATGAAGATATTCCCGTTTACAACGAAATTCTGTAATCTATCCAAATATCCCCTCGCAGATTCTAGAAAAAGAGTGTTTCAAAACTGCTCTGTAAAAAGAAAGTTTCACTTCTCTTAGTTGAGTACACACATCACAAACAAGTTTCTCAGAATGCTTCTTTCTAGGTTGTAGGGGAAGATATTCCCTTTATCACCATGGGCCTCAAACCGTCCGAAACGTCCACTTTTATATACTACAAAAAGAGCGTTTCAAACCTGCTCTATGAAAGGCAATGTTCAACTCTGTGACTTGAATGCAGACATCACAGAGCAGTTTCTGAGAATGCTTCTGTCCAGACTTTATAGGAAGATATTCCCGTTTCCAACGAAATCTTCACAGCTATCCAAATATCCACTTGCAGATAGTACAAAAAGAGTGTATCAGAAATGCTCTGTCAAAAGGAAAGTTCTTACTCTGCTAGTTGAGTACATACGTCATAAAGAAGTTTCTGAGAATGTTTCTGTCTAGTGGTTATGGGAAGATATTTGCTTTTTCACCGTAGGCCTCAGAGCGCTCCAAATATCCACTTGCACATACTACAAAAAGAGTGCTTCAAAGCTGCTCTCTGAAAGGGAATGTTACACTCTATGAGTTGAATGCAAACATCACAAAGACGTTTCTCAGAATGCTTCTGTCTAGATTTGATATGAAGATATTCCCGTTTCCAACGAAATCTTCAAATCTATCCAAATGTCCACTTGCAGATTCAACAAAAAGTGTTTTCCAGAACTGCTCTATCAAAAGAAAGATCCACCTCTGTTAGCTGAGTTCACACATCACAAACAAGTTTATGAGAATGCTTCGGTCTAGTTTTTATTTGAAGATATTTCCTTTCTCACCATAGAGCTGAAAGCTGTCCTAATGTTCACTTCCAGATACTACAGAAAGAGTGTTTCAAAACTGCTGTACGAAAGGGAATGTTCAACTCTGTGACTTGAATGCACACATCAGAAAGAAGTTTCTGAGGATGCTGCTGTCTACTTTTTATACGTAATCCCGTTTCCAACGAAATCCTCCAAGCTATCCAAATATCCACTTACAGATTCCACAGAAAGACTGTTTCAAAACTGCTCTGTCAATAGAAAGGTTCAACTCTGTTAGCTGCGTGCATATATCCCAAAGAAGATTCTGAGATTGCTTCTGTCTAGTTTTTATGGGAAGATATTTCCCTTTTCACCGTAGGCGTCAAGGCGCTCCAAATGTCCACTTCCAGATACTACAAAAAGAGTGTTTCAAACCTACTCTGTGAAAGGGAATATTCAACTCTGTGACTTGAATGCCCATGTCACAAGGAAGTTTCTGAGAATGCTTCTGTCAAGATTTTATAGGAAGAAATTCCCGTTTCCAACGAAATCCTGAAATCTATCCAAATAACCCCTCGCAGATTCTACAAAAAGAGTGTTTCAAAACTGCTCTGTAAAAAGAAAAGTTCAATTCTGTTAGTTGAGTACACACATCACAAACAAGTTTCACAGAATGCTTCTTTCTAGCTTGTAGGGGAAGATATTCCCTTTATCACCATGGGCCTCCAACCGTCCGAAACATCCACTTCCATATACTACAAAAAGAGCGCTTCAAACCTGCTCTATGAAAGGCAATGTTCAACTCTGTGACTTGAATACAGACATCACAGAGCAGTTTCTGAGAATGCTTCTGTCTAGATTTTATAGGAAGATATTCCCGTTTCCAACGAAATCTTCACAGCTATCCAAATATCCACTTGCAGATTCTACAAAAAGAGTGTATCAAAACTGCTCTGTCAAAAGGAAGGTTCTTCTCTGTTAGTTGAGTACATACGTCGTAAAGGAGTTTCTGAGAATGTTTGTGTCTAGTGGTTATGGGAAGATATTTGCTTTTTCACCTTAGGCCTCAGAGCGCTCAAAATATCCCCTTGCACATACTACAAAAAGAGTGCTTCAAAGCTGCTCTCTGAAAGGGAATGTTCAATTCTATGAGTTGAATGCAAACATAACAAATACGTTTCTGAGAATGCTTCTGTCTAGATTTGATATGAAGATATTCCCGTTTCCAACGAAATCTTCAAATCTATCCAAATGTCCACTTGCAGATTCAACAAAGTGTTTTTCAGAACTGCTCTATCAAAAGAAAGATCCACCTCTGTTAGCTGAGATCACACTTCACAAACAAGTTTATCAGAATGCTTATCTGTCTAGTTTTTATTTGAAGATATTTCCTTTCTCACCATAGACCTGAAAGCTGTCCTAATGTTCACTTCCAGATACTACAGAAAGAGTGTTTCAAAACTGCTGTACGAAAGCGAATGTTCAACTCTGTGACTTGAATGCACACATCACAAAGAAGTTTCTGAGGATGCTGCTGTCTACTTTTTATACGTAATCCCGTTTCCAACGAAATCCTCCAAGCTATCCAAATATCCACTTGCAGATTCCACAGAAAGACTGTTTCAAATCTGCTCTGTCAATAGAAAGGTTCAACTCTGTTAGCTGCGTACATATATCCCAAAGAAGATTCTGAGATTGCTTCTGTCTAGTTTTTATGGGAAGATATTTCCCTTTTCACCGTAGGCGTCAAGGCGCTCCAAATGTCCACTTCCAGATACTACAAAAAGAGTGTTTCAAACCTACTCTGTGAAAGGGAATATTCAACTCTGTGACTTGAATGCGCATATCACAAAGAAGTTTCTGAGAATGCTTCCGTCGAGATTTTATATGAAGATATTCCCGTTTCCAACAAAATCCTGAAATCTATCGAAATATCCCCTCGCAGATTCTACAAAAAGAGTGTTTCAAAACTGCTCTGTAAAAAGAAAGGTTCAACTCTGTTAGTTGAGTACACACATCACAAACAAGTTTCACAGAATGCTTCTTTCTAGCTTGTAGGGGAAGATATTCCCTTTATCACCATGGGCCTCCAACCGTCCGAAACATCCACTTCCATATACTACAAAAAGAGCGTTTCAAACCTGCTCTATGAAAGGCAATGTTCAACTCTGTGACTTGAATGCAGGCATCACAGAGCAGTTTCTGAGAATGCTTCTGTCCAGACTTTATAGGAAGATATTCCCGATTCCAACGAAATCTTCACAGCTATCCAAATATCCACTTGCAGATACTACAAAAAGAGTGTATCAAAAAAGCTCTGTCAAAAGGAAAGTTCTTCTCTGCTAGTTGAGAACATACGTCATAAAGAAGTTTCTGAGAATGTTTCTGTCTAGTGGTTATGGGAAGATATTTGCTTTTTCACCGTAGGCCTCAGGGCGCTCCAAATGTCCACTTGCACATGCTACAAAAAGAGTGCTTCAAAGCTGCTCTCTGAAAGGGAATGTTCAACTCTATGAGTTGAATGCAAACATCACAAAGACGTCTCTGAGAATGCTTCTGTCTAGATTTGATATGAAGATATTCCCGTTTCCAACGAAATCTTCAAATCTATCCAAATGTCCACTTGCAGATTCAACAAAAAGTGTTTTTCAGAACTGCTCTATCAAAAGAAAGACCCATCTCTGTTAGCTGAGTTCACACATTACAAACAAGTTTATGAGAATGCTTCTGTCTAGTTTTTATTTGAAGATATTTCCTTTCTCACCATAGACCTGAAAGCTGTCCTAATGTTCACTTCCAGATACTACAGAAAGAGTGTTTCAAAACTGCTGTACGAAAGGGAATGTTCAACTCTGTGACTTGAATGCACACATCACAAAATAGTTTCTGAGGATGCTGCTGTCTACTTTTTATACGTAATCCCGTTTCCAAAGAAATCCCCCAAGCTATCCAAATATCCACTTGCAGATTCCACAGAAAGACTGTTTCAAAACTGCTCTGTCAATAGAAAGGTTCAACTCTAATAGCTGCGTGCATATATCCCAAAGAAGATTCTGAGATTGCTTCTGTCTAGTTTTTATGGGAAGATATTTCCCTTTTCACCGTAGGCGTCAAGGCGCTCCAAATGTCCACTTCCAGATACTACAAAAAGAGTGTTTCAAACCTACTCTGTGAAAGGGAATATTCAACTCTGTGACTGGAATGCACATATCACAAGGAAGTTTCTGAGAATGCTTCTGTCGAGATTTTATATGAAGATATTCCCGTTTCCAACGAAATCCTGAAATCTATCCAAATATCCCCTCGCAGATTCTACAAAAAGAGTGTTTCAAAACTGCTCTGTGAAAAGAAAGGTTCAACTCTGTTAGTTGAGTACACACATCACAAGCAAGTTTCACAGAATGCTTCTTTCTAGCTTGTAGGGGAAGATATTCCCTTTATCACCATGGGCCTCAAACCGTCCGAAACGTCCACTTCCATATACTACAAAAAGAGTGTTTCAAACCTGCTCTATGAAAGGCAATGTTCAACTCTGTGACGTGAATGCAGACATCACAGAGTAGTTTCTGAGAATGCTTCTGTCTAGATTTTATAGGAAGATATTCCCGTTTCCAACGAAATCTTCACAGCTATCCAAATATCCACTTGCAGATTCTACAAAAAGAGTGTATCAAAACTGCTCTGTCAAAAAGAAGGTTCTTCTCTGTTAGGTGAGTGCATACGTCATAAAGGAGTTTCTGAGAATGTTTCAGTCTAGTGTTTATGGGAAGATATTTGCTTTTTCCCCGTAGGCCTCAGAGCGCTCCAAATATCCACTTGCACATACTACAAAAAGAGTGCTTCAAAGCTGCTCTCTGAAACGGAATGTTCAACTCTATGAGTTGAATGCAAACATTACAAAGACGTTTCCGAGAATCCTTTTGTCTAGATTTGATATGAAGATATTCCCGTTTCCAACGAAATCTTCAAATCTATCCAAATGTCCACTTGCAGATTCAACAAAAAGTGTTTTTCAGAACTGCTCTATCAAAAGAAAGATCCACCTCTGTTAGCTGACTTCACACATCACAAACAAGTTTATGAGAATGCTTCTGTCTAGTTTTTATTTGAAGATATTTCCTTTCTCACCATAGACCTGAAAGCTGTCCTAATGTTCACTCCCAGATAATACAGAAAGAGTGCTTCAAAACTGCTGTACGAAAGGGAATGTTCAACTCTGTGACTTGAATGCACACATCACAAAGAAGTTTCTGAGGATGCTGCTGTCTACTTTTGATACGTAATCCCGTTTCCAACGAAATCCTCCAATCTATCCAAATATCCACTTGCAGATTCCACAGAAAGACTGTTTCAAATCTGCTCAGTCAATAGAAAGGTTCAACTCTGTTAGCTGCGTGCATATATCCCAAAGAAGATTCTGAGATTGCTTTCTGTCTAGTTTTTATGGGAAGATATTTCCCTTTTCACCATAGGCGTCAAGGCGCTCCAAATGTCCACTTCCAGATACTACAAAAAGAGTGTTTCAAACCTACTCTGTGAAAGGGAATATTCAACTCGGTGACTTGAATGCACATATCACAAAGAAGTTTCTGAGAATGCTTCTGTCGAGATTTTATATGAAGATATTCCCGTTTCCAACGAAATCCTGAAATCTATCCAAATATCCCCTCACAGATTCTACAAAAAGAGTGTTTCAAAACTGCTCTGTAAAAAGAAAGGTTCAACTCAGTTAGTTGAGTACACACATCACAAACAAGTTTCACAGAATGCTTTCTTTCTAGCTTGTAGGGGAAGATATTCCCTTTATCATCATGGGCCTCAAACCGTCCGAAACGTCCACTTCCATATACTACAAAAAGAGCGTTTCAAACCTGCTCTATGAAAGGCAATGTTCAACTCTGTGACTTGAATGCAGACATCACAGAGCAGTTTCTGAGAATGCTTCTGTCTAGATTTTATAGGAAGATATTACCGTTTCCAACGAAATCTTCACAGCTATCCAAATATCCACTTGCAGATTCTACAAAAAGAGTGTATCAAAACTGCTCTGTCAAAAGGAAGGTTCTTCTCTGTTAGGTGAGTGCATACGTCATAAAGGAGTTTCTGAGAATGTTTCTGTCTAGTGGTTATGGGAAGATATTTTCTTTTTCACTTTAGGCCTCAGAGTGCTCCAAATATCCGCTTGCACATACTACAAAAAGAGTGCTTCAAAGCTGCTCTATGAAAGGGAATGTTCAACTCTATGAGTTGAATGCAAACATCACAAAGACGTTTCTGAGAATGCTTCTGTCTAGATTTGATATGAAGATATTCCCGTTTCCAACGAAATCTTCTAATCTATCCAAATGTCCTCTTGCAGATTTAACAAAAAGTGTTTTTCAGAACTGCTCTATCAAAAGAAAGATCCACGTGTGTTAGCTGAGTTCACACATCACGAACAAGTTTATGAGAATGCTTCTGTCTAGTTTTTATTTGAAGATATATCCTTTCTCACTATAGACCTGAAAGCTCTCCTAAAGTTCACTTCCAGATACTACAGAAAGAGTGTTTCAAAACTGCTGTATGAAAGGGAATGTTCAACTCTGTGACTTGAATGCACACATCACAAGGATGTTTCTGAGGATGCTGCTGTCTAATTTTTATACGTAATCCCGTTTCCAACGAAATCCTCCAAGCTATCCAAATATCCACTTGCAGATTCCACAGAAAGACTGTTTCAAAACTTCTCTGTCAATAGAAAGGTTCAACTCTGTTAGCTGCGTGCATATATCCCAAAGAAGATTCTGAGATTGCTTCTGTCTAGTTTTTATGGGAAGATATTTCCCTTTTCACCGTAGGTGTCAAGGCGCTCCAAATGTCCACTTCCAGATACTACAAAAAGAGTGTTTCAAAGCTACTCTGTGAAAGGGAATATTCAACTCTGTGACTTAAAGGCAGATATCACAAAGAAGTTTCTGAGAATGCTTCTGTCGAGATTTTATATGAAGATATTCCCGTTTCCAACGAAATCCTGAAATCTATCCAAATATCCCCTCGCAGATTCTACAAAAAGAGTGTTTCAAAACTGCTCTGTTAAAAGAAAGGTTCAACTCTGTTAGTTGAGTACACACATCACAAACAAGTTTCACAGAATGCTTCCTTCTAGCTTGTAGGGGAAGATATTCCCTTTATCACCATGGGCCTCAAACCGTCCGAAACGTCCACTTCCATATACTACAAAAAGAGCGTTTCAAACCTGCTCTAGGAAAGGCAATGTTCAACTCTGTGACTTGAATGCAGACATCACAGAGCAGTTTCTGAGAATGCTTCTGTCTAGATTTTATAGGAAGATATTCCCGTTTCCAAGGAAATCTTCACAGCTATCCAATATCCACTTGCAGATTCTACAAAAAGAGTGTATCAAAACTGCTCTGTCAAAAGGAAGGTTCTTCTCTGTTAGTTGAGTACATACGTCATAAAGGAGTTTCTGAGAATGTTTCTGTCTAGTGGTTATGGGAAGATATTTGCTTTTTCACCTTAGGCCTCAGAGCGCTCCAAATATCCCCTTGCACATCCTACAAAAAGAGTGCTTCAAAGCTGCTCTCTGAAAGGGAATGTTCAACTCTATGAGTTGAATGCAAACATCACAAAGACGGTTCTGGGAATGCTTCTGTCTAGATTTGATATGAAGATATTCCCGTTTCCAACGAAATCTTCAAATCTATCCAAATGTCCACTTGCAGATTCAACAAAAAGTGTTTTTCAGAACTGCTCTATCAAAAGAAAGATCCACCTACTGTTAGCTGAGTTCAGACATCACAAACAAGTTTATGAGAATGCTTTTGTCCAGTTTTTATTTGAAGATATTGCCTTTCTCACCGTAGACCTCAAAGCTGTCCTAATGTTCACTTCCAGATACTACAGAAAGAGTGTTTCAAAACTGCTGTACGAAAGGGAATGTTCAACTCTGTGACTTGAATGCACACATCACAAAGAAGTTTCTGAAGATGCTGCTGTCTACTTTTTATACGTAATCCCGTTTCCAACGAAATCCTCCAAGCTATCCAAATATCCACTTGCAGATTCCACAGAAAGACTGTTTCAAAACTGCTCTGTCAATAGAAAGGTTCAACTCTGTTAGCTGCGTGCATACATCCCAAAGAAGATTCTGAGATTGCTTCTGTCTAGTTTTTATGGGAAGATATTTCCCTTTTCACCGTAGGCGTCAAGGCGCTCCAAATGTCCACTTCCAGATACTACAAAAAGAGTGTTTCAAACCTACTCTGTGAAAGGGAATTTTCAACTCTGTGACTTGAATGCACATATCACAAAGAAGTTTCTGAGAATGCTTCTGTCGAGATTTTATATGAAGATATTCCCGTTTCCAACGAAATCCTGAAATGTATCCAAATATCCCCTCGCAGATTCTACAAAAAGAGTGTTTCAAAACTGCTCTGTAAAAACAAAGGTTCAACTCTGTTAGTTGAGTACACACATCACAAACAAGTTTCACACAATGCTTCTTTCTAGCTTGTAGGGGAAGATATTCCCTTTATCACCATGGGCCTCAAACCGTCCGAAACGTCTACTTCCATATACTACAAAAAGAGCGTTTCAAACCTGCTCTAGGAAAGGTAATGTTCAACTCTGTGACTTGAATGCAGACATCACAGAGCAGTTTCTGAGAATGCTTCTGTCTAGATTTTATAGGAAGATATTCCCGTTTCCAACGAAATCTTCCCAGCTATCCAAATATCCACTTGCAGATTCTACAAAAAGAGTGTATCAAAACTGCTCTGTCAAAAGGAAGGTTCTTCTCTGTTAGATGAGTACATACGTCATAAAGGAGTTTCTGAGAATGTTTCTGTCTAGTGGTTATGGGAAGATATTTGCTTTTTCACCGTAGGCCTCAGAGAGCTCCAAATATCCACTTGCACATACTACAAAAAGAGTGCTTCAAAGCTGCTCTCTGAAAGGGAATGTTCAACTCTATGAGTTGAATGCAAACATCACAAAGACGTTTCTGAGAATGCTTCTGTCTAGATTTGATATGAAGATATTCCCGTTTCCAACGAAATCTTCAAATCTATCCAAATGTCCTCTTGCAGATTCAACAAAAAGTGTTTTTCAGAACTGCTCTATCAAAAGAAAGATCCACCTCTGTTAGCTGAGTTCAGACATCACAAACAAGTTTATGAGAATGCTTCTGTCTAGTTTTTATTTGAAGATATTTCCTTTCTCACCATAGACCTGAAAGCTGTCCTAATGTTGACTTCCAGATACTACAGAAAGAGTGTTTCAAAACTGCTGTATGAAAGGGAATGTTCAACTCTGTGACTTGAATGCAGACATCACAGAGCAGTTTCTGAGAATGCTTCTGTCTAGATTTTATAGGAAGATATTCCCGTTTCCAACGAAATCTTCACAGCTATCCAAATATCCACTTGCAGATTCTACAAAAAGAGTGTATCAAAACTGCTCTGTCAAAAGGAAGGTTCTTCTCTGTTAGGTGAGTGCATACGTCATAAAGGAGTTTCTGAGAACGTTTCTGTCTAGTTTTTAGGGGAAGATATTTCCTTTTTCACAATAGGCGTCAAAGCGATCCAAATGTCCACTTCCAGATACTACAAAAAGAGTGTTTCAAACCTACTCTGTGAAAGGGAGTATTCAAGTCTGTGACTTCAATGCAGATATCACAATGAAGTTTCTGAGAATGCTTCTGTCGGGATTTTATATGAATATATTCACGTTTCCAACGAAATCCTGAAATCTATCCAAATATCCCCTCGCAGATTCTACAAAAAGAGTGTTTCAAAACTGCTCTGTAAAAAGAAAGGTTCAACTCTGTTAGTTGAGTACACACATCACAAACAAGTTTCACAGAATGCTTCTTTCTAGCTTGTAGGGGAAGATATTTCCTTTATCACCATGGTCCTCAAGCCGTCTGAAAGGTCCACTTCCATATACTAAAAAAAGAGTGTTTGAAACCTGCTCTATGAAATGCAATGTTCAACTCTGTGACTTGAATGCAGACATCACAGAGCCGTTTCTGAGAATGCTTCTGTCTAGCATTTTATAGGAAGATATTTCCGTTTCTAACGAAACCTTCACAGCTATCCAAATATCCACTTGCAGATTCTACAAAAAGAGTGGATCAAAACTGCTCTGTCAAAAGGAAGGTTCTTCTCTGTTAGTTGAGTACATACGTCATAAAGGAGTTTCTGAGAATGTTTTCTGCTAGTGGTTATGGGAAGATATTTGCTTTTTCACCGTAGGCCTCAGAGCGCTCCAAATATCCACTTGCACATACTACAAAAAGAGTGCCTCACAGCTGCTCTCTGAAACGGAATGTTCAACTCTATGAGTTGAATGCAAACATCGCAAAGACGTTTCTGAGAATGCTTCTGTCTAGATTTGATATGAAGATATTCCCGTTTCCAACGAAATCTTCAAATCTATCCAAATGTCCACTTGCAGATTCAATTAAAAGGGTTTTTCATAACTGGTGTATCAAAAGAAAGACCCACCTCTGTTAGTTGAGTTCACACATCACAAACAAGTTTATGAGAATGCTTCTGTCTAGTTTTTATTTGAAGATATTTCCTTTCTCACCATAGACCTGAAAGGTCTCGAAACGTTCACTTCCAGGTACTAGAGAAAGAGTGTTTCAAACCTGCTGTACGAAAGGGAATGTTCAACTCTTTGACTTGAATGCACACATCACAAAGAAGTTTCTGAGAATGCTGCTGTCTAATTTTTATACGTAATCCCGTTGCCAACGAAATCCTCCAAGCTATCCAAATATCCACTTGCAGATTCCACAGAAAGACTGTTTCAAAACTGCTCTGTCAATAGAAAGGTTCAACTCCGTTAGCTGCGTGCATATATCCCAAAGAAGATTCTGAGATTGCTTCTGTCTAGTTTTTATGGGAAGATATTTCCCTTCTCACCGTAGGTGTCAAGGCGCTCCAAATGTCCACTTCCAGATACTACAAAAAGAGTGTTTCAAACCTACTCTGTGAAAGGGAATATTCAACTCTGTGACTTGAATGCACATATCACAAAGAAGTTTCTGAGAATGCTTCTGTCGAGATTTTATATGAAGATATTCCCGTTTCCAACGAAATCCTGAAATGTATCCAAATATCCCCTCGCAGATTCTACAAAAAGAGTGTTTCAAAACTGCTCTGTAAAAAGAAAGGTTCAACTCTGTTAGTTGAGTACACACATCACAAACAAGTTTCACAGAATGCTTTCTTTCTAGCTTGTAGGGGAAGATATTCCCTTTATCACCATGGGCCTCCAACCGTCCGAAAAGTCCACTTCCATACACTACAAAAAGAGCGTTTCAAACCTGCTCTATGAAAGGCAATGTTCAACTCTGTGACTTGAATGCAGACATCACAGAGCAGTTTCTGAGAATGCTTCTGTCTAGATTTTATAGGAAGATATTCCCGATTCCAACGAAATCTTCACAGCTATCCAAATATCCACTTGGAGATTCTACAAAAAGAGTGTATCAAAACTGCTCTGTCAAAAGGAAGGTTCTTCTCTGTTAGTTGAGTACATACGTCATAAAGGAGTTTCTGAGAATGTTTCTGTCTAGTGGTTATGGGAATATATTTGCTTTTTCCCCGTAGGCCTCAGGGCGCTCCAAATGTCCACTTGCACATGCTACAAAATGAGTGCTTCAAAGCTACTCTCTGAAACGGAATGTTCAACTCTATGAGTTGAATGCAAACATCACAAAGACGTTTCTGAGAATGCTTCTGTCTAGATTTGATATGAAGATATTCCCGTTTCCAAAGAAATCTTCAAATCTATCCAAATGTCCACTTGCAGATTCAAAAAAAAGTGTTTTTCAGAACTGCTCTATCAAAAGAAAGATCCACCTCTGTTAGCTGAGTTCACACATCACAAACAAGTTTATGAGAATGCTTCTGTCTAGTTTTTATTTGAAGATATTTCCTTTCTCACCATAGAGCTGAAAGCTGTCCTAATGTTCACTTCCAGATACTACAGAAAGAGTGTTTCAAAACTGCTGTACGAAAGGGAATGTTGAACTCTGTGACTTGAATGTACACATCACAAAGAAGTTTCTGAGGATGCTGCTGTCTACTTTTTATACTTAATCCCGTTTCCAATGAAATCCTCCAAGCTATCCAAATATCCACTTGCAGATTCCACAGAAAGACTGTTTCAAAACTGCTCTGTCAATAGAAAGGTTCAACTCTGTTAGCTGCGTGCATATATCCCAAAGAAGATTCTGAGATTGCTTCTGTCTAGTTTTTATGGGAAGATATTTACCTTTTCACCATAGGCGCCAAGGCGTTCCAAATGTCCACTTCCAGATACTACAAAAAGAGTGTTTCAAACCTACTCTGTGAAAGGGAATATTCAACTCTGTGACTTGAAGGCAGATATCACAAAGAAGTTTCTGAGAATGCTTCTGTCGAGATTTTATATGAAGATATTCCCGTTTCCAACGAAATCCTGAAATCTATCCAAATATCCCCTCGCAGATTCTACAAAAAGAGTGTTTCAAAACTGCTCTGTAAAAAGAAAGGTTCAACTCTGTTAGTTGAGAACACACATCACAAACATGTTTCACAGAATGCTTCTTTCTAGCTTGTAGGGGAAGATATTCCCTTTATCACCATGGGCCTCAAACCGTCTGAAAAGTCCACTTCCATATACTACAAAAAGAGCGTTTCAAACCTGCTCTATGAAAGGCAATGTTCAACTCTGTGACTTGAATGCAGACATCACAGAGCAGTTTCTGAGAATGCTTCTGTCCAGACTTTATAGGAAGATATTCCCGTTTCCAACGAAATCTTCACAGCTATCCAAATATCCACTTGCAGATAGTAAAAAAAGAGTGTATCAGAAATGCTCTGTCAAAAGGAAAGTTCTTCTCTGCTAGTTGAGTTCATACGTCATAAAGAACTTTCTGAGAATGTTTCTGTCTAGTGGTTATGGGAAGATATTTGCTTTTTCACCTTAGGCCTCAGAGCGCTCCAAATATCCACTTGCACATACTACAAAAAGAGTGCTTCAAAGCTGCTCTCTGAAAGGGAATGTTCAACTCTATGAGTTGAATGCAAACATCCCAAAGACGTTTGCTGAGAATGCTTTCTGTCTAGATTTGATATGACGATATTCCCGTTTCCAACGAAATCTTCAAATCTATCCAAATGTCCACTTGCAGATTCAAGAAAACGTGTTTTTCAGAACTGCTCTATCAAAAGAAAGATCCACCTCTGTTAGCTGAGTTCACACATCACAAACAAGTTTATGAGAATGCTTCTGTCTAGTTTTTATTTGAAGATATTTCCTTTCTCACCATAGACCTGAAAGCTGTCCTAATGTTCACTTCCAGATACTACAGAAAGAGTGTTTCAAAACTGCTGTACGAAAGGGAATGTTCAACTCTGTGACTTGAATGCACACATCACAAACAAGTTTCTGAGGATGCTGCTGTCTACTTTTTATACGTAATCCCGTTTCCTACGAAATCCTCCAAGCTATCCAAATATCCACTTGCAGATTCCACAGAAAGACTGTTTCAAAACTGCTCTGTCAATAGAAAGGTTCAACTCTGTTAGCTGGGTGCATATATCCCAAAGAAGATTCTGAGATTACTTCTGTCTACTTTTTATGAGAAGATATTTCCCTTTTCACCGTAGTCGTCAAGGCGCTCCAAATGTCCACTTCCAGATACTACAAAAAGAGTGTCTCAAACCTACTCTGTGAAAGGGAATATTGAACTCTGTGACTTGAATGCACATATCACAAAGAAGTTTCAGAGAATGCTTCTGTCGAGATTTTATATGAAGATATTCCCGTTTCCAACGAAATCCTGAAATCTATCCAAATATCCCCTCGCAGATTCTACAAAAAGAGTGTTTCAAAACTGCTCTGTAAAAAGAAAGGTTCAAATCTATTAGTTGAGTACACACATCGCAAACAAGTTTCACAGAATGCTTCTTTCTAGCTTGTAGGGGAAGATATTCCCTTTATCACCATGGGCCTCAAACCGTCCGAAACATCCACTTCCATATAGTACAAAAAGAGCGTTTCAAACCTGCTCTATGAAAGGCAATGTTCAACTCTGTGACTTGAATGCAGACATCACAGAGCAGTTTCTGAGAATGCTTTCTGTCTAGATTTTATAGGAAGATATTCCCGTTTCCAAGGAAATCTTCACAGCTATCCAAATATCCACTTGCAGATTCTACAAAAAGAGTGTATCAAAACTGCTCTGTCAAAAGGAAGGTTCTTCTCTGTTAGGTGAGTGCATACGTCATAAAGGAGTTTCTGAGAATGTTTTTGTCTAGTGGATATGGGAAGATATTTGCTTTTTCCCCGTAGGCCTCAAAGCGCTCCAAATGTCCACTTGCACATACTACAAAAAGAGTGCTTCAAAGCTGCTCTCTGAAAGGGAATGTTCAACTCCATGAGTTGAATGCAAACATCACAAAGACGTTTCTGAGAATGCTTCTGTCTAGATTTGATATGAAGATATTCCCGTTTCCAACGAAATCTTCAAATCTATCCAAATGTCCACTTGCAGATTCAACAAAACGTGTTTTTAAGAACTGCTCTATCAAAAGAAAGATCCACCTCTGTTAGCTGAGTTCACACATCACAAACAAGTTTATGAGAATGCTTCTGTCTAGTTTTTATTTGAAGATATTTCCTTTCTCACCATAGAGCTGAAAGCTGTCCTAATGTTCACTTCCAGATACTGCAGAAAGAGTGTTTCAAAACTGCTGTACGAAAGGGAATGTTCAACTCTGTGACTTGAATGCACACATCACAAAGAAGTTTCTGAGGATGCTGCTGTCTACTTTTTATACCTAATCCCGTTTCCAACGAAATCCTCCAAGCTATCCAAATATCCACTTGCAGATTCCACAGAAAGACTGTTTCAAAACTGCTCTGTCAATAGAAAGGTTCAACACTGTTAGCTGCGTGCATATATCCCAAAGAAGATTCTGAGATTGTTTCTGTCTCGTTTTCATGGGAAGATATTTCCCTTTTCACCGTAGGTGTCAAGGCGCTCCAAATGTCCACTTCCAGATACTACAAAAAGAGTGTTTCAAACCTACTCTCTGAAAGGGAATATTCAACTCTGTGACTTGAATGCAGATATCACAATGAAGTTTCTGAGAATGTTTCTGTCGAGATTTTATATGAAGATATTCCCGTTTCCAACGAAATGCTGAAATGTATCCAAATATCCCCTCGCAGATTCTACAAAAAGAGTGTTTCAAAACTGCTCTGTAAAAAGAAAGGTTCAACTCTGTTAGTTGAGTACACACATCCCAAACAAGTTTCACAGAATGCTTCTTTCTAGCTTGTAGGGGAAGATATTCCCTTTATCACAATGGGCCTCAAACCGTCTGAAACGTCCACTTCCATATACTACAAAAAGAGCATTTCAAACCTGCTCTATGAAAGGCAATGTTCAACTCTGTGACTTGAATGCAGGCATCACAGAGCAGTTTCTGAGAATGCTTCTGTCTAGATTTTATAGGAAGATATTCCCGTTTCCAACGAAATCTTGACAGCTATCCAAATATCCACTTGCAGATTCTACAAAAAGAGTGTATCAAAACTGCTCTGTCAAAAGGAAGGTTCTTCTCTGTTAGGTGAGTGCATACGTCATAAAGGAGTTTCTGAGAATGTTTCTGTCTAGTGGTTATGGGAAGATATTTGCTTTTTCACCGTAGGCCTCAGAGCGCTCCAAATATCCACTTGCACATACTACAAAAAGAGTGCTTCAAAGCTGCTCTCTGAAACGGAATGTTCAACTCTATGAGTTGAATGCAAACATCACAAAGACGTTTCCGAGAGTGCTTCTGTCTAGATTTGATATGAAGATATTAACGTTTCCAACGAAATCTTCAAATCTATCCAAAAGTCCACTTGCAGATTCAACAAAAAGTGTTTTTCAGAACTGCTCTATCAAAAGAAAGATCCACCTCTGTTAGCTGAGTTCACACATCACAAACAAGTTTATGAGAATGCTTCTGTCTAGTTTTTATTTGAAGATATTTCCTTTCTCACCATAGACCTGAAAGCTGTCCTAATGTTCACTTCCAGATACTGCAGAAAGAGTGTTTCAAAACTGTTGTACGAAAGGGAATGTTCAACTCTGTGACTTGAATGCACACATCACAAAGAAGTTTCTGAGGATGCAGCTGTCTACTTTTTATGCGTAATCCCGTTTCCAACGAAATCCTCCAAGCTATCCAAATATCCACATGCAGATTCCACAGAAAGACTGTTTCAAAACTGCTCTGTCAATAGAAAGGTTCAACTCTGTTAGCTGCGTGCATATATCCCAAAGAAGATTCTGAGATTGCTTCTGTCTACTTTTTATGAGAAGATATTTCCCTTTTCACCGTAGGCGTCAAGGCGCTCCAAATGTCAACTTCCAGATACTACAAAAAGAGTGTTTCAAACCTACTCTGTGAAAGGGAATATTCAACTCTGTGACTTGAATGCAGATATCACAAAGAAGTTTCTGAGAATGCTTCTGTCGAGTATTTTATATGAAGATATTCCCGTTTCCATCGAAATCCTGAAATCTATCCAAATATCCGCTCGCAGATTCTACAAAAAGAGTGTTTCAAAACTGCTCTGTGAAAAGAAAGGTTCAACTCTGTTAGTTGAGTACACACATCACAAACAAGTTTCACAGAATGCTTCCTTCTAGCTTGTAGGGGAAGATATTCCCTTTATCACCATGGGCCTCAAACCGTCCGAAACGTCCACTTCCATATACTACAAAAAGAGCGTTTCAAACCTGTTATAGGAAAGGCAATGTTCAACTCTGTGACTTGAATGCAGACATCACAGAGCAGTTTCTGAGAATGCTTCTGTCTAGATTTTATAGGAAGATATTCCCGTTTCCAGCGAAATCTTCACAGCTATCCAAATATCCACTTGCAGATTCTACAAAAAGAGTGTATCAAAACTGCTCTGTCAAAAGGAAGATTCTTCTCTGATAGGTAAGTGCATAAGTCATAAAGGAGTTTCTGAGAATGTTTCTGTCTTGTGGTTATGGGAAGATATTTGCTTTTTCACCGTAGGCCTCAGAGCGCTCCAAATATCCACTTGCACATACTACAAAAAGAGTGCCTCAAAGCTGCTCTCTGAAACGGAATGTTCAACTCTATGAGTTGAATGCAAACATCGCAAAGACGTTTCTGAGAATGCTTCTCTCTAGATTTGATATGAAGATATTCCCGTTTCCAACGAAATCTTCAATCTATCCAAATATCCACTTGCAGATTCAACAAAAAGTGTTTTTCAGAACTGCTCTATCAAAAGAAAGATCCACCTCTGTTAGCTGAGTTCACACATCACAAACAAGTTTATGAGAATGCTTCTGTCTAGTTTTTAGTTGAAGATATTTCCTTTCTCACCATAGAGCTGAAAGCTGTCCTAATGTTCACTTCCAGATACTACAGAAAGAGTGTTTCAAAACTGCTCTACGAAAGGGAATGTTCAACTCTGTGACTTGAATGCACACATCACAAAGAAGTTTCTGAGGATGCTGCTGTCTACTTTTTATACGTAATCCCGTTTCCAACGAAATCCTCCAAGCTATCCAAATATCCACTTGCAGATTCCCCAGAAAGACTGTTTCAAAACTGCTCTGTCAATAGAAAGGTTCAACTCTGTTAGCTGCGTGCATATATCCCAAAGAAGATTCTGAGATTGCTTCTGTCTAGTTTTTATGGGAAGATATTTCCCTTTTCACCGTAGGTGTCAAGGCGCTCCAAATATCCACTTCCAGATACTACAAAAAGAGTGTTTCAAACCTACTCTGTGAAAGGGAATGTTCAACTCTGTGACTTGAATGCACACATCACAAAGAAGTTTCTGAGGATGCTTCTGTCGAGATTTTGTATGAAGATATTCCCGTTTCCAAGGAAATCCTGAAATCTATCCAAATTTCCCCTCGCAGATTCTACAAAAAGAGTGTTTCAAAACTGCTCTGTAAAAAGAAAGGTTCAACTCTGTTAGTTGAGTACACACATCACAAACAAGTTTCACAGAATGCTTCTTTCTAGCTTGTAGGGGAAGATATTTCCTTTATCACCATGGGCCTTAAACCGTCCGAAACGTCCACTTCCATAAACTAAAAAAAGAGTGTTTGAAACCTGCTCTATGAAAGGCAATGTTCAACTCTGTGACTTGAATGCAGACATCACAGAGCAGTTTCTGAGAATGCTGCTGTCTAGATTTTATAGGAAGAAATTCCCGTTTCCAACGAAATCTTCACAGTTATCCAAATATAGACTTGCAGATTCTACAAAAAGATTGTATCAAAATTGCTGTGTCAAAAGGAAGGTTCAACTCTGTTAGTTGAGTACGTACGTCACAAAGAAGTTTCTGAGAATGTTTCTGTCTAGTGGTTATGGGAAGATATTTGCTTTTTCAACGTAGGCCTCAGAGCGCTCTAAATATCCACTTGCACATACTACAAAAAGAGTGCCTCAAAGCTGCTCTCTGAAACGGAATGTTCAACTCTATGAGTTGAATGCAAACATCACAAAGACGTTTCTGAGAATGCTTCTGTCTAGATTTGATATGAAGATATTCCCTTTTCCAACGAAATCTTCAAATCTATCCAAATGTCCACTTGCAGATTCAACAAAAAGTGTTTTTCAGAACTGCTCTATCAAAAGAAAGATCCACCTCTGTTAGCTGAGTTCACACATCACAAACAAGTTTATGAGAATGCTTCTGTCTAGTTTTTATTTGAAGATATTTCCTTTCTCACCATAGACCTGAAAGCTCTCGCCCCGTTCACTTCCAGGTACTAGAGAAAGAGTGTTTCAAACCTCCTATACGAAAGGGAATGTTCAACTCTTTGACTTGAATGCACACATCACAAAGAAGTTTCTGAGAATGCTGCTGTCTACTTTGTATACATAATCCCGTTTCCAAAGAAATCCTCCAAGCTATCCAAATATCCACTTGCAGATTCCACTAAAAGACTGTTTCAAAACTGCTCTGTCAATAGAAAGTTTCAACTCTGTTAGCTGGGTGCATACATCCCAAAGAAGATTCTGAGATTGCTTGTGTCTAGTTTTGATGGGAAGATATTTCCCTTTTCACCGTGGGCGTCAAGGCGCTCCAAATGTCCACTTCCAGATACTACAAAAAGAGTGTTTCAAACCTACTCTGTGAAAGGGAATATTCAACTCTGTGACTTGAATGCACATATCACAAGGAAGTTTCTGAGAATGCTTCTGTCGAGATTTTATATGAAGATATTCCCGTTTCCAACGAAATGCTGAAATCTATCCAAATATCCCCTCGCAGATTCTACAAAAAGAGTGTTTCAAAACTGCTCTGTGAAAAGAAAGGTTCAACTCTGTTAGTTGAGTACACACATCACCAACAAGTTTCACAGAATGCTTCTTTCTAGCTTGTACGGGAAGATATTCCCTTTATCACCATGGGCCTCAAACCGTCCGAAACGTCCACTTCAATATACTACAAAAAGAGCGTTTCAAACCTGCTCTATGAAAGGCAATGTTCAACTCTGTGACTTGAATGCAGACATCACAGAGCAGTTTCTGAGAATGCTTCTGTCTAGATTTTATAGGAAGATATTCCCGTTTCCAACGAAATCTTCACAGCTATCCAAATATCCACTTGCAGATTCTACAAAAAGAGTGTATCAAAGCTGCTCTGTCAAAAGGGAAGGTTCTTCTCTGTTAGGTGAGTGCATACGTCATAAAGGAGTTTCTGAGAATGTTTCTGTCTAGTGGTTATGGGAAGATATTTGCTTTTTCACCGTAGGTCTCAGAGCGCTCCAAATATCCACTTGCACATAGTACAAAAAGAGTGCTTCAAAGCTGCTCTCTGAAACGGAATGTTCAACTCTATGAGTTGAATGCAAACATCACAAAGACGTTTCTGAGAATGCTTCTGTCTAGATTTGATTTGAAGATATTCACGTTTCCAACGAAATCTTCAAATCTATCCAAATGTCCACTTGCAGATTCAACAAAAAGTGTTTTTCAGAACTGCTCTATCAAAAGAAAGATCCACCTCTGTTAGCTGAGTTCAGACATCACAAACAAGTTTATGAGAATGCTTCTGTCTAGTTTTTATTTGAAGATATATCCTTTCTCACTATAGACCTGAAAGCTGTCCTAATGTTCACTTCCAGATACTACAGAAAGAGTGTTTCAAAACTGCTGTACGAAAGGGAATGTTCAACTCTGTGACTTGAATGCACACATCACAAAGCAAGTTTCTGAGGATACTGCTGTCTACTTTTTATACGTAATCCCGTTTCCAACGAAATCCTCCAATCTATCCAAATATCCACTTGCAGATTCCACAGAAAGACTGTTTCAAATCTGCTCAGTCAATAGAAAGGTTCAAATCTGTCAGCTGCGTGCATATATCACAAAGAAGATTCTGAGATTGCTTCTGTCTAGTTTTTATGGGAAGATATTTCCCTTTTCACCGTGGGCGTCAAGGCGCTCCAAATGACCACTTCCAGATACTACAAAAAGAGTGTTTCAAACCTACTCTGTGAAAGGGAATATTCAACTCTGTGACTTGAATGCACATATCACAAGGAAGTCTCTGAGAATGCTTCTGTCGAGATTTTATATGAAGATATTCCCGTTTCCAACGAAATCCTGAAATCTATCCAAATAACCCCTCGCAGATTCTACAAAAAGAGTGTTTCAAAACTGCTCTGTAAAAAGAAAGGTTCAACTATGTAAGTTGAGTACACACATCACAAACAAGTTTCACAGAATGCTTCTTTCTAGCTTGTAGGGGAAGATATTCCCTTTATCACCATGGGCCTCAAACCGTCCGAAACGTCCACTTCCATATACTACAAAAAGAGCGTTTCAAACCTGCTCTATGAAAGACAATGTTGAACTCTGTGACTTGAATGCAGACATCACAGAGCAGTTTCTGAGAATGCTTCTGTCTAGATTTTATAGGAAGATATTCCCGTTTCCAACGAAATCTTCACAGCTATCCAAATATCCACTTGCAGATTCTACAAAAAGAGTGTATCAAAACTGCTCTGTCAAAAGGAAGGTTCTTTTCTGTTCGGTGAGTGCATACGTCATAAAGGCGTTTCTGAGAATGTTTCTGTCTAGTGGTTATGGGAAGATATTTGCTTTTTCACCGTAGGCCTCAGAGCGCTCCAAATATCCACTTGCACATACTACAAAAAGACTGCTTCAAAGCTGCTCTCTGAAAGGGAATGTTCAACTCTATGAGTTGAATGCAAACATCACAAAGACGTTTCTGAGAATGCTTCTGTCTAGATTTGATATGAAGATATTCCCGATTCCAACGAAATCTTCAAATCTATCCAAATGTCCACTTGCAGATTCAACAAAAAGTGTTTTTCAGAACTGCTCTATCAAAAGAAAGATCCACCTCTGTTAGCTGAGTTCACACATCACAAACAAGTTTATGAGAATGCTTCTGTCTAGTTTATATTTGAAGATATTTCCTTTCTCACCATAGAGCTGAAAGCTGTCCTAATGTTCACTTCCAGATACTACAGAAAGAGTGTTTCAAAACTGCTGTATGAAAGGGAATGTTCAACTCTGTGACTTGAATGCACACATCACAAAGAAGTTTCTGAGGATGCTGCTGTCTACTTTTTATACGTAATCCCGTTTCCAACGAAATCCTCCAAGCTATCCAAATATCCACTTGCAGAATCCACAGAAAGACTGTTTCAAAACTGCTCTGTCAATAGAAAGGTTCAACTCTGTTAGCTGCGTGCATATATCCCAAAGAAGATTCTGAGATTGCTTCTGTCTAGTTTTTATGGGAAGATATTTCCCTTTTCACCGTAGGCGTCAAGGCGCTCCAAATGTCCACTTTCAGATATTACAAAAAGAGTGTTTCAAACCTACTCTGTGAAAGGGAATATTCAACTCTGTGACTTGAATGCACATATCACAAGGAAGTTTCTGAGAATGCTTCTGTCGAGATTTTATATGAAGATATTCCCGTTTCCAACGAAATCCTGAAATCTATCCATATATCCCCTCGCAGATTCTACAAAAAGAGTGTTTCAAAACTGCTCTGTAAAAGGAAAGGTTCAACTCTGTTAGTTGAGTACACACATCACAAACAAGTTTCACAGAATGCTTCTTTCTAGCTTGTAGGGGAAGATATTCCCTTTATCACCATGGGCCTCCAACCGTCCGAAACATCCACTTCCATATACTACAAAAAGAGCGTTTCAAACCTGCTCTATGAAAGGCAATGTTCAACTCTGTGACTTGAATACAGACATCACAGAGCAATTTCTGAGAATGCTTCTGTCTAGATTTTATAGGCAAGATATTCCCGTTTCCAACGAAATCTTCACAGCTATCCAAATATCCACTTGCAGATTCTACAAAAAGAGTGTATCAAAACTGCTCTTTCAAAAGGAAGGTTCTTCTCTGTTAGTTGAGTACATACGTCATAAAGGAGTTTCTGAGAATGTTTCTGTCTAGTGGTTATGGGAAGATATTTGCTTTTTCACCGTAGGCCTCAGAGCGCTCCAAATATGCACTTGCACATACTACAAAAACAGTGCTTCAAAGCTGCTCTCTGAAACGGAATGTTCAACTCTATGAGTTGAATGCAAACATCGCAAAGACGTTTCTGAGAATGCTTCTGTCTAGATTTGATATGAAGATATTCCTGTTTCCAACGAAATCTTCAAATCTATTCAAATGTCCACTTGCAGATTCAACAAAAAGTGTTTTTCAAAACTGCTGTTTCGAAAGAAAGATCCACCTCTGTTAGCTGAGTTCACACTTCACAAACAAGTTTATCAGAATGCTTCTGTCTAGTTTTTATTTGAAGATATTTCCTTTCTCACCATAGACCTGAAAGCTGTCCTAATGTTCACTTCCAGATACTACAGAAAGAGTGTTTCAAAACTGCTGTACGAAAGGGAATGTTCAACTCTCTGACTTGAATGCACACATCACAAAGAAGTTTCTGAGGATGCTGCTGGCTACTTTTTATACGTAATCCCGTTTCCAACGAAATCGTCCAAGCTATCCAAATATCCACTTGCAGATTCCACAGAAAGACTGTTTCAAAACTGCTCTGTCAATAGAAAGGTTCAACTCTGTTAGCTGCGTGCATATATCCCAAAGAAGATTCTGAGATTGCTTCTGTCTAGTTTTTATGGGAAGATATTTCCCTTTTCACCGTAGGCGTCAAGGCGCTCCAAATGTCCACTTCCAGATACTACAAAAAGAGTGTTTCAAACCTACTCTGTGAAAGAGAATATTCAACTCTGTGACTTAAAGGCAGATATCACAAAGAAGTTTCTGAGAATGCTTCTGTCGAGATTTTATATGAAGATATTCCCGTTTCCAACGAAATCCTGAAATCTATCCAAATATCCCCTCGCAGATTCTACAAAAAGAGTGTTTCAAAACTACTCTGTAAAAAGAAATGTTCAACTCTGTTAGTTGAGTACACACATCACAAACAAGTTTCACAGAATGCTTCTTTCTAGCTTGTAGGGAAGATATTCCCTTTATCACCTTGGGCCTCAAACCGTCCGAAACATCCACTTCCATATACTACAAAAAGAGCGTTTCAAACCTGCTCTATGAAAGGCAATGTTCAACTCTGTGACTTGAATGCAGACATCACAGAGCAGTTTCTGAGAATGCTTCTGTCTAGATTTTATAGGAAGATATTCCCGTTTCCAACGAAATCTTCACAGCTATCCAAATATCCAATTGCAGATTCTACAAAAAGAGTGTATCAAAACTGCTCTGTCAAAAGGAAGGTTCTTCTCTGTTAGGTGAGTGCATACGTCATAAAGGAGTTTCTGAGAATGTTTCTGTCTAGTGGTTATGGGAAGATATTTGCTTTTTCACCGTAGGCCTCAGAGCGCTCCAAATATCCACTTGCACATACTACAAAAAGAGTGCTTCAAAGCTGCTCTCTGAAACGGAATGTTCAACTCTATGAGTTGAATGCAAACATCACAAAGACTTTTCTGAGAATGCTTCTGTCTAGATTTGATATGAAGATATTCCCGTTTCCAACGAAATCTTCAAATCTATCCAAATGTCCACTTGCAGATTCAACAAAAAGTGTTTTTCAAAACTGCTCTATCTAAAGAAAGATCCACGTCTGTTAGCTGAGTTCACACATCACAAACAAGTTTATGAGAATGCTTCTGTCTAGTTTTTATTTGAAGATATTTCCTTTCTCACCATAGACCTGAAAGCTGTCCTAATGTTCACTTCCAGATACTACAGAAAGAGTGTTTCAAAACTGCTGTACGAAAGGGAATGTTCAACTCTGTGATTTGAATGCACACATCACAAAGAAGTTTCTGAGGATGCTGCTGTCTACTTTTTATACGTAATCCCGTTTCCAACGAAATCCTCCAAGCTATCCAAATATCCACTTGCAGATTCCACAGAAAGACTGTTTCAAAACTGCTCTGTCAATAGAAAGGTTCAACTCTATTAGCTGCGTACATATATCCCAAAGAAGATTCTGAGATTGCGTCTGTCTAGTTTTTATGGGAAGATATTTCCCTTTTCACCGTAGGCGTCAAGGCGCTCCAAATGTCCACTTCCAGATACTACAAAAAGAGTGTTTCAAACCTACTCTGTGAAAGGGAATATTCAACACTGTGACTTGAATGCACATATCACAAAGAAGTTTCTGAGAATGCTTCTGTCGAGATTTTATATGAAGATATTCCCGTTTCCAACGAAATCCTGAAAACTATCCAAATATCCCCTCGCAGATTCTACAAAAAGAGTGTTTCAAAACTGCTCTGTAAAAAGAAAGGTTCAACTCTGTTAGTGGAGTACACACATCACAAAAAAGTTTCACAGAATGCTTCTTTCTAGCTTGTAGGGGAAGATATTCCCTTTATCACCATGGGCCTCAAACCGTCCGAAACGTCTACTTCCATATACTACAAAAAGAGCGTTTCAAACCTGCTCTATGAAAGGCAATGTTCAACTCTGTGACTTGAATGCAGACATCACAGACCAGTTTCTGAGAATGCTTCTGTCTAGATTTTATAGGAAGATATTCCCGTATCCAACGAAATCTTCACAGCTATCCAAATATCCACTTGCAGATTCTACAAAAAGAGTGTATCAAAACTGCTCTGTCAAAAGGAAGGTTCTTCTCTGTTAGTTGAGTGCATACGTCATAAAGGAGTTTCTGAGAATGTTTCTGTCTAGTGGTTAGGGGAAGATATTTGCTTTTTCACCTTAGGCCTCAGAGCGCTCCAAATATCCCCTTGCACATACTACAAAAAGAGTGCTTCAAAGCTGCTCTCTGAAAGGGAATGTTCAACTCTGTGAGTTGAATGCAAACATCACAAAGACGTTTCTGAGAATGCTTCTGTCTAGATTTGATATGAAGATATTCCCGTTTCCAACGAAATCTTCAAATCTATCCAAATGTCCGCTTGCAGATTCAACAAAACGTGTTTTTCAGAACTGCTCTATCAAAAGAAAGATCCACGTCTCTAAGCTGAGTTCACACATCACAAACAAGTTTATGAGAATGCTTCTGTCTAGTTTTTATTTGAAGATATTTCCTTTCTCACCATAGACCTGAAAGCTGTCCTAATGTTCACTTCCACATACTACAGAAAGAGTGTTTCAAAACTGCTGTACGAAAGGGAATGTTCAACTCTGTGACTTGAATGCACACATCACAAAGAAGTTTCTGAGGATGCTGCTGTCTACTTTTTATGCGTAATCCCGTTTCCAACGAAATCCTCCAAGCTATCCAAATATCCACTTGCAGATTCCACAGAAAGACTGTTTCAAAACTGCTCTGTCAATAGAAAGGTTCAACTCTGATAGCTGCGTGCATATATCCCAAAGAAGATTCTGAGATTGCTTCTGTCTAGTTTTTATGGGAAGATATTTCCCTTTTCACCGTGGGCGTCAAGGCGCTCCAAATGTCCACTTCCAGATACTACAAGAAGAGTGTTTCAAACCTACTCTGTGAAAGGGAATATTCAACTCTGTGACTTGAATGCACATATCACAAGGAAGTTTCTGAGAATGCTTCTGTCGAGATTTTATATGAAGTTATTCCCGTTTCCAACGAAATCCTGAAATCTATCCAAATATCCCCTCGCAGATTCTACAAAAAGAGTGTTTCAAAACTGCTCTGTAAAAAGAAAGGTTCAACTCTGTTAGTTGAGTACACACATCACAAACAAGTTTCACAGAATGCTTCTTTCTAGCTTGTAGGGGAAGATATTCCCTTTATCACCATGGGCCTCAAACCGTCCGAAAAGTCCACTTCCATATACTACAAAAAGAGCGTTTCAAACCTGCTCTATGAAAGGCAATGTTCAACTGCTGTGACTTGAATGCAGACATCACAGAGCAGTTTCCTGAGAATGCTTCTGTCTAGATTTTATAGGAAGATATTCCCGTTTCCAACGAAATCTTCACAGCTATCCAAATATCCACTTGCAGATACTACAAAAAGAGTGTATCAAAAATGCTCTGTCAAAAGGAAAGTTCTTCTCTGCTAGTTGAGTACATACGTCATAAAGAAGTTTCTCAGAATGTTTCTGTCTAGTGGTTATGGGAAGATACTTGCTTTTTCCCCGTAGGCCTCAGAGCGCTCCAAATGTCAACTTGCACATGCTACAAAAAGAGTGCTTCAAAGCTGCTCTCTGAAGCGGAATGTTCAACTCTATGCGTTGAATGCAAACATCACAAAGACGTTTCTGAGAATGCTTCTGTCTAGATTTGATATGAAGATATTCCCGTTTCCAACGAAATCTTCAAATCTATCCAAATGTCCACTTGCAGATTCAACAAAAAGTGTTTTTCAGAACTGCTCTATCAAAAGAAAGATCCACCTCTGTTAGCTGAGTTCACACATCAGAAAAAAGTTTATGAGAATGCTTCTGTCTAGTTTTTATTTGAAGATATTTCCTTTCTCACCATAGACCTGAAAGCTGTCCTAATGTTCACTCCCAGATACTACAGAAAGAGTGTTTCAAAACTGCTGTACGAAAGGGAATGTTCAACTCTGTGACTTGAATGCACACATCACAAAGAAGTTTCTGAGGATGCTGCTGTCTACTTTTTATACGTAATCCCGTTTCCAACGAAATCCTCCAATCTATCCAAATATCCACTTGCAGATTCCACAGAAAGACTGTTTCAAAACTGCTCTGTCAATAGAAAGGTTCAACTCTGTTAGCTGAGTGCATATATCCCAAAGAAGATTCTGAGATTGCTTCTGTCTAGTTTTTATGGGAAGATATTTCCCATTTCACCGTAGGCGTCAAGGCGCTCCAAATGTCCACTTCCAGATACTACAAAAAGAGTGTTTCAAACCTACTCTGTGAAAGGGAATATTCAACTCTGTGACTTGAATGCAGATATCACAAAGAAGTTTCTGAGAATGCTTCTGTCGAGATTTTATATGAAGATATTCCCCTTTCCAACGAAATCCTGAAATCTATCCAAATATGCCCTCGCAGATTCTACAAAAAGACTGTTTCAAAACTGCTCTGTAAAAAGAAAGGTTCAACTCTGTTAGTTGAGTACACACATCACAAACAAGTTTCACAGAATGCTTCTTTCTAGCTTGTAGGGGAAGATATTCCCTTTATCACCATGGGCCTCAAACCGTCCGAAACGTCCACTTCCATATACTACAAAAAGAGCGTTTCAAACCTGCTCTATGAAAGGCAATGTTCAACTCTGTGACTTGAATACAGACATCACAGAGCAGTTTCTGAGAATGCTTCTGTCTAGATTTTATAGGAAGATATTCCCGTTTCCAACGAAATCTTCACAGGTATCCAAATATCCACTTGCAGATTCTACAAAAAGAGTGTTTCAAAACTGCTCTGTCAAAAGGAAGGTTCTTCTCTGTTAGGTGAGTGCATACGTCATAAAGGAGTTTCTGAGAGTGTTTCTGTCTAGTGGTTATGGGAAGATATTTGCTTTTTCACCGTAGGCCTCAGAGCGCTCCAAATATCCGCTTACACATACTACAAAAAGAGTGCTTCAAAGCTGCTCTCTGAAACGGAATGTTCAACTCTATGAGTTGAATGCAAACATCACAAAGACGTTTCTGAGAATGCTTCTGTCTAGATTTGATATGAAGATATTCCCGTTTCCAACGAAATCTTCAAATCTATCAAAATGTCCACTTGCAGATTCAACAAAAAGTGTTTTTTAGAACTGCTCTATCAAAAGAAAGATCCACCTCTGTTAGCTGAGTTCACACATCACAAACAAGTTTATGAGAATGCTTCTGTCTAGTTTTTATTTGAAGATATTTCCTTTCTCACCAAAGACCTGAAAGCTGTCCTAATGTTCACTTCCAGATACTACAGAAAGAGTGTTTCAAAACTGCTGTACGAAAGGGAATGTTCAACTCTGTGACTTGAATGCACACATCACAAAGAAGTTTCTGAGGATGCGGCTGTCTACTTTTTATACTTAATCCCGTTTCCAACGAAATCCTCCAAGCTATCGAAATATCCACTTGCAGATTCCACAGAAAGACTGTTTCAAAACTGCTCTGTCAATAGAAAGGTTCAACTCTGTTAGCTGCGTGCATATATCCCAAAGAAGATTCTGAGATTGCTGCTGTCTAGTTTTTATGGGAAGATATTTCCCTTTTCACCGTAGGCGTCAAGGCGCTCCAAATGACCACTTCCAGATACTACAAAAAGAGTGTTTCAAACCTACTCTGTGAAAGGGAATATTCAACTCTGTGACTTGAATGCAGATATCACAAAGAAGTTTCTGAGAATTCTTCTGTCGAGATTTTATATGAAGATATTCCCGTTTCCAACGAAATCCTGAAATCTATCCAAATATCCCCTCGCAGATTCTACAAAAAGAGTGTTTCAAAACTGCTCTGTAAAAAGAAAGGTTCAACTCTGTTACTTGACTACACACATCACAAACAAGTTGCACACAATGCTTCTTTCTAGCTTGTAGGGGAAGATATTCCCGTTATCTCCATGGGCCTCAAACCGTCCGAAACGTCCACTTCCATATACTAAAAAAAGAGTGTTAGAAACCTGCTCTATGAAAGGCAATGTTCAACACTGTGACTTGAATGCAGACATCACAGAGCAGTTTCTGAGAATGCTTCTGTCTAGATTTTATAGGAAGATATTCCCGTTTCCAACGAAATCTTCACAGCTATCCAAATATCTACTTGCAGACTATACAAAAAGAGTGTATCAAAACTGCTCTGTCAAAAGGAAGGTTCTTCTCTGTTAGGTGAGTGCATACGTCATAAAGGAGTTTCTGAGAATGTTTCTGTCTACTGGTTATGGGAAGATATTTGCTTTTTCCCCTTAGGCCTCAAAGCGCTCCAAATGTCAATTTGCACTTACTACAAAAAGAGTGCTTCAAAACTGCTCTCTGAAAGGGAATGTTCAACTCTATGAGTTGAATGCAAACATCACAAAGACGTTTCTGAGAATGCTTCTGTCTAGATTTGATATGAAGATCTTCCCGTTTCCAACGAAATCTTCAAATCTATCCAAATATCCACTTGCAGATTCAACAAAAAGTGTTTTTCAGAACTGCTCTATCAAAAGAAAGATCCATCTCTGTTAGCTGAGTTCACACATCACAAACAAGTTTATGAGAATGCTTCTGTCTAGTTTTTATTTGAAGATTTTGCCTTTCTCACCATAGACCTGAAAGCTGTCCTAATGTTCACTTCCAGATACTACAGAAAGAGTGTTTCAAAACTGCTGTACGAAAGGGAATGTTCAACTCTGTGACTTGAATGCACACATCACAAAGAAGTTTCTGAGGATGCTGCTGTCTAATTTTTATACGTAATCCCGTTTCCAACGAAATCCTCCAAGCTATCCAAATATCCACTTGCAGATTCCACAGAAAGACTGTTTCAAAACTGCTCTGTCAATAGAAAGGTTCAACTCTGTTAGCTGGGTGCATATATCCCAGAGAAGATTCTGAGATTGCTTCTGTCTAGTTTTTATGGGAAGATATTTCCCTTTTCACCGTAGGCGTCAAGGCGCTCCAAATGTCCACTTCCAGATACTACAAAAAGAGTGTTTCAAACCTACTCTGTGAAAGGGAATATTCAACTCTGTGACTTGAATTCACATATCACAAAGAAGTTTCTGAGAATGCTTCTGTCGAGATTTTATATGAAGATATTCCCGTTTCCAACGAAATCCTGAAATCTATCCAAATATCCCCTCGCAGATTCTTCAAAAAGAGAGTTTCAAAACTGCTCTGTAAAAAGAAAGGCTCTGTTAGTTGAGTACACACATCACAAACAAGTTTCACAGAATGCTTCTTTCTAGCTTGTAGGGGAAGATATTCCCTTTATCACCATGGGCCTCAAACCGTCCGAAACGTCTACTTCCATATACTACAAAAAGAGCGTTTCAAACCTGTTCTATGAAAGGCAATGTTCAACTCTGTGACTTGAATGCAGACATCACAGAGCAGTTTCTGAGAATGCTTCTGTCTAGATCTTATAGGAAGATATTCCCGTTTCAAACGAAATCTTCACAGCTATCCAAATATCCACTTGCAGATTCTACAAAAAGAGTGTATCAAAACTGCTCTGTCAAAAGGAAGGTTCTTCTCTGTTAGGTGAGTGCATACGTCATAAAGGATTTTCTGAGAATGTTTCTGTCTAGTGTTTATGGGAAGATATTTGCTTTTTCACCGTAGGCCTCAGAGCGCTCCAAATATCCACTTGCACATACTACAAAAAGAGTGCCTCAAAGCTGCTCTCTGAAACGGAATGTTCAACTCTATGAGTTGAATGCAAACATCACAAAGACGTTTCTGAGAATGCTTCTGTCTAGATTTCATATGAAGATATTCCCATTTCCAACGAAATCTTCATATCTATCCAAATGTCCACTTGCAGATTCAACAAAAAGTGTTTTTCAAAACTGCTGTATCAAAAGAAAGATCCACGTCTGTTAGCTGAGTTCACACATCACAAACAAGTTTATGAGAATGCTTCTGTCTAGTTTTTATTTGAAGATATATCCTTTCTCACTATAGACGTGAAAGCTCTCCTAAAGTTCACTTCCAGATACTACAGAAAGAGTTTTTCAAAACTGCTGTACGAAAGGGAATGTTCAACTCTGTGACTTGAAAGCACACATCAATAAGGAAGATTCTGAGGATGCTGCTGTCTACTTTTTATACGTAATCCCGTTTCCAACGAAATCCTCCAAGCTATCCAAATATCCACTTGCAGATTCCACAGAAAGACAGTTTCAAAACTGCTCTGTCAATAGAAAGGTTCAACTCTGTTAGCTGCGTGCATATATCCCAAAGAAGATTCTGAGATTGCTTCTGTCTACTTTTTATGAGAAGATATTTCCCTTTTCACCGTAGGCGTCAAGGCGCTCCAAATGTCTACTTCCAGATACTACAAAAAGAGTGTTTCAAACCTACTCAGTGAAAGGGAATATTCAACTCTGTGACTTGAATGCAGATATCACAAAGAAGTTTCTGAGAATGCTTCTGTCGAGATTTTATATGAAGATATTCCCGTTTCCAACGAAATGCTGAAATCTATCCAAATATCCCCTCGCAGATTCTACAAAAAGAGTGTTTCAAAACTGCTCTGTGAAAAGAAAGGTTCAACTCTGTTAGTTGAGTACACACATCACAAACAAGTTTCACACAATGCTTTCTTTCTAGCTTGTAGGGGAAGATATTCCCTTTATCACCATGGGCCTCAAACCGTCCGAAACGTCCACTGCCATATATTACAAAAAGAGCGTTTCAAACCTGCTTTATGAAAGGCAATGTTCAACTCTGTGACTTGAATGCAGACATCACAGAGCAGTTTCTGAGAATGCTTCTGTCTAGATTTTATAGGAAGATATTCCCGTTTCCAACGAAATCTTCACAGCTATTCAAATATCCACTTGCAGATTCTACAAAAAGAGTGTATCAAAACTGCTCTGTCAAAAGGAAGGTTCTTCTCTGTTAGGTGAGTGCACACGTCATAAAGGAGTTTCTGAGAATGTTTCTGTCTAGTGGTTATGGGAAGATATTTTCTTTTTCACCGTAGGCCTCAGAGCGCTCCAAATATCCACTTGCACATACTACAAAAAGAGTGTTTCAAAGCTGCTCTCTGAAAGGGAATGTTCAACTCTATGAGTTGAATGCAAACATGACAGAGACGTTTCTGAGAATGCTTCTGTCTAGATTTGATATGAAGATATCCCCGTTTCCAACGAAATCTTCAAATCTATCCAAATGTCCACTTGCAGATTCAACAAAAAGTGTTTTTCAGAACTGCTCTATCAAAAGAAAGATCCACCTCTGTTAGCTGAGTTCACACATCACAAACAAGTTTATGAGAATGCTTCTGTCTAGTTTTTATTTGAAGATATTTCCTTTCTCACCATGGACCTGAAAGCTGTCCTAATGTTCACTTCCAGATACTACAGAAAGAGTGTTTCAAAACTGCTGTACGAAAGGGAATGTTCAACTCTGTGACTTGAATGCACACATCACAAAGAAGTTTCTGAGGATTCTGCTGTCTACTTTTTATACTTAATCCCGTTTCCAACGAAATCCTCCAAGCTATCCAAATATCCACTTGCAGATTCCACAGAAAGGCTGTTTCAAAACTGCTCTGTCAATAGAAAGGTTCAACTCTGTTAGCTGCGTGCATATATCCCAAAGAAGATTCTGAGATTGCTTCTGTCTACTTTTTATGAGAAGATATTTCCCTTTTCACCGTAGGTGTCAATGCGCTCCAAATGTCCACTTCCAGATACTAGAAAAAAAGTGTTTCAAACCTACTCTGTGAAAGGGAATATTCAACTCTGTGACTTGAATGCACATATCACAAAGAAGCTTCTGAGAATGCTTCTGTCGAGATTTTATATAAAGATATTCCCGTTTCCAACGAAATCCTGAAATCTATCCAAATATCCCCTCGCAGATTCTACAAAAAGAGTGTTTCAAAACTGCTCTGTAAAAAGAAAGGTTCAATTCTGTTAGTTGAGTACACACATCACAAACAAGTTTCACAGAATCCTTCTTTCTAGCTTGTAGGGGAAGATATTTCCTTTATCACCATTGTCCTCAAACCGTCCGAAACGTCCACTTCCATATACTAAAAAAAGAGTGTTTGAAAGCTGCTCTATGAAAGCCAATGTTCAACTCTGTGACTTGAATGCAAACACCACAGAGCAGTTTCTGAGAATGCTTCTGTCTAGATTTTATAGGAAGATATTCCCGTTTCCAACGAAATCTTCACAGCTATCCAAATATCCACTTGCAGATTCTACAAAAAGAGTGTATCAAAACTGCTCTGTCAAAAGGAAGGTTCTTTTCTGTTAGGTGAGTGCATACGTCATAAAGGCGTTTCTGAGAATGTTTGTGTCTAGTGGTTATGGGAAGATATTTGCTTTTTCACCTTAGGCCTCAGAGCGCTCAAAATATCCCCTTGCACATACTACAAAAAGAGTGCTTCAAAGCTGCTCTCTGAAAGGGAATGTTCAATTCTATGAGTTGAATGCAAACATCACAAAGACGTTTCTGAGAATGCTTCTGTCTAGATTTGATATAAAGATATTCCCGTTTCCAACGAAATCTTCAAATCTATCCAAATGTCCACTTGGAGATTCAACAAAAAGTGTTTTTCCGAACTGCTCTATCAAAAGAAAGATCCACCTCTGTTAGCTGAGTTGACACATCACAAACAAGTTTATGAGAATGCTTTCTGTCTAGTTTTTATTTGAAGATATTTCCTTTCTCGCCATAGACCTGAAAGCTGTCCTAATGTTCACTTCCAGATACTACAGAAAGAGTGTTTCAAAACTGCTGTACGAAAGGGAATGTTCAACTCTGTGACTTGAATGCACACATCACAAAGAAGTTTCTGAGGATGCTGCTGTCTACTTTTTATACTTAATCCCGTTTCCAACGAAATCCTCCAAGCTATCCAAATATCCACTTTCAGATTCCACAGAAAGACTGTTTCAAAACTGCTCTGTCAATAGAAAGGTTCAACTCTGTTAGCTGCGTGCATATATCCCAAAGAAGATTCTGAGATTGCTTCTGTCTAGTTTTTATGGGAAGATATTTCCCTTTTCACCGTAGGCGTCAAGGCGCTCCAAATCTCCACTTCCAGATACTACAAAAAGAGTGTTTCAAACCTACTCTGTGAAAGGGAATATTCAACTCTGTGACTTGAATGGAGATATCACAAAGAAGTTTCTGAGAATGCTTCTGTCGAGATTTTGTATGAAGATATTCCCGTTTCCAACGAAATCCTGAAATCTATCCAAATATCCCCTCGCAGATTCTACAAAAAGAGTGTTTCAAAACTGCTCTGTGAAAAGAAAGGTTCAACTCTGTTAGTTGAGTACAGACATCACAAACAAGTTTCACAGAATGCTTCTTTCTAGCTTGTAGGGGAAGATATTCCCTTTATCACCATGGGCCTCAAACCGTCCGAAAAGTCCACTTCCATATACTACAAAAAGAGCGTTTCAAACCTGCTCTATGAAAGGCAATGTTCAACTCTGTGACTTGAATACAGACATCACAGAGCAGTTTCTGAGAATGCTTCTGTCCAGACTTTATAGGAAGATATTCCCGATTCCAACGAAATCTTCACAGCTATCCAAATATCCACTTGCAGATACTACAAAAAGAGTGTATCAAAAAAGCTCTGTCAAAAGGAAAGTTCTTTTCTGCTAGTTGAGTACATACGTCATAAAGAAGTTTCTGAGAATGTTTCTGTCTAGTTGTTATGGGAAGATATTTGCTTTTTCCCCGTAGGCCTCAGAGCGTTCCAAATGTCCACTTGAACATACTACAAAAAGAGTGCTTCAAAGCTGCTCTCTGAAAGGGAATGTTCAACTCTATGAGTTCAATGCAAACATCACAAAGACGTTTCTGAGAATGCTTCTGTCTAGATTTGATATGACGATATTCCCGTTTCCAATGAAATCTTCAAATCTATCCAAATGTCCACTTGCAGATTCAACAAAACGTGTTTTTCAGAACTGCTCTATCAAAAGAAAGATCCACGTCTATTAGCTGAGTTCACACATCACAAACAAGTTTATGAGAATGCTTCTGTCTAGTTTTTATTTGAAGATATTTCCTTTCTCACCATAGAGCTGAAAGCTGTCCTAATGTTCACTTCCAGATGCTACAGAAAGAGTGTTTCAAAACTGCTGTACGAAAGGGTATGTTCAACTCTGTGACTTGAATGCACACATCACAAAGAAGTTTCTGAGGATGCTGCTGTCTACTTTTTATACGTAATCCCGTTTCCAATGAAATCCTCCAATCTATCCAAATATCCACTTGCAGATTCCACAGAAAGACTGTTTCAAAACTGCTCTGTCAATAGAAAGGTTCAACTCTGTTAGCTGTGTGCATATATCCCAAAGAAGATTCTGAGATTGCTTCTGTCTAGTTTTTATGGGAAGATATTTGCCTTTTCACCGTAGGTGTCAAGGCGCTCCAAATGTCCACTTCCAGATACTACAAAAAGAGTGTTTCAAACCTACTCTGTGAAAGGGAATATTCAACTCTGTGACTTGAATGCACATATCACAAGGAAAGTTTCTGAGAATGCTTCTGTCGAGATTTTATATGAAGATATTCCCGTTTCCAACGAAATGCAGAAATGTATCCAAATATCCCCTCGCAGATTCTACAAAAAGAGTGTTTCAAAACTGCTCTGTAAAAAGAAAGGTTCAACTCTGTTAGTTGAGTACACACATCACAAACAAGTTTCACACAATGCTTCTTTCTAGCTTGTAGGGGAAGATATTCCCTTTATCACCATGGTCCTCAAACCGTCCGAAACGTCCACTTCCATATACTACAAAAAGAGCGTTTCAAACCTGCTCTAGGAAAGGCAATGTTCAACTCTGTTACTTGAATGCAGACATCACAGAGCAGTTTCTGAGAATGCTTCTGTCTAGATTTTATAGGAAGATATTCCCGTTTCCAACGAAACCTTCACAACTATCCAAATATCCACTTGCAGATTCTACAAAAAGAGTGTATCAAAACTGCTCTGTCAAAAGGAAGGTTCTTTTCTGTTAGGTGAGTGCATACGTCATAAAGGAGTTTCTGAGAATGTTTCTGTCTAGTGGTTATGGGAAGATATTTGCTTTTTCACCGTAGGCCTCAGAGCGCTCCAAATATCCACTTGCACATACTACAAGAAGAGTGCTTCAAACCTGCTCTCTGAAACGGAATGTTCAACTCTATGAGTTGAATGCAAACATCACAAAGACGTTTCTGAGAATGCTTCTGTCTAGATTTGATATAAAGATATTCCCGTTTCCAACGAAATCTTCAAATCTATCCAAATGTCCACTTGGAGATTCAACAAAAAGTGTTTTTCCGAACTGCTCTATCAAAAGAAAGATCCACCTCTGTTAGCTGAGTTGACACATCACAAACAAGTTTATGAGAATGCTTCTGTCTAGTTTTTATTTGAAGATATTTCCTTTCTCACCATAGACCTGAAAGCTGTCCTAATGTTCACTTCCAGTTACTACAGAAAGAGTGTTTCAAAACTGCTGTACGAAAGGGAATGTTCAACTCTGTGACTTGAATGCACACATCACAATGAAGTTTCTGAGGATGCTGCTGTCTACTTTTTATACTTAATCCCGTTTCCAACGAAATCCTCCAAGCTATCCAAATATCCACTTGCAGATTCCACAGAAAGACTGTTTCAAAACTGCTCTGTCAATAGAAAGGTTCAACTGCTGTTAGCTGCGTGCATATATCCCAAAGAAGATTCTGAGATTGCTTCTGTCTAGTTTTTATGGGAAGATATTTCCCTTTTCACCGTAGGTGTCAAGGCGCTCCAAATGTCCACTTCCAGATACTACAAAAAGAGTGTTTCAAACCTACTCTGTGAAAGGGAATATTCAACTCTGTGACGTGAATGCACATATCACAAGGAAGTTTCTGAGAATGCTTCTGTCGAGATTTTATATGAAGATATTCCCGTTTCCAACGAAATCCTGAAATCTATCCAAATATCCCCTCGCAGATTCTACAAAAAGAGTGTTTCAAAACTGCTCTGTAAAAAGAAAGGTTCAACTCTGTTAGTTGAGTACACACATCACAAACAGGTTTCACAGATTGCTTCTTTCTAGCTTGTAGGGGAAGATATTCCCTTTATCACCATGGGCCTCAAACCGTCCGAAAAGTCTACTTCCATATACTACAAAAAGAGCGTTTCAAACCTGCTCTATGAAAAGCAATGTTCAACTCTGTGACTTGAATGCAGACATCACAGAGCAGTTTCTGAGAATGCTTCTGTCTAGGTTTTATAGGAAGATATTCCCGTTTCCAACGAAATCTTCACAGCTATCCAAATATCCACTTGCAGATTCTACAAAAAGAGTGTATCAAAACTGCTCTGTCAAAAGGAAGGTTCTTTTCTGTTAGGTGAGTGCATACGTCATAAAGGAGTTTCTGAGAATGTTTCTGTCTAGTGGTTTTGGGAAGATATTTGCTTTTTCACCGTAGGCCTCAGAGCGCTCCAAATATCCACTTGCACATACTACAAAAAGAGTGCCTCAAAGCTGCTCTCTGAAACGGAATGTTCAACTCTATGAGTTGAATGCAAACATCGCAAAGACGTTTCTGAGAATGCTTCTGTCTAGTATTTGATATGAAGATATTCCCGTTTCCAACGAAATCTTCAAATCTATCCAAATGTCCACTTGCAGATTCATCAAAAAGTGTTTTTCAAAACTGCTGTATCAAAAGAAAGATCCACGTCTGTTAGCTGAGTTCACACATCACAAACAAGTTTATGAGAATGCTTCTGTCTAGTTTTTATTTGAAGATATTTCCTTTCTCACCATAGACCTGAAAGCTGTCCTAATGTTCACTTCCAGTTACTACAGAAAGAGTGTTTCAAAACTGCTGTACGAAAGGGAATGTTCAACTCTGTGACTTGAATACACACATCACAAAGAAGTTTCTGAGGATGCTGCTGTCTACTTTTTATACGTAATCCCGTTTCCAACGAAGTCCTCCAAGCTATCCAAATATCCACTTGCAGATTCCACAGAAAGGCTGTTTCAAAACTGCTCTGTCAATAGAAAGGTTCAACTCTGTTAGCTGCGTGCATATATCCCAAAGAAGATTCTGAGATTGCTTCTGTCGAATTTTTATGGGAAGATATTTCCCTTTTCACCGTAGGTGTCAAGGCGCTCCAAATGTCCACTTCCAGATACTACAAAAAGAGTGTTTCAAACCTACTCTGTGAAAGGGAATATTCAACTCTGTGACTTGAATGCACATATCACAAAGAAGTTTCTGAGAATGCTTCTGTCGAGATTTTATAGGAAGATATTCCCTTTTCCAACGAAATCATGAATTCTATCCAAATAACCCCTCGCAGATTCTACAAAAAGAGTGTTTCAAAACTCCTCTGTAAAAAGAAAGGTTCAACTCTGTTAGTTGAGTACACACATCACAAACAAGTTTCACAGAATGCTTCTCTCTAGCTTGTAGGGGAAGATATTTCCTATATCACCATGGGCCTCAAACTGTCCGAATCGTCCCCTTCCATATACTAAAAAAAGAGTGTTTGAAACCTCCTCTATGAAAGGCAATGTTCTACTCTGTGACTTGAATGCAGACATCACAGGGCAGTTTCTGAGAATGCTTCTGTCTAGATTTTATAGGAAGATATTCCCGTTTCCAACGAAATCTTCACAGCTATCCAAATATCCACTTGCAGATTCTACAAAAAGAGTGTATCAAAACTGCTCTGTCAAAAGGAAGGTTCTTTTCTGTTAGCTGAGTGCATACGTCATAAAGGAGTTTCTGAGAATGTTTCTGTCTAGTGGTTATGGGAAGATATTTGCTTTTTCACCTTAGGCCTCAGAGCGCTCCAAATATCCCCTTGCAAATACTACAAAAAGAGTGCTTCAAAGCTGCTCTCTGAAAGAGAATGTTCAACTCTATGAGTTGAATGCAAACATCACAAAGACGTTTCTGGGAATGCTTCTGTCTAGATTTGATATGAAGATATTCCCGTTTCCAACGAAATCTTCATATCTATCCAAATGTCCACTTGCAGATTCAACAAAAAGTGTTTTTCAAAACTGCTGTATCAAAAGAAAGATCCACGTCTGTTAGCTGAGTTCACACATCACAAACAAGTTTATGAGAATGATTCTGTCTAGTTTTTATTTGAAGATATATCCTTTCTCACTATAGACCTGAAAGCTCTCCTAAAATTCACTTCCAGATACTACAGAAAGAGTGTTTCAAAACTGCTGTACGAAAGGGAATGTTCAACTCTGTGACTTGAATGCACACATCACAAGGATGTTTCTGAGGATGCTGCTGTCTACTTTTTATACGTAATCCCGTTTCCAACGAAATCCCCCAAGCTATCCAAATATCCACTTGCAGATTCCACAGAAAGACTGTTTCAAAACTGCTCTGTCAATAGAAAGGTTCAACTCTGTTAGCTGCGTGCATATATCCCAAAGAAGATTCTGAGATTGCTTCTGTCTACTTTTTATGAGAAGATATTTCCCTTTTCACCGTAGGCGTCAAGGTGCTCCAAATGTCCACTTCCAGATACTACAAAAAGAGTGTTTCAAACTTACTCTGTGAAAGGGAATATTCAACTCTGTGACTTGAATGCACATATCACAAAGAAGCTTCTGAGAATGCTTCTGTCGAGATTTTATATGAAGATATTCCCGTTTCCAACGAAATCCTGAAATCTATCCAAATATCCCCTCGCAGATTCTACAAAAAGAGTGTTTCAAAACTGCTCTGTAAAAAGAAAGGTTCAACTCTGTTAGTTGAGTACACACATCACAAACAAGTTTCACAGAATGCTTATCTTTCTAGCTTGTAGGGGAAGATATTCCCTTTATCACCATGGGCCTCCAACCGTCCGAAACATCCACTTCCATATACTACAAAAAGAGCGTTTCAAACCTGCTCTATGAAAGTCAATGTTCAACTCTGTGACTTGAATGCAGACATCACAGAGCAGTTTCTGAGAATGCTTCTGTCTAGATTTTATAGGAAGATATTCCCGTTTCCAACGAAATCTTCACAGCTATCCAAATATCCACTTGCAGATTCTACAAAAAGAGTGGATCAAAACTGCTCTTTCAAAAGGAAGGTTCTTCTCTGTTAGGTGAGTGCACACGTCATAAAGGAGTTTCTGAGAATGTTTCTGTCTAGTGGTTATGGGAAGATATTTGCTTTTTCACCTTAGGCCTCAGAGCGCTCTAAATATCCCCTTGCACATACTACAAAAAGAGTGCTATAAAGCTGCTCTCTCAAAGGGAATGTTCAACTCTATGAGTTGAATGCAAACATCACAAAGACGTTTCTGGGAATGCTTCTGTCTAGATTTGATATGAAGATATTCCCGTTTCCAACGAAATCTTCAAATCTATCCAAATGTCCACTTGCAGATTCAACAAAAAGTGTTTTTCAGAACTGCTCTATCAAAAGAAAGATCCACCTCTGTTAGATGAGTTCACACATCACAAACAAGTTTATGAGAATGCTTTCTGTCTAGTTTTTATTTGAAGATATTACCTTTCTCACCATAGACCTGAAAGCTGTCCTAATGTTCACTTCCAGATACTACAGAAAGAGTGTTTCAAAACTGCTGTACGAAAGGGAATGTTCAACTACTGTGACTTGAATGCACACATCACAAAGAAGTTTGCTGAGGATGCTGCTGTCTACTTTTTATACGTAATCCCGTTTCCAAGGAAATCCTCCAAGCTATCCAAATATCCACTTGCAGATTCCACAGAAAGACTGTTTCAAAACTGCTATGTCAATAGAAAGGTTCAACTCTGTTAGCTGCGTGCATATATCCCAAAGAAGATTCTGAGATTGCTTCTGTCTAGTTTTTATGGGAAGATATTTCCCTTTTTACCGTAGGCGTCAAGGCGCTCCAAATGTCCACTTCCAGATACTACAAAAAGAGTTTTTCAAACCTACTCGGTGAAAGGGAATATTCAACTCTGTGACTTGAATGCACATATCACAAAGAAGTTTCTGAGAATGCTTCTGTCGAGATTTTATATGAAGATATTCCCGTTTCCAACGAAATGCTGAAATGTATCCAAATATCCCCACGCAGATTCTACAAAAAGAGTGTTTCAAAACTGCTCTGTAAAAAGAAAGGTTCAACTCTGTTAGTTGAGTACACACATCACAAACAAGTTTCACAGAATGCTTCTTTCTAGCTCGTAGGGGAAGATATTCCCTTTATCACCATGGGCCTCAAACCGTCCGAAACGTCCACTTCCATATACTACAAAAAGAGCGTTTCAAACCTGCTCTATGAAAGGCAATGTTCAACTCTGTGACTTGAATGCAGACATCACAGAACAGTTTCTGAGAATGCTTCTGTCTAGATTTTATAGGAAGTTATTCCCGTTTCCAACGAAATCTTCACAGCTATCCAAATATCCACTTGCAGATTCTACAAAAAGAGTGTATCAAAACTGCTCTGTCAAAAGGAAGGTTCTTCTCTCTTAGGTGAGTGCATACGTCGTAAAGGAGTTTCTGAGAATGTTTCTGTCTAGTGGTTATGGGAAGATATTTGCTTTTTACCGTAGGCCTCAGAGCGCTCCAAATATCCACTTGCACATACTACAAAAAGAGTGCTTCAAAGCTGGTCTCTGAAACGGAATGTTCAACTCTATGAGTTGAATGCAAACATCACAAAGACGTTTCTGAGAATGCTTCTGTCTAGATTTGATATGAAGATATTCCCGTTTCCAACGAAATCTTCAAATCTATCCAAATGTCCACTTGCAGATTCAACAAAAAGTGTTTTTCAGAACTGCTCAATCAAAAGAAAGATCCACCTGTGTTAGCTGAGTTCACACATCACAAACAAGTTTATGAGAATGCTATCTGTCTAGTTTTTATTTGAAGATATTTCCTTTCTCACCATAGACGTGAAAGCTGTCCTAATGTTCACTTCCAGATACTACAGAAAGAGTTTTTCAAAACTGCTGTACGAAAGGGAATGTTCAACTCTGTGACTTGAATGCACACAACACAAAGAAGTTTCTGAGGATGCTGCTGTCTACTTTTTATACGTAATCCCGTTTCCAACGAAATCCTCCAAGCTATCCAAATATCCACTTGCAGATTCCACAGAAAGACTGTTTCAAAACTGCTCTGTCAATACAAAGGTTCAACTCTGTTAGCTGCGTGCATATATCCCAAAGTAGATTCTGAGATTGCTTCTGTCTAGTTTTTATGGGAAGATATTTCCCTTTTCACCGTAGGTGTCAAGGCGCTCCAAATGTCCACTTCCAGATACTACAAAAAGAGTGTTTCAAACCTACTCTGTGAAAGGGAATATTCAACCCTGTGACTTGAATGCAGATATCACAAAGAAGTTTCTGAGAATGCTTCGGTCGAGATTTTATATGAAGATATTCCCGTTTCCAACGAAATCCTGAAATGTATCCAAATATCCCCTCGCAGATTCTACAAAAAGAGTGTTTCAAAACTGCTCTGTAAAAAGAAAGGTTCAACTCTGTTAGTTGAGTACACACATCACAAACAAGTTTCACAGAATGCTTCTTTCTAGCTTGTAGGGGAAGATATTCCCTTTATCACCATGGGCCTCAAACCGTCCGAAACGTCCACTTCCATATACTTCAAAAAGAGCGTTTCAAACCTGCTCTATGAAAGGCAATGTTCAACACTGTGACTTGAATGCAGACATCACAGAGCTGTTTCTGAGAATGCTTCTGTATAGATTTTATAGGAAGATATTCCCGTTTCCAACGAAATCTTCACAGCTATCCAAATATCCACTTGCAGATTCTACAAAAAGAGTGTTTCAAAACTGCTCTGTCAAAAGGAAGGTTCTTCTCTGTTAGGTGAGTGCATACGTCATAAAGGAGTTTCTGAGAATGTTTCTGTCTAGTGGTTATGGGAAGATATTTGCTTTTTCACCGTAGGCCTCAGAGCGCTCCAAATATCCACTTGCACATACTACAAAAAGAGTGCTTCAAAGCTGGTCTCTGAAACGGAATGTTCAACTCTATGAGTTGAATGCAAACATCACAAAGACGTTTCTGAGAATGCTTCTGTCTAGATTTGATATGAAGATATTCCCGTTTCCAACGACATCTTCAAATCTATCCAAATGTCCACTTGCAGATTCAACAAAAAGTGTTTTTCAGAACTGCTCTATCAAAAGAAAGATCCACGTGTGTTAGCTGAGTTCACACATCACAAACAAGTTTATGAGAATGCTTCTGTCTAGTGTTTATTTGAAGATATTTCCTTTCTCACCATAGACCTGAAAGCTGTCCTAATGTTCACTTCCAGATACTACAGAAAGAGTGTTTCAAAACTGCTGTACGAAAGGGAATGTTCAACTCTGTGACTTGAATGCACACATCACAAAGAAGTTTCTGAGGATGCTGCTGTCTACTTTTTATACGTAATCCCATTTCCAACGAAATCCTCCAAGCTATCCAAATATCCACTTGCAGATTCCACAGAAAGACTGTTTCAAAACTGCTCTGTCAATAGAAAGGTTCAACTCTGTTAGCTGCGTGCATATATCCCAAAGAAGATTCTGAGATTGCCTCTGTCTAGTTTTTATGGGAAGATATTTCCCTTTTCACCGTAGGTGTCAAGGCGCTCCAAATGTCCACTTCCAGATACTACAAAAAGAGTGTTTCAAACCTTCTCTATGGAAGGGAATATTGAACTCTGTGACTTGAATGCAGATATCACGAAGAAGTTTCTGAAAATGCTTCTGTCGAGATTTTATATGAAGATATTCCCGTTTCCAACGAAATCCTGAAATCTATCAAATATCCCCTCGCAGATTCTACAAAAAGAGTGTTTCAAAACTGCTCTGTAAAAAGAAAGGTTCAACTCTGTTAGTTGAGTACACACATCACAAACAAGTTTCACAGAATGCTTCTTTCTAGCTTGTAGGGGAAGATATTCCCTTTATCACCATGGGCCTCAAACCATCCGAAACGTCCACTTCCATATACTACAAAAAGAGCTTTTCAAAGCTGCTCTAGGAAAGGCAATGTTCAACTCTGTGACTTGAATGCAGACATCACAGAGCAGTTTCTGAGAATGCTTCTGTCTAGATTTTATAGGAAGATATTCCCGTTTCCAAAGAAATCTTCACAGCTATCCAAATATCCACTTGCAGATTCTACAAAAAGAGTGTATCAAAACTGCTCTGTCAAAAGGAAGGTTCTTCTCTGTTAGTTGAGTGCATACGTCATAAAGCAGTTTCTGAGAATGTTTCTGTCTAGCGGTTATGGGAAGATATTTGCTTTTTCACCGTAGGCCTCAGAGCGCTCCAAATATCCACTTGCAGATATTACAAAAAGAGTGCTTCAAAGCTGCTCTCTGAAACGGAATGTTCAACTCTATGAGTTGAATGCAAACATCACAAAGACGTTTCTGAGAATGCTTTTGTCTAGATTTGATATGAAGATATTCCCGTTTCCAACGAAATCTTCAAATCTATCCAAATGTCCACTTGCAGATTCAACAAAAAGTGTTTTTCAGAACTGCTCTATCAAAAGAAAGTTCCACCTCTGTTAGCTGAGTTCACACATCACAAACAAGTTTATGAGAATGCTTCTGTCTAGTTTTTACTTGAAGATATTTCCTTTCTCACCATAGACCTGAAAGCTGTCCTAATGTTCACTTCCAGATACTACAGAAAGAGTGTTTCAAAACTGCTGTACGAAAGGGAATGTTCAACACTGTGACTTGAATGCACACATCACAAAGAAGTTTCTGAGGATGCTGCTGTCTACTTTTTATACTTAATCCCGTTTCCAACGAAATCCTCCAAGCTATCCAAATATCCACTTGCAGATTCCACAGAAAGACTGTTTCAAGACTGCTCTGTCAATAGAAAGGTTCAACTCTGTTAGCTGCGTGCATATATCCCAAAGAAGATTCTGAGATTGCTTCTGTCTAGTTTTTATGGGAAGATATTTCCCTTTTCACCGTAGGTGTCAAGGCGCTCCAAATGTCCACTTCCAGATACTACAAAAAGAGTGTTTCAAACCTACTCTGTGAAAGCGAATATTCAACTCTGTGACTTGAATGCAGATATCACAATGAAGTTTCTGAGAATGCTTCTGTCGAGATTATATATGAAGATATTCCCGTTTCCAACGAAATGCTGAAATGTATCCAAATATCCCCTCACAGATTCTACAAAAAGAGTGTTTCAAAACTGCTCTGTAAAAAGAAAGGTTCAACTCTGTTAGTTGAGTACACACATCACAAACAAGTTTCACAGAATGCTTCTTTCTAGCTTGTAGGAGAAGATATTTCCTTTATCACCATGGGCCTCAAACCGTCCGAAACGTCCACTTCCATATACTAAAAAAAGAGTGTTTGAAACCTGCTCTATGAAAGGCAATGTTCAACTCTGTGACTTGAATGCAGACATCACAGAGCAGTTTCTGAGAATGCTTCTGTCTAGGTTTTATAGGAAGATATTCCCGTTTCCAACGAAATCTTCACAGCTATCCAAATATCCACTTGCAGATAGTACAAAAAGAGTGTATCAAAAATGCTCTGTCAAAAGGAAAGTTCTTCTCTGTTAGTTGAGTACATACGTCATAAAGGAGTTTCTGAGAGTGTTTCTGTCTAGTGGTTATGGGAAGATATTTGCTTTTTCACCGTAGGCCTCAGAGCGCTCCAAATATCCACTTGCACATACTACAAAAAGAGTGCTTCAAAGCTGCTCTCTGAACCGCAATGTTCAATTCTATGAGTTGAATGCAAACATCACAAAGACGTTTCTGAGAATGCTTCTCTCTAGATTTGATATGAAGATATTCCCGTTTCCAACGAAATCTTCAAATCTATCCAAATGTCCACTTGCAGATTCAACAAAAAGTGTTTTTCAGAACTGCTCTATCAAAAGAAAGATCCACGTGTGTTAGCTGAGTTCACACATCACAAACAAGTTTATGAGAATGCTTCTGTCTAGTTTTTATTTGAAGATATTTCCTTTCTCATCATAGAGCTGAAAGCTGTCCTAATGTTCACTTCCAGATACTACAGAAAGAGTGTTTCAAAACTGCTGTACGAAAGGGAATGTTCAACTCTGTGACTTGAATGCACACATCACAAAGAAGTTTCTGAGGATGCTGCTGTCTACTTTTTATACGTAATCCCGTTTCCAATGAAATCCTCCAAGCTATCCAAATATCCACTTGCAGATTCCACAGAAAGACTGTTTCAAAACTGCTCTGTCAATAGAAAGGTTCAACTCTATTAGCTGCGTACATATATCCCAAAGAAGATTCTGAGATTGCTTCTGTCTAGTTTTTATGGGAAGATATTTCATATTTCCTTTTTCACCGTAGGTGTCAAGGCGCTCCAAATGTCCACTTCCAAATACTACAAAAAGAGTGTTTCAAAAATACTCTGTGAAAGGGAATATTCAACCCTGTGACTTGAATGCAGGTATCACAAAGAGGTTTCTCAGAATGCTTCTGTCGAGATTTTATATGAAGATATTCCCGTTTCCAACGAAATCCTGAAATCTATCCAAATATCCCCTCGCAGATTCTACAAAAAGAGTGTTTCAAAACTGCTCTGTAAAAAGAAAGGTTCAACTCTGTTAGTTGAGTACACACATCACAAACAAGTTTCGCAGAATGCTTCTTTCTAGCTTGTAGGGGAAGATATTTCCTTTATCACCATGGGCCTCAAACCGTCCGAAACGTCCACTTCCATATACTAAAAAAAGAGTGCTTGAAACCTGCTCTATGAAAGGCAATGTTCAACTCTGTGACTTGAATGCAAACATCAAAGAGCAGTTTCTGAGAATGCTTCTGTCCGGACTTTATAGGAAGATATTCCCGATTCCAACGAAATCTTCACAGCTATCCAAATATCCACTTGCAGATACTACAAAAAGAGTGTATCAAAAATGCTCTGTCAAAAGGAAAGTTCTTCTCTGCTAGTTGAGTACATACGTCATAAAGAAGTTTCTGAGAATGTTTCTGTCTAGTGGTTATGGGAAGATATGTGCTTTTTCACCGTAGGCCTCAGAGCGCTCCAAATATCCACTTGCACATACTACAAAAAGAGTGCTTCAAAGCTGGTCTCTGAAACGGAATGTTCAACTCTATGAGTTGAATGCAAACATCACAAAGACGTTTCTGAGAATGCTTCTGTCTAGATTTGATATGAAGATATTCCCGTTTCCAACGAAATCTTCAAATCTATCCCTAAATGTCCACTTGCAGATTCAACAAAAAGTGTTTTTCAGAACTGCTCTATCAAAAGAAAGATCCACCTCTGTTAGCTGAGTTCACACATCACAAACAAGTTTATGAGAATGCTTCTGTCTAGTTTTTATTTGAAGATATATCCTTTCTCACTATAGACCTGAAAGCTGTCCTAAAGTTCGCTTCCAGATACTACAGAAAGAGTGTTTCAAAACTGCTGTACGAAAGGGAATGTTCAACTCTGTGACTTGAATGCACACATCACAAGGATGTTTCTGAGGATGCTGCTGTCTACTTTTTATACGTAATCCCGTTTCCAACGAAATCCTCCAATCTATCCAAATATCCACTTGCAGATACCACAGAAAGACTGTTTCAAAACTGCTCTGTCACTAGAAAGGTTCAACTCTGTTAGCTGCGTGCATATATCCCAAAGAAGATTCTGAGATTGCTTCTGTCTAGTTTTTATGGGAAGATATTTCCCTTTTCACCGTAGGTGTCAAGGCGCTCCAAATGTCCACTTCCAGATACTACAAAAAGAGTGTTTCAAACCTATTCTGTGAAAGGGAATATTCAACTCTGTGACTTAAAGGCAGATATCACAAAGAAGTTTCTGAGAATGCTTCTGTCGAGATTTTATATGAAGATATTCCCGTTTCCAACGAAATCCTGAAATGTATCCAAATATCCCCTCGCAGATTCTACAAAAAGAGTGTTTCAAAACTGCTCTGTAAAAAGAAAGGTTCAACTGTGTTAGTTGAGTACACACATCACAAACAAGTTTCACAGAATGCTTCTTTCTAGCTTGTAGGGGAAGATATTCCCTTTATCACCATGGGCCTCAAACCGTCCGAAACGTCCACTTCCATATACTACAAAAAGAGTGTTTCAAACCTGCTCTATGAAAGGCAATGTTCAACTCTGTGACTTGAATGCAGACATCACAGAGCACTTTCTGAGAATTATTCTGTCTAGATTTTATAGGAAGATATTCCCGTTTCCATCGAAATCTTCACAGCTATCCAAATATCCACTTGCAGATTCTACAAAAAGAGTGTATCAAAACTGCTCTTTCAAAAGGAAGGTTCTTCTCTGTTAGTTGAGTACATACGTCATAAAGGAGTTTCTGAGAATGTTTCTGTCTAGTGGTTATGGGAAGATATTTGTTTTTCACCGTAGGCCTCAGAGCGCTCCAAATATCCACTTGCACATACTACAAAAAGAGTGCTTCAAACCTGCTCTCTGAAACGGAATGTTCAACTCTATGAGTTGAATGCAAACATCACAAAGACGTTTCTGAGAATGCTTCTGTCTAGATTTGATATGAAGATATTCCCGTTTCCAACGAAATCTTCAAATCTATCCAAATGTCCAGTTGCAGATTCAACAAAAAGTGTTTTTCAGAACTGCTCTATGAAAAGAAAGATCCACCTCTGTTAGCTGAGTTCACACATCACAAACAAGTTTATGAGAATGCTTCTGTCTAGTTTTTATTTGAAGATATTCCCTTTCTCACCATAGACCTGAAAGCTGTCCTAATGTTCACTTCCAGATACTACAGAAAGAGTGTTTCAAAACTGCTGTACGAAAGGGAATGTTCAACTCTGTGACTTGAATGCACACATCACAAAGAAGTTTCTGAGGATGCTGCTGTCTACTTTTTATACGTAATCCCGTTTCCAGCGAAATCCTCCAATCTATCCAAATATCCACTTGCAGATTCCACAGAAAGACTGTTTCAAAACTGCTCTGTCAATAGAAAGGTTCAACTCTGTTAGCTGCCTGCATATATCCCAAAGAAGATTCTGAGATTGATTCTGTCTAGTTTTTATGTGAAGATATTTCCCTTTTCACCGTAGGTGTCAAGGCGCTCCAAATGTCCACTTCCAGATACTACAAAAAGAGTGTTTCAAACCTACTCTGTGAAAGGGAATATTCAACTCTGTGACTTGAATGCAGATATCACAATGAAGTTTCTGAGAATGCTTCTGTCGAGATTTTATATGAAGATATTCCCGTTTCCAACGAAATCCTGAAAACTATCCAAATATCCCCTCGCAGATTCTACAAAAAGAGTGTTTCAAAACTGCTCTGTAAAAAGAAAGGTTCAACTCTGTTAGTTGAGTACACACATCACAAAAAAGTTTCACAGAATGCTTCTTTCTAGCTTGTAGGGGAAGATATTCCCTTTATCACCATGGGCCTCAAACCGTCCGAAACGTCTACTTCCATATACTACAAAAAGAGCGTTTCAAACCTGCTCTATGAAAGGCAATGTTCAACTCTGTGACTTGAATGCAGACATCACAGATCAGTTTCTGAGAATGCTTCTGTCCGGACTTTATAGGAAGATATTCCCGATTCCAACGAAATCTTCACAGCTATCCAAATATCCACTTGCAGATACTACAAAAAGAGTGTATCAAAAATGCTCTGTCAAAAGGAAAGTTCTTCTCTGCTAATTGAGTACATACGTCATAAAGAAGTTTCTGAGAATGTTTTCTGTCTAGTGGTTATGGGAAGATATTTGCTTTTTCACCTTAGGCCTCAGAGCGCTCCAAATATCCCCTTGCACATACTACAAAAAGAGTGCTTCAAAGCTGTTCTCTGAAAGGGAATGTTCAACTCTATGAGTTGAATGCAAACATCACAAAGACGTTTCCGAGAATTCTTCTGTCTAGATTTGATATGAAGATATTCCCGTTTCCAACGAAATCTTCAAATCTATCCAAATGTCCACTTGCAGATTCAACAAAAAGTGTTTTTCAGAACTGCTCTATCAAAAGAAAGGTCCACCTCTGTTAGCTGAGTTCAGACATCACAAACAAGTTTATGAGAATGCTTCTGTCTAGTTTTTATTTGAAGATATTTCCTTTCTCACCATAGACCTGAAAGCTGAACTAATGTTCACTTCCAGATGCTACAGAAAGAGTGTTTCAAAACTGCTGTACGAAAGGGAATGTTCAACTCTGTGACTTGAATGCACACATCACAAAGAAGTTTCTGAGGATGCTGCTGTCTACTTTTTATACGTAATCCCGTTTCCAACGAAATCCTCCAAGCTATCCAAATATCCACCTGCAGATTCCACAGAAAGACTGTTTCAAAACTGCTCTGTCAATAGAAAGGTTCAACTCTGTTAGGTGCGTGCATATATCCCAAAGAAGATTCTGAGATTGCTTCTGTCTAGTTTTTATGGGAAGATATTTCCCTTTTCACCGTAGGCGTCAAGGCGATCCAAATGTCCACTTCCAGATACTACAAAAAGATTGTTTCAAACTTACTCTGTGAAAGGGAATATTCAACTCTGTGACTTGAATGCCGATATCACAAAGAAGTTTCTGAGAATGCTTCTGTCGAGATTTTATATGAAGATATTCCCGTTCCCAACGAAATCTTGAAATCTATCCAAATACCCCTCGCAGATTCTACAAAAAGAGTGTTTCAAAACTGCTCTGTAAAAGAAAGGTTCAACTCTGTTAGTTGAGTACACACATCACAAACAAGTTTCACAGAATGCTTCTTTCTAGCTTGTAGGGGAAGATATTCCCTTTATCACCATGGGCCTCCAACCGTCTGAAACATCCACTTCCATATACTACAAAAAGAGCGTTTCAAACCTGCTCTATGAAAGGCAATGTTCAACTCTGTGACTTGAATGCAGACATCACAGAGCAGTTTCTGAGAATGCTTCTGTGTAGATTTTATAGGAAGATATTCCCGTTTCCAACGAAATCTTCACAGCTATCCAAATATCCACTTGCATATTCTACAAAAAGAGTGTATCAAAACTGCTCTGTCAAAAGGAAGGTTCTTCTCTGTTAGGTGAGTGCATACGTCATAAAGGAGTTTCTGAGAATGTTTCTGTTTAGTGGTTATGGGAAGATATTTGCTTTTTCACCTTAGGCCTCAGAGCGCTCCAAATATCCCCTTGAACATACTACAAAAAGAGTGCTTCAAAGCTGCTCTCTGAAACGGAATGTTCAACTCTATGAGTTGAATGCAAACATGACAAAGACGTTTCCGAGAATGCTTCTGTCTAGATTTGATATGAAGATATTCCCGTTTCCAACGAAATCTTCAAATCTATCCAAATCTCCACTTGCAGATTCAACAAAAAGTGTTTTTCAGAACTGCTCTATCAAAAGAAAGATCCACCTCTGTTAGCTGAGTTCACACATCACAAACAAGTTTATGAGAATGCTTATCTGTCTAGTTTTTATTTGAAGATATTTCCTTTCTCACCATAGAGCTGAAAGCTGTCCTAATGTTCACTTCCAGATACTACAGAAAGAGTGTTTCAAAACTGCTGTACGAAAGGGAATGTTCAACTATGTGACTTGAATGCACACATCACAAAGAAGTTTCTGAGGATGCTGCTGTCTACTTTTTATACGTAATCCCGTTTCCAACGAAATCCTCCAAGCTATCCAAATATCCACTTGCAGATTCCACAAAAAGAGTGTTTCAAAACCGCTCTGTCAATACAAAGGTTCAACTCTGTTAGCTGCGTGCATACATCCCAAAGAACATTCTGAGGTTGCTTCTGTCTAGTTTTTAGGGGAAGATATTTCCTTTTTCACAATAGGCGTCAAAGCGATCCAAATGTCCAATTCCAGATACTACAAAAAGAGTGTTTCAAACCTACTCTGTGAAAGGGAGTATTCAAGTCTGTGACTTCAATGCAGATATCACAATGAAGTTTCTGAGAATGCTTCGGTCTTCTGTCGAGATTTTATATGAAGATATTCCCTTTTCCAACGAAATCCTGAAATCTATCCAAATATCCCCTCGCAGATTCTACAAAAAGAGTGTTTCAAAACTGCTCTGTAAAAAGAAAGGTTCAACTCTGTTAGCTGAGTACACACATCACAAACAAGTTTCACAGAATGTTTCTTTCTAGCTTGTAGGGGAAGATATTCCCTTTATCAGCATGGGCCTCCAACCGTCCGAAACATCCACTTCCATATACTACAAAAAGAGCGTTTCAAACCTGCTCTATGAAAGGCAATGTTCAACTCTGTGACTTGAATACAGACATCACAGAGCAGTTTCTGAGAATGCTTCTGTCTAGATTTTATAGGAAGATATTCCCGTTTCCAACGAAATCTTCACAGCTATCCAAATATCCACTTGCAGATTATACAAAAAGAGTGTATCAAAACTGCTCTGTCAAAAGGAAGGTTCTTCTCTGTTAGTTGAGTACATACGTCATAAAGGAGTTTCTGAGAATGTTTCTGTCTAGTGGTTATGGGAAGATATTTGCTTTTTCACCTTAGGCCTCAGAGCGCTCAAAATATCCCCTTGCACACACTACAAAAAGAGTGCTTCAAAGCTGCTCTCTGAAACGGAATGTTCAACTCTATGGGTTGAATGCAAACATCACAAAGACGTTTCTGAGAATGCTTCTGTCTAGATTTGATATGAAGATATTCCCGTTTCCAACGAAATCTTCAAATCTATCCAAATGTCCACTTGCAGATTCAACAAAAGTGATTTTCAGAACTGCTCTATCAAAAGAAAGATCCACGTGTGTTAGCTGAGTTCACACATCACAAACAAGTTTATGAGAATGCTTCTGTCTAGTTTTTATTTGAAGATATTTCCTTTCTCACCATAGACCTGAAAGCTGTCCTAATGTTCACTTCCAGATACTACAGAAAGAGTGTTTCAAAACTGCTGTACGAAAGGGAATGTTCAACTCTGTGACTTGAATGCACACATCACAAAGAAGTTCCTGAGGATGCTGCTGTCTACTTTTTATACGTAATCACGTTTCCAACGAAATCCTCCAAGCTATCCAAATATCCACTTGCAGATTCCACAGAAAGACTGTTTCAAAACTGCTCTGTCAATAGAAAGGTTCAACTCTGCTAGCTACGTGCATATATCCCAAAGAAGATTCTGAGATTGCTTCTGTCTAGTTTTTATGGGAAGATATTTCCCTTTTCACCGTAGGCGTCAAGGCGCTCCAAATGTCCACTTCCAGATACTACAAAAAGAGTGTTTCAAACCTACTCTGTGGAAGGGAATATTCAACTCTGTGACTTGAATGCAGATATCACAAAGAAGATTCTGAGAATGCTTCTGTCGAGATTTTATATGAAGATATTCCCCTTTCCAACGAAATCCTGAAATCTATCCAAATATCCCCTCGCAGATTCTACAAAAACAGTGTTTCAAAACTGCTCTGTAAAAAGAAAGGTTCAACTCTGTTAGTTGAGTACACACATCACAAACAAGTTTCACAGAATGCTTCTTTCTAGCTTGTAGGGAAAGATATTCCCTTTATCACCATGGGCCTCAAACCGTCCGAAACGTCCACTTCCATATACTACAAAAAGAGCGTTTCAAACCTGCTCTATGAAAGGCAATGTTCAACTCCGTGACTTGAATGCAGACATCACAGAGCAGTTTCTGAGAATGCTTCTGTCTAGATTTTATAGGAAGATATTCCCGTTTCCAACGAAATCTTCACAGCTGTCCAAATATCCACTTGCAGATTCTACAAAAAGAGTGTATCAAAACTACTCTGTCAAAAGGAAGGTTCTTCTCTATTAGTTGAGTGCATACGTCATAAAGGAGTTTCTGAGAATGTTTCTGTCTAGTGGTTATGGGAAGATATTTGCTTTTTCACCGTAGGCGTCAGAGCTCTCCAAATATCCAGTTGCACATACTACAAAAAGAGTGCTTCAAAGCTGCTCTCTGAAACGGAATGTTCAACTCTATGAGTTGAATGCAAACATCACAAAGACGTTTCTGAGAATGCTTCTGTCTAGATTTGATATGAAGATATTCCCGTTTCCAAAGAAATCTTCAAATCTATCCAAATGTCCACTTGCAGATTCAACAAAAAGTGTTTTTCAAAAGTGCTGTATAAAAAGAAAGAAGCACCTCTGTTAGTTGAGTTCACACATCAAAACAAGTTTATGAGAATGCTTCTGTCTAGTTTTTATTTGAAGATATTTCCTTTCTCACCATAGACCTGAAAGCTGTCCTAATGTTCACTTCCAGATACTACAGAAAGAGTGTTTCAAAACTGCTGTACGAAAGGGAATGTTCAACTCTGTGACTTGAATGCAGACATCACAAGGAAGTTTCTGAGGATGCTGCTGTCTACTTATTATACGTAATCCCGTTTCCAACGAAATCCTCCAAGCTATCCAAATATCCACTTGCAGATTCCACAGAAAGACTCTTTCAAAACTGCTCTGTCAATAGAAACGTTCAACTCTGTTAGCTGCGTGCATATATCCCAAAGAAGATTCTGAGATTGCTTCTGTCTAGTTTTTATGGGAAGATATTTCCCTTTTCACCGTAGGTGTCAAGGCGCTCCAAATGTCCACTTCCAGATACTACAAAAAGAGTGTTTCAAACCTACTCTGTGAAAGGGAATATTCAACTCTGTGACTTGAATGCACATATCACAAAGAAGTTTCTGAAAATGCTTCTGTCGAGATTTTATATGAAGATATTCCTGTTTCCAACGAAATGCTGAAATGTATCCAAATATCCCATCGCAGATTCTACAAAAAGAGTGTTTCAAAACTGCTCTGTAAAAAGAAAGGTTCAACTCTGTTAGTTGAGTACACACATCACAAACAAGTTTCACAGAATGCTTCTTTCTAGCTTGTAGGGGAAGATATTTCCTTTATCACCATGGGCCTCAAACCGTCCGAAACGTCCACTTCCATATACTACAAAAAGAGCGTTTTAAACCTGCTCTATGAAAGGCAATCGTCAACTCTGTGACTTGAATGCAGACATCACAGAGCAGTTTCTGAGAATGCTTCTGTCTAGATTTTATAGGAAGATATTCCCGTTTCCAACGAAATCTTCCCAGCTATCCAAATATCCACTTGCAGATTCTACAAAAAGAGTGTATCAAAACTGCTCTGTCAAAAGGAAGGTTTTTCTCTGTTAGGTGAGTGCATACGTCATAAAGGAGTTTCTGAGAATGTTTCTGTCTAGTGGTTATGGGAAGATATTTGCTTTTTCACCGTAGGCCTCAGAGCGCTCCAAATATCCACTTGCACATACTACAAAAAGAGTGCCTCAAAGCTGCTCTCTGAAACGGAATGTTCAACTCTATGAGTTGAATGCAAACATCACAAAGACGTTTCTGCGAATGCTTCTGTCTAGGATTTGATATGAAGATATTCCCGTTACCAACGAAATCTTCAAATCTATCCAAATGTCCACTTGCAGATTCAACAAAAAGTGTTTTTCAGAACTGCTCTATCAAAAGAAAGATCCACCTCTGTTGGCTGAGTTCACACATCACAAACAAGTTTATGAGAATGCTTCTGTCTAGTTTTTATTTGAAGATATTTCCTTTCTCACCATAGACCTGAAAGCTGTCCTAATGTTCACTTCCAGATACTACAGAAAGAGTGTTTCAAAACTGCTGTACGAAAGGGAATGTTCAACTCTGTGACTTGAATGCACACGTCACAAAGAAGTTTCTGAGGATGCTGCTGTCTACTTTTTATACGTAATCCCGTTTCCAAAGAAATCCTCTAAGCTATCCAAATATCCACTTGCAGATTCCACAGAAAGACTGTTTCAAAACGGGTCTGTCAATAGAAAGGTTCAACTCTGTTAGCTGCGTACATATATCCCAAAGAAGATTCTGAGATTGCTTCTGTCTAGTTTTTATGGGAAGATATTACCCTTTTCACCGTAGGCGTCAAGGCGCTCCAAATGTCCACTTCCAGATACTACAAAAAGAGTGTTTCAAACCTACTCTGTGAAAGGGAATATTCAACTCTGTGACTTGAATGCACATATCACAAGGAAGTTTCTGAGAATGCTTCTGTCGAGATTTTATATGAAGATATTCCCCTTTCCAACGAAATCCTGAAATCTATCCAAATATCCCCTCGCAGATTCTACAAAAAGAGTGTTTCAAAACTGCTCTGCAAAAAGAAAGGTTCAACTCTGTTAGTGGAGTACACACATCACAAACAAGTTTCACAGAATGCTTCTTTCTAGCTTGTAGGGGAAGATATTTCCTTTATCACCATGGGCCTCAAACCGTCCGAAACGTCCACTTCCATATACTAAAAAAAGAGTGCTTGAAACCTGCTCTATGAAAGGCAATGTTCAACTCTGTGACTTGAATGCAGACATCACAGAGCAGTTTCTGAGAATCCTTCTGTCTAGATTTTATAGGAAGATATTCCCGTTTCCAACGAAATCTTTACAGCTATCCAAATATCCACTTGCAGATTCTACAAAAAGAGTGTATCAAAACTGCTCTGTCAAAAGGAAGGTTCTTCTCTGTTAGGTGAGTGCATACCGTCATAAAGGAGTTTCTGAGAATGTTTCTGTCTAGTGGTTATGGGAAGATATTTGCTTTTTCCCCGTAGGCCTCAGAGCGCTCCAAATATCCACTTGCACATACTACAAAAAGAGTGCCTCAAATCTGCTCTCTGAAACGGAATGTTCAACTCTATGAGTTGAATGCAAACATCACAAAGACGTTTCTGAGAATGCTTCTGTCTAGATTTGATATGAAGATATTCCCGTTTCCAACGAAATCTTCAAATCTATCCAAATGTCCACTTGCAGATTCAACAAAAAGTGTTTTTCAGAACTGCTCTATCAAAAGAAAGATCCACCTCTGTTAGCTGAGTTCAGACATCACAAACAAGTTTATGAGAAGGCTTCTGTCTAGTTTTTATTTGAAGATATTTCCTTTCTCACCATAGACCTGAAAGCTCTCCTAGTGTTCACTTCCAGATACTACAGAAAGAGTGTTTCAAAACTGCTGTACGAAAGGGAATGTTCAACTCTGTGACTTGAATGCACACATCACAAAGAAGTTTCTGAGGATTCTGCTGTCTACTTTTTATACGTAATCCCGTTTCCAACGAAATCCTCCAAGCTATCCAAATATCCACTTGCAGATTCCACAGAAAGACTGTTTCAAAACTGCTATGTCAATAGAAAGGTTCAACTCTATTAGCTGCGTACATATATCCCAAAGAAGATTCTGAGATTGCTTCTGTCTAGTTTTTATGGGAAGATATTTCCCTTTTCACCGTAGGCGTCAAGGCGCTCCAAATGTCCACTTCCAGATACTACAAAAAGAGTGTTTCAAACCTAATCTGTGAAAGGGAATATTCAACTCTGTAACTTGAATGCACATATCACAAAGAAGTTTCTGAGAATGCTTCTGTCGAGATTTTATATGAAGATATTCCCGTTTCCAAAGAAATCCTGAAATCTATCCAAATATCCCCTCGCAGATTCTACAAAAAGAGAGTTTCAAAACTGCTCTGTAAAAAGAAAGGTTCAACTCTGTTAGTTGAGTACACACATCACAAACAAGTTCCACACAATGCTTCTTTCTAGCTTGTAGGGGAAGATATTCCCTTTATCACCATGGGCCTCCAACCGTCCGAAACATCCACTTCCATATACTACAAAAAGAGCGTTTCAAACCTGTTCTATGAAAGGCAATGTTCAACTCTGTGACTTGAATGCAGACATCACAGAGCAGTTTCTGAGAATGCTTCTGTCTAGATTTTATAGGAAGATATTCCCGTTTCCAACGAAATCTTCACAACTATCCAAATATCCACTTGCAGATTCTACAAAAAGAGTGTATCAAAACTGCTCTGTCAAAAGGAAAGTTCTTCTCTGCTAGTTGAGTACATACGTCATAAAGAAGTTTCTGAGAATGTTTTCTGTCTAGTGGTTATGGGAAGATATTTGCTTTTTCACCGTAGGCCTCAGAGCGCTCCAAATATCCACTTGCACATACTACAAAAAGAGTGTTTCAAAGCTGCTCTCTGAAAGGGAATGTTCAACTCTATGAGTTGAATGCAAACATCACAAAGACGTTTCTGAGAATGCTTCTGTCTAGATTTGTTATGAAGATATACCCGTTTCCAACGAAATCTTCAAATCTATGCAAATGTCCACTTGCAGATTCAACAAAGTGTTTTTCAAAACTGCTGTATCAAAAGAAAGATCCACCTGTGTTAGCTGAGTTCACACTTCACAAACAAGTTTATCAGAATTCTCTGTCTAGTTTTTATTTGAATATATTTCCTTTCTCACCATAGACCTGAAAGCTGTCCTAATGTTCACTTCCAGATACTACAGAAAGAGTGTTTCAAAACTGCTGTACGAAAGGGAATGTTCAACTCTGTGACTTGAATGCACACATCACAAAGAAGTTTCTGAGGATGCTGGCTGTCTACTTTTTATACGTAATCCCGTTTCCAAAGAAATCCTCCAAGCTATCCAAATATCCACTTGCAGATTCCACAGAAAGACTGTTTCAAAACTGCTCTGTCAATAGAAAGGTTCAACTCTGTTAGCTGCGTGCATATATCCCAACGAAGATTCTGAGATTGCTTCTGTCTAGTTTTTATGGGAAGATATTTCCCTTTTCACCGTAGGCGTCAAGGCGCTCCAAATGTCCACTTCCAGATACTACAAAAAGAGTGTTTCAAACCTACTCTGTGAAAAGGAATATTCAACTCTGTGACTTGAATGCACATATCACAAGGAAGTTTCTGAGAATGCTTCTGTCGAGATTTTGTATGAAGATATTCCCGTTTCCAACGAAATCCTGAAATCTATCCAAATATCCCCTCGCAGATTCTACAAAAAGAGTGTTTCAAAACTGCCCTGTGAAAAGAAAGGTTCAACTCTCTTAGTTGAGTACACACATCACAAACAAGTTTCACAGAATGCTTCTTTCTAGCTTGTAGGGGAAGATATTCCCTTTATCACCATGGGCCTCAAACCGTCCGATAATTCCACTTCCATATACTACAAAAAGAGCGTTTCAAACCTGCTCTATGAAAGGCAATGTTCAACTCTGTGACTTGAATGCAGACATCACAGAGCAGTTTCTGAGAATGCTTCTGTCTAGATTTTATAGGAAGATATTCCCGTTTCCAAGGAAATCTTCGCAGCTATCCAAATATCCACTTGCAGATTCTACAAAAGGAGTGTATCAAAACTGCTCTGTCAAAAGGAAGGTTCTTCTCTGTTAGGTGAGTGCATACGTCATAAAGGAGTTTCTGAGAATGTTTCTGTCTAGTGGTTATGGGAAGATATTTGCTTTTTCACCTTAGGCCTCAGAGCGCTCCAAATATCCCCTTGCACATACTACAAAAAGAGTGCTTCAAAGCTGCTCTCTGAAAGGGAATGTTCAACTCTATGAGATGAATGCAAACATCACAAAGACGTTTCTGAGAATGCTTCTGTCTAGCATTTGATATGAAGATATTCCCGTTTCCAACGAAATCTTCAAATCTATCCAAATGTCCACTTGCAGATTCAACAAAAAGTGTTTTTCAGAACTGCTCTATCAAAAGAAAGATTCACCTCTGTTAGCTGAGTTCACACATCACAAGCAAGTTTATGAGAATGCTTCTGTCTAGTTTATATTTGAAGATATTTCCTTTCTCACCATAGAGCTGAAAGCTGTCCTAATGTTCACTTCCAGATACTACAGAAAGAGTGTTTCAAAACTGCTGTACGAAAGGGAATGTTCAACTCTGTGACTTGAATGCACACATCACAAAGAAGTTTACTGAGGATGCTGCTGTCTACTTTTTATACGTAATCCCGTTTCCAACGAAATCCTCCAATCTATCCAAATATCCACTTGCAGATTCCACAGAAAGACTGTTTCAAATCTGCTCTGTCAACAGAAAGGTTCAACTCTGTTAGCTGCGTGCATATATCCCAAAGAAGATTCTGAGATTGCTTCTGTCTAGTTATTATGGGAAGATACTTCCCTTTTCACCGTAGGCGTCAAGGCGCTCCAAATGTCCACTTCCAGATACTACAAAGAGAGTGTTTCAAACCTACTCTGTGAAAGGGAATATTCAACTCTGTGACTTGAATGCACATATCACAAAGAAGTTTCTGAGAATGCTTCTGTCGAGATTTTATATGAAGATATTCCCGTTTCCAACGAAATCCTGAAATGTATCCAAATATCCCCTCGCAGATTCTACAAAAAGAGTGTTTCAAAACTGCTCTGTAAAAAGAAAGGTTCAACTCTGTTAGTTGAGTACAAACATCAGAAACAAGTTTCACACAATGCTTCTTTCTAGCTTGTAGGGGAAGATATTCCCTTTATCACCATGGGCCTCCAACCGTCCGAAACGTCCACTTCCATATACTACAAAAAGAGCGTTTCAAACCTGCTCTAGGAAAGGCAATGTTCAACTCCGTGACTTGAATGCAGACATCACAGAGCAGTTTCTGAGAATGCTTCTGTCTAGATTTTATAGGAAGATATTCCCGTTTCCAACGAAATCTTCACATCTATCCAAATATCCACTTGCAGATTCTACAAAAAGAGTGTATCAAAACTGCTCTGTCAAAAGGAAGGTTCTTTTCTGTTAGGTGAGTGCATACGTCATAAAGGAGTTTCTGAGAATGTTTCTGTCTAGTGGTTATGGGAAGATATTTGCTTTTTCACCGTAGGCCTCAGAGCGCTCCAAATATCCACTTGCGCATACTACAAAAAGAGTGCCTCAAAGCTGCTCTCTGAAACGGAATGTTCAACTCTATGAGTTGAATGCAAACATCGCAAAGACGTTTCTGAGAATGCTTCTGTCTAGATTTGATATGAAGATATTCCCGTTTCCAACGAAATCTTCAAATCTATGCAAATATCCACTTGCAGATTCAACAAAAAGTGTTTTTCAGAACTGCTCTATCAAAAGAAAGATCCACCTCTGTTAGCTGAGTTCACACATCAGAAACAAGTTTATGAGAATGCTTCTGTCTTGTTTTTATTTGAAGATATTTCCTTTCTCACCATAGACCTGAAAGCTGTCCTAATGTTCACTCCCAGATAATACACAAAGAGTGTTTCAAAACTGCTGTACGAAGGGGAATGTTCAACTCTGTGACTTGAATGCACACATCACAAAGAAGTTTCTGAGGATGCTGCTGTCTACTTTTTATACGTAATCCCGTTTCCAACGAAATCCTCCAAGCTATCCAAATGTCCACTTGCAGATTCCACAGAAAGACTGTTTCAAAACTGCTCTGTCAATAGAAAGGTTCAACTCTGTTAGCTGCGTGCATATATCCCAAAGAAGATTCTGAGATTGCTTTCTGTCTACTTTTTATGAGAAGATATTTCCCTTTTCACCCGTAGGCGTCAAGGCGCTCTAAATGTCCACTTCCAGATACTACAAAAAGAGTGTTTCAAACCTACTCTGTGAAAGGGAATATTCAACTCTGTGACTTGAATGCACATATCACAAAGAAGCTTCTGAGAATGCTTCTGTCGAGATTTTATATAAAGATATTCCCGTTTCCAACGAAATCCTGAAATCTATCCAAATATCCCCTCGCAGATTCTACAAAATGAGTGTTTCAAAACTGCTCTGTAAAAAGAAAGGTTCAACTCTCTTAGTTGAGTACACACATCACAAACAAGTTTCACAGAATGCTTCTTTCTAGCTTGTAGGGGAAGATATTCCCTTTATCACCATGGGCCTCAAACCGTCCGAAACGTCCACTTCCATATACTACAAAAAGAGCGTTTCAAACCTACTCTAGGAAAGGCAATGTTCAACTCTGTGACTTGAATGCAGACATCACAGAGCAGTTTCTGAGAATGCTTCTGTCTAGATTTTATAGGAAGATATTCCCGTTTCCAACGAAATCTTCACAGCTATCCAAGTATCCACTTGCAGATTCTACAAAAAGAGTGTATCAAAACTGCTCTGTCAAAAGGAAGGTTCTTCTCTGTTAGGTGAGGTGCATACGTCATAAAGGAGTTTCTGAGAATGTTTCTGTCTAGTGGTTATGGGAAGATATCTGCTTTTTCACCGTAGGCCTCAGAGCGCTCCAAATATCCACTTGCACATACTACAAAAAGAGTGCTTCAAACCTGCTCTCTGAAACGGAATGTTCAACTCTATGAGTTGAATGCAAACATCACAAAGACGTTTCTGAGAATGCTTCTGTCTAGATTTGATATGAAGATATTCCCGTTTCCAACGAAATCTTCAAATCTATCCAAATGTCCACTTGCAGATTCAACAAAAAGTGTTTTTCAAAACTGCTGTATCAAAAGAAAGATCCACGCCTGTTAGCTGAGTTCACACATCACAAACAAGTTTATGAGAATGCTTGCTGTCTACTTTTTATACGTAATCCCGTTTCCAACGAAATCCTCCAAGCTATCCAAATATCCACTTGTAGATTCCACAGAAAGACTGTTTCAAAACTGCTCTGTCAATAGAAAGGTTCAACTCTGTTAGCTGCGTGCATATATCCCAAAGAAGATTCTGAGATTGCTTCTGTCTAGTTTTTATGGGAAGATATTTCCCTTTTCACCGTAGGTGTCAAGGCGCTCCAAATGTCCACTTTCAGATACTACAAAAAGAGTGTTTCAAACCTACTCTGTGAAAGGGAATATTCAACTCTGTGACTTGAATGCACATATCACAAAGAAGTTTCTGAGAATGCTTCTGTCGAGATTTTATATGAAGATATTCCCGTTTCCAACGAAATCCTGAAATGTATCCAAATATCCCCTCGCAGATTCTACAAAAAGAGTGTTTCAAAACTGCTCTGTAAAAAGAAAGGTTCAACACTGTTAGTTGAGTACACACATCACAAACAAGTTTCACAGAATGCT